>NC_000014.9:56884440-57187470 GCF_000001405.40 Homo sapiens | reverse complement strand
CCTTCCAGAAACTGCTCAAGTGTCTCCATGAAGCTTTTGGCTACTGCCTCCTCCCCAAGGTCCTGGCCCCTTCCTCTCCACTGCCAGGGCACTACACACACACAGACACACACACACACACACACACACACACACACACCCGTCCACGCAGCTCTCATCACCTCTAGTTTCCATGATTTGTTTACTGTCTGTCTGCTCCTTACCTGTAGTCTAGTGAGCTCTCACAGTCTAGCACAGCATTAAAAAATGGTTTGTTGACTGAATGACTTACTAAAATAGATGAATAAACAAACGGATGGTTGAATTTGCTCATGAGATAAGGGTACCCACCACCCAGCATGTGTCTAGCACATAGTACACATAGGAGCAATGACCATCTCTGATGTTATTACTTTTACTGAATAGTTATCAGACATTGCATTCAGTGCTTTAATGAGTCACTCATTTATGGTAATCTTACTGCTATCCATATTTTACAGAAGAGGTAACAACCAATAGCTCACAGCGCAGGCATCAAACCCATGCTGTCTCATTCCAAAGCCTATGTACTTGGCAATATTAAATAATCTACTGCCTTTTTCTATAGGAGGCAGTCAATACTTGAATGAATGAGTGGATGAATGCTTCCCCTCTATGAAAGAAGCTATGGTAAGTAAGAAGTTACAGTAAGCACCTACCACCAGGTGCACAGCAAGTGCTCAATAAATGGCAATGCTATTGGCTTTGTTATTTTATCATACGGTCTCCCTCAGAATGACCAATCCAAATACCATCATTGAAAATAAGACATGGTATTAGGGCTGGATTGAGATATGCAAGCACCAAGTGTGTTGAAAATCATGGTTCAACATTTGTTTAGTGAGGAGTGATCAATACTGGCAAGGATGTTTTGTCTTGCTTTGTTTTGTTTTGTTTTTATTTATTTATTTTTATTTTTTGAGACGCAGTCTTGCTCTGTCGCCCAGGCTAGAGCGCAGTGGTGCGATCTCGTCTCACTGCAAGCTCCGCCTCCCGGGTTCACACCATTCTCCTGCCTCAGCCTCCCGAGTAGCTGGGACTACAGGCGCCCGCCACCACGCCCGGCTAATTTTTTGATATTTTTAGTAGAGACGGGGTTTCACCGTGTTAGCCAGGATGGTCTCAGTCTCCTGACCTCGTGATCCACCCGCCTCGGCCTCCCAAAGTGCTGGGATTACAGGCGTGAGCCACCGCGCCCGGCCTGTTTTCTTTTCTTTTCCCTTCTCCATTTTAATCTCTTCTGAAAGGTGATCTACTTTAGTAGAAATGGAACCATGTTATATTTTGTCCTTTGTGTTAGGATGCATAGACAAAGAACTGAGTTCACTGACAATATATTTCCATGGTTTTTGTTTTTGTTTTGTTTTGGTTTGTTTGTTTGTTTGAGCATTTCTAATATATAAGTGCCACAGGTATTTGTCTGATTGAACCACCCTATAATCTGGCCTTGAATAAAGAATGATATTATGACAAGTGCCACAAAATGTCTCAAATGCCAGTGATCTACTTGGCTCAGAGATTCTTAGCCCTAGTTTTGAATCAGCTCATTTGGGGAATTTAAAAAATCTTCAGATACCCAGCATCCAATCTCAGAGTTTCTGATTAAGGAGAACTGGAGGGTTGTGGTTGACACATGTACTTTAAAGTAGCTCAGTCCTATGAATCGGGATGAGAAGACTGTGTCCAGAACTAAGGAGACAAAGTACATACAGGCCTCTTCTGTGTCTGGCATATAAATATAAATACAAACCTTCCTTACCTTGAAACCCCCTAATTAGGATGGCAGATAGAAAAAGACAGTAAAGATTTATTTCCAGCCTTGTCTGGGGGAGAATGGAATCTGACTGTGACTATGCAAATCATTTGCACAGACCTATTCAGTGGTTTCACAAATTTGGCTTTTTATTGGAATCACCTGTGGTAGTTTAAAAACGAATCCGCAAAAACCATAATCTGAGTTCATGGGCAACACATTTCTGTGGTATTTTTAGCATCCCTAAGATATTGATGCCACGGGCTCCCATCCCTGGTGATTCTGATCCAATTGATTTGGGGTGTGGCCCAGGTATCAGGACTCTTGAAAGCTCCCAGGTGATTCTAATGTGCAGAAGAGTTTAAGAACCACTGGTCTGTTTGAAGAGACTGCATCAGACATGGAATAACTGACTCTGTTTGGCAATTTCCTTTCAACGAAGGTATCCTCTTGGATTGCTCTTTCTGCCACTCTCGAAGCCTAACTCTCAGTAAGCAGACCTCTGTTTCAAAGGCAAGAAGAAGGGAGTGCAGTGAGTACAGCTAAAATGTAGGATTCTCTGGTTTCCTAGAAGTTCTAGATGGGACCTCTGGAAGATTTTGTGGAGGCACTTTTTTGATATGTACCTTTGCTCCATCCTTATTCTCACAAAGAGAGCTCCTGACTTTGTAAGCTAAGGTGTTAGGCTGGCCAAGAGAAGTAGTCCATTTGACAGTCAAAGATCTCAGTAAAACTGAGTACGGCAGGGTTATGATTTATGTGGTAGATTAGTATGCGCCAGCTCACGAGGGCCTGATCACCCTCTGGTGCAGTAATAAAACTCTGATTCAGAGCCTGCAAAACTGAGAACCAGACCTTGCTTTCTCAGTGATCCTAACAAATTGCCATCCTATGAGGCTTGTCAAGAAAAGGACAGCCATCCCAGGTCATCTTTTGTAAAGAATGACCTGGGAAGCATCTCCAAAGCATTTACTCTGCTAAATAAATCAGGGCACTTTGCTCCCTTAGCTGAATGCTGAAAGTTATAGACAGGGATTTGGTCAGACCTAAGAAGGAAAAAAACCTGTCATCATGGAGAGAAAAAAGAAATAACTGAAGGATCTGTTTGCCACCAACATGAACACCAGTCAAAGGATGGTGTGTCTGAAAGGGAAACCATGAGACAGAGTGATTCTAAACCAAATGCAGGTGTCTGAATGACCTTCTCATTGCTGAACCCATGAAGCTCACTAATTAAGATGACATCCACCTCTGCAGGGAGTAATTTCAACAAAGGAGTCTTCTCTTCTCTCTCTAACTCTTCCTCTTTTCTTCGTCGATCATGTAGCCTGCCTAAATGTCCCACTACTAAGGCTTGTTATGATATAAAATACAAATATTTTGGGAAAGAGTAATATAATAAGCCTTCTCATGAATGTATGTATAGTGATTTCCAACCCTGGCTACATGTTAGAATCACTTGGAGGAGAGGAGTTGTTTTTGTTTGTTTGTTTTTAAATACTGATGCTAGAGCTTCACTGTCAGAGATTCTGATTTAACTAGTTTAGGGTGGAGCCTGGACATTGTTTTGTTGTTGTTGTTTTAAGGTGATTTTTAATATGCAGCCAAAGTTAGGATCCATTGGTCTAGAGTGTGGAAAACATCGTATTCTTCCTGGAGGGCAGATTTTTATTGGGAAGGAAAGAAAACTGAGTCTTTAGCCAAAAGGAGGTAGGAAGAAGTACCTGGGATTTTTATAGGAGATGGGGAAAGTGGAGGTTAGGAAGAGAGGTAGTGCTGAAAATAAACTTTTATTTGTCAGTTTTGCCTAGGGCTGGCTCTGACTCAGGACATAATAGCGATAAGAAGCAAGGAGGAGAATCAGCTTATGAGAAAAGTGCATCTTCATAAATACATTTTTTTTTCTTTTTTGAGAGGGAGTCTCATTCTGTCGCCCAGGCTGGAGTGCAATGGTGCAATCTCGGCTCACTGCAACATCTGCCTCCTGGGTTCAAGTGATTCTCCTGCCTCAGCCTCCTGAATAGCTGGGATTACAGGCACCCACCACCATGCTCAGCTAATCTTTGTATTTTTGGTAGAGATGGGGTTTCACCAGGTTGGCCAGGCTGGTCTCAAACTCCTGACCTCAGGTGGTCCACCTGCCTCAGCCTCCCAAAGTGCTGGGATTACAGGACTGACCCCCTGCTCCAAGCCATGAATACATGTTTAAATCTGTCTCAATAAGAATTCTTTTAATTATTCTTTGAGTTTCCAACACTGGAAGCTGACCACCTTCAACTAAAGCAGTTTTAGTTCCTATAGCACTTGTTCTTCCTGGATAACTCTAAAATAAAAAAATTAGCAAGATGGAGAATTAAAATATGCCTCTGGGAGAGTGGTGAGTGTTCTGCTTAAGGATCTCTCAGGATAGTTTATGTAAGAACCTTTAAGTGTGCTCTCAGAGAAATAAGTCTCAATCTGTTATTGTGAAATGACTATGTAAACATCTGTCTGTTTTTTTTTTTTTAAAAAAAAAACATTCCAGTTATATCTTGTTTTTGTTTGCTTCTCTATCGTTTGCTGGCCAAACAGCTTGCCCCTTGCCCTGTTGTCTTGTTACTTTGCTTGGCATGAAGAATTTTAATGAGTTTTATTGGTTGCCCTCCTGACTTTTGTTCAGAACCATTTCTCAGGGCTGCTGTTGTACATCTGTTCCTCGGCCTCTGAGAGGCAGTGTGGCATCATTCATCGAGCTTGTGCGGCCTGGGTTTGAATCTCGGTTCTTTGACCTTGGGCAAACTTTATTGGATTTCCATTTCCTCATCTGTAAAATGGGAATGATACTAATACTACCACTCACAGAGTTGTAAGAATTGAATGAGAACACATATGAAAATTACTCTGTCAACCACAGCATGCTGTGCAAGGGATTTTTCTCCCCCTTCATTGGCCCATCCCATGGGGAAGAACTGTTAAAGTTCTTCAGAAGCACATGAAAAAGGCTAGACTATTTGGGGATATTTTTATGGCATCAGCTCCTGGTCTATGCAGCATTTCAGAACAGAATTACTGAGATCATCCTCTAGCCTGCCTGAGGTCACAGCTCATGGGTCATTGGCACCAGCCTCTGGGAACATCATCCACTGGATGCTCTGCCCCAGAATCTGGCATCAGATTTGTATGGGCTACTGGGTTTTGTTGATCTCACTTTAGGTAGGGTTCTAGATTAAGTCACTCTAGCTTGTGATAATCAGACAGTGAGCTGTGTAGATTTTGAGGATGTCGGACCAGAGTTTCCTCTTAGAATCAACATCTTAGCTGTAGTCTACTCATCTCTCAGCCCTTAAAGGACCCCATTCTTGATATATAACTCCCTGGGGATATGAGAGTCTACAAGGCATCAATCAAAAGCAAACTTCAAGCAAGAGCTTTATTGTTAGGATTTGCGGTTGTTCATCAATATTACGTGATGGAATCTGACATGTAAATACAATTCAGGAGGAAACAGGAGTTTATATTTTCCCATTCCAAGGCTTTCCTAGTGTTGATCTGAAACAGCAGTGATTCTCAAAGTATGATGCCCAGGCCAAGCAGTATCAGCATCAACATCAGCACCAACATCAAGAGAATGTGTTAGAAATGCAAATAAATCACTGGCCCCACCCCAGATCTCTTGAATTACAAACAATGAGGGTAAGGCTCAGCTATCTGTGTTCAGCAAACCGTCCAGGTGATGCTGATGCTTATTAAAGTTTGAGAAGCACTGATCTAGAAACTGTGGCCACCTGTGTTTTCTTTTGGTTCTTTAGAAGTAGGGATGATGACCTTCAGGGGGTTCTCTCAGGTACCTTCATTATAGTCACCCCCTTGGGGAATTAAGCTTTATTTGAAATATATTGGTTGCTGTCTACTATACTGATAAAAAGTTGTAAACTACTTGAATTTGCAAACTATGTCTTTTCTTAGAGTCTACCTCGATTCTTTTAATCCAGTGAATCCCGGGGCAAAACTTTCAGCCTGGTTGGTATTAGAGGGAGAGGAAGACAGTATTAGGAGGGTAAAATGAGGCATTGTCTGGAATTCTGTAGTTCACGAATGAATCCATTGAGGAGTGGGAAGATGATTGGGATGCCAGAGAAGAAGTAAGAAGCTGTGGGTCCTGTTTACCTAGATAGTTGGCTGTGACAAAGGACTGGTTTGATTAGAGTCATAAATTGTTTTTTAGGCCAGGCATGGTGGCTCAGGCCTGTAATCCCAGCACTTTGAGAGACTGAGGCAGGCGGATCACATGAGGTCAGGAGTTTGAGACCAGTCTGGCCAACATGGTGAAACTCTGTCTCTACCAAAAATACAAAAATTAGCTGGGAGTGGTGGCACACACCTGTAATCCCATCTACTTGGGAAGCTGAGGCAGGAGAATAACTTGAACTGGGAGGGACAGAGCGAGACTGTATTTCAAAAAAAATGTTTTTTTAAGTTAGTTAATTTATTTTTATTATAAATGGATCTAATTTATAGTTGTATATATTTATGCAGTACAAAGTGATGTTGTGATTTATGAATACAATGTGGAATCATTAAGTGAAACTAAGTAACATATCCAGCACTTCAAATACTTATTACTTTTGTGATGAGAACATTTGAAATTTACTCAGCAATTTTGAAGTTCACCACACTATGCAATAGATCTCAAAAGAACTTATTCATCATATCTAACTGAGGCTTTGTACCCTTTGACCATCAGCTCCCCATTTCCCCCATCCCCTCACCCCTGGTAACCACCATTCTACTCTCTGCTTCTATGAGTTTGATTGTTTTAGACTCCACGTGTAAGTGAGAACATGTGGCATTTAGCTTTCTGTGCCTGGCTCTTTTCATTTAGCATAATGTTCTCCGATTTCATCTATTTTGTTGCAAATGATAACATTTCTCTTTTTTAAGGCTGAATAGCATTGCATTGTCTATATCTGCCACATTTTCTTTAACCATTCATCTGTTGATGGACACTTAGGTTGATTCCATAACTTGGCTGTTGTGAGTAGTGCTACACTGAACATGGGATGCAGGCATCTCTTCCACATACTGATTTAAAATCTTTCGGGTAAATGTCCATTGGGATTGCTGGATCACATGATAATTCTATTTTTAATTTTTTGAGGAATATCTATACAGTTTTCCACGATGGCTTTAGCAGTTTATATTCCTGTTGTGGGAAGTCAGGGACCCCGAACAGAGGGACCTGCTGAAGCTGTGACAGAAGAACGTAAGTTGTGAAGATTTCATGGACATTTATCACTTCCCCAATCGATACTCTTATAATTTCCTACGCCTGTCTTTACTTTAATCTCTTAATCCCATCATCTTCGTAAGCTGAGGATGTATGTCATCTCAGGACCCTGTGATGATTGCGTTAACTGCACAAATTGTTCGTAAAGCATGTGTGTTTGAACAATACGAAATCTGGGCACCTTAAGAACAGGATAACAGCGATTTTCAGGGAACAAGGGAGATACAGTCTGGCTGCCTGTGGGCCCGGCAGAACAGAGCCACATTTCTCTTATTACCAAAAACGGGTAAGAGAAATATCGCTGAATTCTTCCCCCAGTAAGGAATATTAATAATTAACAGCCCTGGGCATTCCCACCAATAGAGTCATAATTTTGATTCAGTTCCAAGGTTTAGACATGTAAAGAACAGAGACCAGGACAGCCTGCCTAGTTGAGTTTAATTTCTGATCAGAATGTTATACACGTGGAAAGCATTTCCTTTATTTTTAAAGCCACTTTAACCTCCCTGAACTAGAGACAATGTAACTTAGGAGAAAGAGGACTGACTTGTGTGCAGAGCCATGTGTTCTAGTCCTGCCTTCCTACCAGCTTGCTGTCTATCGTGGGCAAGGCAGCTCTCTGGACCTTTGTTCTCACAATTGCAAAAAGGGGTTTGACTCCATGATCCCTCAGGTCTCTCTTCCAGCTCTGAAGTTCATGGATTAATTCCTCCATATCCCAAAAGCACTTGGTACTCATCTCAGTTGTCTGCTTTCCTCTTAATGGCACAAACCATTTGATCCCACCTTTTCACCACATCCTTTTTCTTACAATGAATCATGTTTAAATGTGGCGAGAGGTGCACAAAGACCCTCAGTCCTGTGTGGTGGCTCCAAGGGTTGGCTTGTCACAGCAGCCTTCAGAGGCCCAGCAGTGGACATCCAGCACAGAGCCACACGCAGCTTGCCTGCCAGAGCCCTAATGGCCAATGAAGGAGCTGTGATCAATGCCCTGTGCTCTGGAAGCAGCCTGACTGGCTGCCATAGGATTCTCCATCTGAGGAGCGGTTCTCTCAGAGTGTCGTTTCATCAACTTCCTGGGTTCAGCTGCTTTTACTTTCAGGACTCACAATTTTGGGAAGAAAAGCCTATGATTTCTCTTCCTGGGTAAATGTGCATTTTGTTATCTGACCTCAAGAAATAGCATGAAATTAACTTATTTCCCCTACCCTTGGTTAAAAGAAATGTAATTTTGTTCTGTGGCTCTTCACACGTTTGGTAATATCTGACCATAAATAGTTTTAGGAGTAGAGAGGGTCAAGCAAATAAAACAGCCTTGCCCATAGGCTGGGAAAAAATATTCTGCCCAACAAATTTAAATTGCCTTTCCTTTGATCATAACGCATATTGGTGGCCTGAAGGAGGATAGTACCAGTGTGCTGAAGGCTAAAATTTCCATTTCTATCACTTTTTCTTTACCCACTGGAGTGGCTATCTGAAGGACTGCTGGTCATATTCTCTCTCTAAGTAGGGCTCTGTGTCAGTTTCTGCTTTCAGAATGCGCTAGAGATCTGAGTAAAATGGCACTTTTTAGCAATAGCTAGTAATGTATGTTTTCTTGTTTTGCATATGATCACCCCTCTGATATTAATATCTGACTGGTCACATTAGGGAGCATAGGAAAAACACTTTTCTTACTTTATTATCGTTCTTGAGCCCTAAAAGATTGTTTCTCAGGTTCTAATTGATAAGACAAAGAGATATTCAGGACCCACAAATTCAAAGGCAGTTTCTGAATGTTATTCAACTCTAAGATTCTATGAGATAAGTCCAAGACTAAGTAAGATTTCCCTCTTCATTTAATAATGAACTCAAGACTCTGCTCTGTGGTAACAAGCCCTGTATCAAAGTTTTAATGGTAAAGTGAAAATGCTAGATTCTTTCATTTCCTCGCCAACAAATATTTAAGGGAGAGAGACAGTGATCTCTGGCTTTTACCCCATTTTAAGCCTTTCTTTTGTCATCATTACCCATTATAATGTGACAAGTGGGGGCTGAAAAAAATAAATTGGCTAAAATACGGGTCACAGGGTTGCAAGAAAAGGGCCAGAGCAAGCTTGTTCGACTAGCTGCTGAGTACCAAAAATGAACCATCTAAATCCATCCCTTTGCCAGCTTTGGTTGGCACCACCTGTGGTGATTTTTTCACTCTGGCTTATGTTATCAATAGGAATAATTCTAGGTCTGGTGACTGTCTAGGACTGACAGGACAATGACAGCAATTCCAAAATTCTCCCAGATAATTGCCTCTCCTTTCTTTGGCCAGTACTGAGATTGGCCTGGGAGGCTCCTGGAAGGTGGGGTCCCACTCTCTATGTCCCTGCTTCCCAGAGTTTTTCCCTGAGGCCTCACCCTCATCCTAGGGAACATAAGAACTTTGCCCGGGCCCATCTGAGCATGAGAGCTGGGGGAAGACAGGACCCAATTGCCAATCCTGGTATATTCGAACTAATGAGGGCTTTCTCTATTTAGACTGCTAGCACAACTAGAAGTAAGAAAATGCTTAAGTTATTTTTAAATTGAGTTGCAAATACAAGTAACATACTTCTGAAAGAAAAGTTCTAATTTTCATTAAACCTTTAATTTATTCTCTACCTCATTTTCTTGTTGCAGCTTTACATGATGGTGGGTTGGGGAGGTTTTCATGATCTCCTTTTTTTCAGATGAGGAACCTGAGGCACAGAATAGGCAAATGGCTTGTCCAAGATCACACAGCAAGACAGCAGTGGAGATAAGAGTCACTGCTTTTGATTAGCCCAAATCCTTTTCCACCTGTACCTTGAAGCAATGAATGTCAGGCAGCATGTCAGTTATATAGGTGAGATGCTGACCATTTTTTTCTCTTCCCCCACACAAAGAAGTAATCCAAACAATGGTCTAGCATTAATAAAAACAGAAATACCTTGTTAAAATAACAAACATAAATTGGACTCAAAAGATGACAGATTTTGTATGTGCCCAAAGTTTCAGAGATGGTTTTATTCATGGCCATGAGCCCAGCACATGCTTTTGTAACTTCCCAAGCTTTGCTTCTTCAACCCCAGTATGCTTCAACCTCAGGAAGTCCTCCTTGTTACCCTCTTTAAGTTCATAGGTAAAGATGTGTTTCATTTTGTTTATTGAGAATGTTTTGAAATTATTTTGTGTCCAGGAGAGATTGGAATGGATTGGAAACCATTAAACTGTCTCATTATTACATAGCCAAATGCTATTTAAATGAGCAATTATTTAAAGTAGTCGAAAGCAGTATTTTTTTTTCCTCTAAGGAAGAATCAATTTTATCACTATTTATTTCCCCAATTATTTTATCTTCACCTTCAAAGAAATGGAGTTTTTTTGTTTTTTGTTTTTTTTAAGTTGAAGTCTCACTCTGTCACCCAGGCTGGAATGCAGTGGCACGGCCAGGGCTCATTACAGCCTTGACTTCCCAGGCTCAAGCAATCTTCCCACCTCAGCCTCCTGAGTAGCTGGGACTACGGGTGTGTACCACCATGCCTGGCTAATTTTTTAATTTTTCATAGAGACTGGGCCTCACCATGTTGACTAGGCTGATCTTGAACTCCTGGGCTCAAATGATCCTCCCACCTCACCCTCCCAAAGTACTTGGATTACAGGCTACTGCGCCTAGCCAAGGTTTATATTAACCTGTTAATTGCTTTTCTTCATTTATTTTTTATTATTTAAATCAACCAGGAAAATATTAATCTTTCTAGTCTGAGACTGTGGGAATAAAGAATGAATGATTTGATCTTATGACTTGAGTACACTCTGGAGAAAGTAAACTGGTAAAAATATCTTAGTATCTAAGTTCAAGTTTGAGTTTTCAATGATTTGACTTTAAAGTACAGGAATAAAAAATCAACTGTTTAGAACAGTGTGTCCTGAGTTCCGTACATCAAGTGTAGTGTTTTCGTTAGGCTTAGAGTAGACCTACTAAGAAGCTTCTTTTTGATAATAAAAATCCATGTTGCAAGCTGTGTCCCATATTTTTCATCTAGGACAGGGATAAGCAAACTTTTTCTATAAAAGGCCAGATAGTAAATATATTAGGTTTTGCGGGCCATAAGGTCTCTGTCACAACTGCTCAACTCAGTCACTGTAGTGCAAAAGTAGCTGTAGACAATATATAAATAAAGGAGAATGGCTGTGTCCCAGTAAAACATTATTTATAAAGAAAAGCAGTGGGCTAGATTTTGGCCCAAGGGCCATGGTTTGCTGACTTCTAATCTAAGAATTTCTTCGGGTAAATTTGTTATATTATTCTGCACTGGAGGAAAAATATGAAGGTCAGTCAGCTGTAGACAAGAAGCTATCACTTCACAACTCTGACTCCTGTGATTCAGTCTCCAGAACTATACTTTAAAAAGAGAGACTTCCTGCTCTTGAATTAGGAATTAGAATGAGTGATTAAGAGAATTTTAAGTGATTCGTTTAAAAATACAACTTTTAAATGGGGTTTGTTTCTCATAAAAAATGTATTACATATGTGCATGTTTATGTATATATCTCCATTGTATACAGTTATCTATACTTCGAAAATATACCTGTCTAATATGCTGGAAACTCTATAATCACTTTTGCAAACTTTATTTTTGTTAGCTACATTCGCAAATAACAAGACTGGGTCCCTCCTTGTCCTTCTCTAGGCACCAAGTGAAACAAACATCCCAAATCCACCATATGTCTGATTCCAGAGTTGGTCGGCTCCAGGTGAGAGCTGTCCACAGGGCAGCATGTGGGTATCTGTCGTGCTAAGACTGCCCCCTGCCAAAGTGGTTGTTTGCTTGGTTGTTTGATCAAAGTAAAGAGACGGTAATCAGAGCCCAGGTCATGAATGCAAGAACTGGAGTCTGGTAAGGGCTATCAAATGGACAAGTTAGGTAGATGGATAAGAGAGGTTTAGCAAACTGAAAGAAGGAAGATGGAACAAGGTATAATACTGATAAGAGAGCAGTTCAGAGGCAAATTCTGTGAACCCTGAATTTCATGTCTTTTGGGATATCGCTTTGCAAAGGTGCCCTGGCACCATTTCCTGGCTGGAGGCAGGCTTTCATAATGACTATCCTGAGGGTTATGCAGTGACCCATTCTAGGGATTTGTAGGTTCCTGAGGGATCCAGTTCACCTTGGATTCCATAGAATAAAGTGGACTGGCCAGAATGAACGCCAGTAAAACTGTCATCAAACCAGTATTAAGCACAGAATCTCCTTTAATTGTTTGTTAGTGGCATTTTCAACGTGCGCTATGGGTTGAGGTATCCCTGGAGGCAGTCAAGGTTAAAAGCAAGAGCTCTGCCGTCCAGCTCTCAGGGTTCAAATGGCAGCTCCACCACTTATTAGTGTGTAATGGTAATATATAAAATAACCCAATCTTTCTAAAATCATCTACTCTGTAAGATAGTCTATTCTTCTTTCTAAAAGGCTGCGTGTGCCTGCCTGCCCACCTACCGCCCCACCTCCCCACCCCAAGTATTTGGCTGCCACAAATTGCTGGGTGGAATCATATGAATTCTAAATTACTTTTAAAAATTGACATTGCTTTGCTGCAAGCCAACTACTTCATAAGCTGTGTCAGCTAAAGGTCTCCCCACCAGTTAGTCTGAAGAAGTTTTTGCTGTCATATCTGTCCTGTTAATTTAAGCAGAAACTGTAATTAGATGTAAGTGGTCTTGTTCCCACAGAAATGAATGGCAGCATCTGTAGAGAGGCAACCGTTCCAAACCCTTTTGGCTACTGGTGCTCTACAAGTTAGCAGTATGGAGCGAGGCCCAGATCCAGACTTCTGTCGGCCTAATTTTATATCTGTGGACGCACAACACTAAATCCAATATTTCTAATGCCTTGCTGTGATGGGTGCAAAGCCAAGCACATTCCAGACTTTTATGCTGGTGGCTCCCCCTGAGAAGGACACACTACTAGTGTGTGTGTTGGGGGGGTGTGGTGCGGGGGATGTTCTATTTCCCTAGTCCCTTAGCATAGACAGGAAAAATAAATAGAGGTTTCATAAATAGCTATGTGGAAAACCAGATAATCAGAAAAAGTTGATGCCTGTATTTATAACCAAGCAATTGAATCACAAAGATATTTTGTACTTTTGTTTACTTCTCTGATAAAGGAATATACTACTTGTATTCTGAACGTCTGGCCAATAATAGAGCTAACTGCAAGAGCCTCCTGTGTATATAGGGGTATATTTCAGGGAGGAGTGTCTGTGGCAGACAGGTTTATTTCGGGGCAGTTAAAGAAATCTGTGTTGAGATACTGCATAGTGCACTAAAGCTTCAACAAGCAATGAAACCCGCAGCTGTTGAGTATCTCTCCTTTATCCATACCACACTAGATGCTTTGGGCTTGAGGTATGCAAGAGCCACAGAATGCATGATTCTTCCTCTCGGTGGACTTGCAATTTGGTTGAGGGTTAAAACATACAAATTTAAAAATAATATGGTATAGAATTGAGAAGAAATAGTAGAGTAAAACTCTCTCCATAATGAGAAAACCATAATCCAGAAAATTCACTGGCTTAAAATCTGATGTTAATAAAATAACTAGAGTGAGGTTGCCCAACTAGCCAACCATCTGGGAGATGCAACGGTCTGTGCCGTCTACATCCATCCTGGTCCTGGCCACAGTTTGGTGTCACCTGGTGGCACTTGTCCATTCCAGCTTAAAGATACATGGAAAGCTTCTGGGTCCTGTGGTGGGCAGGACTTCCAGGAAAGATGCAGTGATTCCAATATAGACAAGAGTCTATATTAGTACCTCATAGTGTTTTCTCAAATTTTTGGCAGTAGAGGAAAAGCTTTTCACAGGTAGACATTTAGCTGTATCCATCCATGACTTATGATGCCATCAACTGTGACATGTTTGAATGTGTGAGGCCCAACAAATGAAAGAAAGACACACACACACACACACACACACACACAGAAATAAAGAAAGAGAAAGAGAGAGCCCCAATATTCACCTAAGAAATAACTTATCTTGGATTTTTTAATTTAAAAAAACTGGCTTTTCCTTTTATATAAACACAACATCTTTGCCTGGAATTTTGATTTCGGTTAAGTCTCAATCAGGCAAACTACAGATACTCAAGGGATCAAGACAGGAAATCTAAGTTTATAGCAATCGTGTAGCTCATTTTTAGTAAAGGCTTACCTTCTGGTTGATTCACTTGTTATTACCTCTTCCCTTGGTGATTTTGTCTATTCCTCCCTATGGTTTATACTTGGCTTTTTTAATGTAGTGCATTTTAATCTTTAAAGTGCCATGCAGGCAAGAATTAATCTCTGGTGGAATTTTTCCATTTTGTCGATGGAGGAGATAACAGAGAAGGTGTAGATAAATTGTCTGGGACTCCAAAGTGGAAATATTTTCAGAGCTGGGAGTCGGTGAGCAGTCCCCGCCCTAGAAATCCCAAGGCAGTATTAACATTTCTGTTTTCTCCTGTATTATAAATCTTCTTGAACCAAGTTTGTGGGTATGTGTGTTTCTATGGTGATGGGAGAAGGGGATGAGAGATGACCAATGGATAGAGTTCAAATGATGTGCTTTCACTTGGTCCAATTAAAAAACAGAAACAGGCCGGGTGTGGTGGCTCACGCCTGTTATCCCAGCACTTTGGGAGGCCAAGGCGTGTGGATCACTTGAGGCCAGGAGTTCGAGACCAGCCTGGCCAACATAGTGAAACCCTGTCTCTACTAAAAACACAAAATTTGAATGGGTGTGGTGGTGCATGCCTGTAATCCCAGCTACTTGAGAGGCTGAGGCTTGAAAATTGCTTGAACCAGGGAGGCAGAGGCTGCAGTGAGCCGAGATCACACCACTGAACTCCAGCCTGGATGACAGAGGGAGACTCTGTCAACAACAACAACAACACCACCAAAAAACAAAAGCAAAAAAATCAGAACTAGGGCAAGAAACTGCTGACAGCATCAGTGATAATAGGAAGAGCTCCAGACAATTACTCCTTTGGGGTATAGTGTGCCCATCTATAAAAACAGAAACAGGGATCATTTACTGCCCAACTATGCATTGCCATATGCCTAAAACTGAATTTGATGCCTTTGTAATGGCCACTGAATTTCTCAAATGTCCAGTATCTTAGATAAAAGAGCCTGGGAGAGACATCAGGACTTGTCATAGCTCATTTAAGTAAGAGGCAGAAGAGTGACCCAGATCCAGTGTTCTTTGTGGCACATCATAGCTACTTCAAAAGAGAGGGCAAGATGAACCGATCTTGCAGATCTTGGATGGCTCTAATATCACGTGATCCTATGGCATCTGAAAGGGGATAATTCCATGAGTCAGAATGGAAGACAAGGAACCATTGAAAGAGTAGGTCCTGGCAGGGATTGCTCACTGAGTTAAGAGCAGTGGTTCTCAATCTTGATTCCACATCAGCATCATCTCGGGAAGTTAAGCAAAGTCCTGATGCTCTAGCCCATCTCCAGACACATTTAAACATGGAGGAGGGGCCCAGACATCAGCCTTTTAAAACCTCCCCTGGTGATTCCAATGTGCAGCCAAGGTAGAGTACAACTGCTTTAGACTTAGGAGTTCCTGCCAATGAACTTGCTTTCTGGAGGTTATTTGATACACCCTCCTCTCCTTCTCCCAGACTTCATCTCCCTGTGCTTTTGCAAGCAGTTGGGAAGGACAGCAATCTTCAGCTTCCTTACTTTTTCTCCTTCCCCTTTACAATAGAGCGTGATTGCCATAAGGGCGGGGAAGAAAGAAAATTAATAACAACAGGCATGAACAACAAACATTGGCAACAGGTTTATTCCTGACAAAGACTTAGCAGTGCATAATCATGACATGCCAAAACATTAGCAAGAAGACTACTCACGCATGACTTGCTCGGGTAGCTTTGCCAGCAGACATCAACAGGCTCTTGGGAGTAGCTTCCACCCAATGCAGCTCCTCAAACAGAGGATGTTGTGGCTTTACTTTAGGGGGAGAAACAAAAGCGATGTGCAATGTCAAAGCATTCCCATGTTCACAATGACCCAACACCATATGGGATTCTATGAGCTAGAAAATAGTTGATTAAAATTTCCACCCTCTCCACAGACCCAAAGGGATTTTATCCCTAAATCTGGCATACTTAAACTGTGGCTCCTTCTCGAGGTGGATTATATCCTCATGAAAAATGATGGGTTCTTGTTCAGAGTTAGGCTCCTTGTTTTGGAACCTGATTTCAAACTCTCTGATGGATGGAAATCCACATTTCTTGGAACAATAAGCATGGCAGAATTATGAGCAAACATCTAGATGGCGTTATGTTTAAAATGTAAATACATTTCAATAGTAAAGTGAGGAGCAGGGTAGTGTTTGGTAAATTATTTCCAGGATTTCCCTAGATTCTAAATGTGTAAAAAGTAGCTTTTAAATAAGTCAGTCTTTTCTTAATGGGTGAGACAGGAATAGTGAATGTGCAAATCTAGATGTTTCCAAATTTAGGAGCTGTTCCCCAACTCTGAGACTATCAAAGAGAATAAAAGATAATTTTACACTTTTCCCAACATTTTGAGTTTCAGTTATTAGTGAACAACACAGCAGAAAGTCATGCTTTTAATAACTTTTAACTTTTTTCTCATATCAGAAAAATGCAAAAATAAAAAATATTTAGCTCAGTGATCCATCACAAAGAAAATCTGTGGATCCACCACCAGGCCAAGAAATAGAATATTGGAAGACTTTCTATAGTAAATTTTTCATGTAGGAAAAGGCCTCCATTTGGAAATTCTATCTTTCCATTTGGAAACTCTATCTTTACATTTGGAAAAGTAAGAAAATAAACATTTGAAGCTGGCTCTGAAAGATTGGTAAGAGGAAAAATGAAGAAAAACTTGTCAGTGGGAAATGCTGGGTTTACCTGAGTGTGGAGGACCCATCTCTAGACCAATTCAAATTTTCGTTGTTGTCTGAACACATTTCTATGCTCTCTCTCTGTTGGGAGAGACTTCACCCTGTGGGATTTCATAAAACTTCATCATTTCTTTCCAACCAGAGGCTTATATAATTATGTAACTTAAATATAAACTAAGGCCCAATAGCCCTGTCTATGTGGAGTCATATTCTGAAAAGTCCAGCAACCACTAGAAATGTAACTGTGTCAGTTATAGAACATTTTCGGGGTATATTTTATATCTCCCAATGACAACAATCCCCTCTCCACCTTTCACTTCTTCACAGGCTGCAGTGGTTCTGGAGACTCTCACTTACAAATCCTACCCCAGAAATAATCTTCTAGACACCTCACGCTGATTTTTTTCTGTCTCCTCTACCCCTTTTGTCTGTTCTTTATTGTGTAGACCGAGTAAATAGCTCAGGCCTTTTTTTTTTTAAATTCCTTTTCAGCTTTACCTATCACCTCAGTTTTTAACAACAAAGGAGAGCAAGGGAAGTGGCTCAGCTAGCAAGATTTTTTCCCATTTTTCTCTTTCTCAGGTCTTTTTTCTGTCTACTCATTCCTCATATTCTGTCTCACAAACAGCCCAAGCTAGTTTGGCAAATGCCAAAATGTGCTTAGAGGATGAGAGAATGGGGAGAGATGGACAACATTCTCTTAGCTGGTGAGGGGGTGATATGTGTGTGTGGATGGGTGGGGGCGTTGGTGGTGAATGGAGACTGGGAATACGTTAATAAGTCCTATCCTATGCGTGATTAATTGACTTGAACTGAATTTTAAAAATAGCATGAATTGAATGTGGGTAGGGGTGAGTGCCACTACATCTTAACCTCATAGAATGAGTAAAACAGTCTACAAAAGTTTCAAATGTATTGAAAGACCTTTTGAAAGTCTGTTTTTTTTTTTTTTTTTGAGATGGATTCTCGCTCTGTTTTCCAGGCTGGAGTACAGTGGCATGATCTTGGCTCACTGCAACCTCCACCTCTTGGGTTCAAGCGATTCTCCTACTTCAGCCTCCCAAGTAGCTGGGATTACAGGCGTGCACCACCACACTCAACTAATTTTTGTATTTTTAGTAGAGATGGGGTTTCACTGTGTTGGCCAGGCTGATCTCTAACTCCTGATCTCAGGTGATTCGTCCGCCTTGGCCTCCCAAAGTGCTGGGATTACAGGCGTGAGCCACCACACCCAGCCTGTAAGTCTTATTTAAAGACTGTGTGTGGGTCAGTTATGGAAAGCACTGCTTTGACCCCGGAAGATTCCTAATGCCTTAGGTGGTCGTAGTGGCTGAGGCGGAGGGGAAGGAATTTGAAAGGAAGGAAAAGCTGAAATCATCTGTTAGGGTGGGGGTAGACTTCCTCATGGCTCTTTACTGAAATCCTCATCTGTTCTTCACTCAAATCTGTTAGGGTCATATTCAAACCTGCTCCATGTAGGGCTGAGCCAGAGGAGACTGAGATGAGTTAGACCAGTCAGACTAGGCCATGAGAAGAGTCAGTGTGCTGCCCCCGCTGCCACTGGCAATGCCCACCTGGGTGGTGAATGTGACAAGGAGGAAAAAGTAGCCTGAGGCAGAGCAGACAGAGTGGTTGGTCCTTTAAAGTGTTAGATGACCTAAAAGAAAAAGGTAACCTTAACACAAAGCCTAAGGAACATGAAGATGAGATCAGCAGAGCACCACATAGTCTGAGGCAATGCCCAGATGTGTAGGCCAGTTGAGAGAGAAGGAAGTGATTTTTAGAGAACAGTAACAGAAAAGATCTAGAGATTTTATTTAATAAAATTTGCTTCTGGCAAGCTTATGATGTGATTAGGTATTCTGAAATAATACCTATTTCTGAAATCTCAGTCTAAAATCCACTCTGGGATTGTCCGTAGTAGAAATACTGAAATCTGATTCCATCCAACAGAGTACTGTCCATTCCAGTCACCATGCTCAGGGACTGCTCCATAGCTGCTGTCCTCACAGGGCTGGGTCAGATGTGGGTCCAAGGTGCCAAGTTCACCCTCCTACTCCTGACTGATACTATTGATTCTGAGTTTGTGGTTCCTCAGCTGATGCCTGAGGTTTATGACTGATTACAACCACTCATACTCACCAGGCTTTACAAAAGGACGGGTGGATTCAAGCTGCCCTCTCCAACTTCCCTCCTCCTGTCAGTGGGGACACCAGATTACTCATCTTTTTATCCTTAATGCCTCCATTTCCTTTGCTCCCACATCCTTTATTAGACATTTCTTTTTAATCCTGGACTGCCTGTGTCATCTTAGAGACCTAGGGCAAGAATATAATAGTGGCATGTATACTCCATATCTAAATATTTGAAAGTTATAAAAAAATCAAGCTTACAAACCATTGACTAAATTACATTCCTTTTTCCCTTGAAAAATACCTTCATGATAACATGGTTTGGATAAAGCTATAATTTACATATGCCTGAAAGTTGGCCAAATGTCAAAGGCAATAGAATTTAATTGTAATTATACATGTCTGGGACTGTTGATGGGCTGGCACTGTTTAGATGAGTGATAAAATAAAGATATACATATTTCATAAGTCGTTATGTGTGAATTTAATACAATTTATTTTTCTTGGCTTCTTTTCAGTCAAATCATCAATTATGTTGTTATGATCAAGATTTTCATGCCACTTGTATTAATAGGAACTACCTGAAAGATTAAAAATAAAATGTAGTCGTATTCAAGAATACATTTGAATGTATTTTCAGAAAAAGTATAACTTGAGATAAACATTGACAAATTAAGATTTTTTACCAAAAATAAAAATTATTTTTCAATGTGTTTTCAAAAAAGGTTTTTAAGTTTACCTATTAAAGTTAAAAGCTAAAATACAACTAATAAAAATAAACATTTTAAAGCAAAATTATTTAGATAAAACTGGCAGGTTAATTGAATTTTTATTTAATTTTCTAAAAATTTTATTAAATAATTTTGTAAAAATGAAACTGTGCACAGAATCTTTAGTGTATTACATAGATGTTATATCTAGATCCTCAAATGTGAGAGTAATATAAATTATTTAATATTACAAAATATTCCTCAGCTCTAACTAATCATGAGGACTTTGAAACCATGGATGGAAACATAAAGAGAAGCATGAAAATGGATGCTCAAAGCTGCTAAGAAAAATATTTTGCTATGCAAAAATCTGTGTCTTCTATATGGAGAGGAAGTGACTGCATTTTCTTGATCCCAAGCACTTCTGCTGCTCAGGCCCTCTTGTACTGCAAAGCAGTATGTTTCTAATGTAGACAGAAGCGCAAACTGCAAACCTTCATGGTTGATGTCTGAACATCACTGCATTTCATTCACCTTAAGGGAATAGGACAAGAAGGGTGGAAAAGCACTTCCCCGAGGCCTACAGAGTGGATTTTTAGAGAACATTCAACCCAGAAAGACATGTCCATGTGTTCCTTATTAAATTAACTAAATTTAATCGTTGGAATTTTTGCAATACGTGGAGGCTTCTAAAACCTTGGATCCCAGATGGGGGCCTTCTTGCTTGGGCTAAGGGTGGAGCTGTTCTGAGATGGCTCTTCCTCTCCATTCCCCAAGTCTCTGCCTTAGTAGTGGATCTGTCTTATTTTATGCCTTGATTTTGAGCTAGCCCTAACTACCTATGGATTTGTCTCTTGCTAATCCATCTGAATTGCCTGTAAGATGAATTTGAAAATATTCTGTGTCCTACATGTTATTTCTTTGCCTTAGAACTTACAGTAGTTATCTACCTCTTACTGGATGAAGCCCCACATTGTGAACCTGCTATTCAGGGGCCTGCATTAACAGACTATATTACCTTACCAAGTTCATTTTGCTGGTTTCCTAATATATACCCTTTGCTTAACTAAGCCGTTTCCTTTGTGCCCCCAAACTTGTAGTTCTCATTCTCTGAGTAACTATGCTCAAGTGTGCCCCTACTATTTTTATCCATGTAATCTTGGCTAAGATAATATCAACCATTCTGTGGTTTGCACACTCAAGTTCTGTTTGGTAGTTTGTGAATTCTGCTAGCTGGTTTGCATTTTGTTTTCCTCAATATTAGTTGTCTAAAGATAGTGTAATTTTCTTTTCCTTTTTCTTTTTTTTGAAATGGAGTCTCACTCTGTTGTCCAGGCTGGAGTGCAGCAGCTCAATCTTGGCTCACTGCAACCTCCAGCCTCCCGGGTTCAAGCGTTTCTTCTGCCTCAGCCTCCTGAGTAGCTGGAATCACAGGCGGCTGCCACCATGTCTGGCTAATTTTTGTATTTTTAGTAGAGATGGGTTTTTGCCATGTTGGCCAGGCTTTTCTCGAACTCCTGACCTCAAGTAATCTGCCCCCCTCAGCCTCCCAAAGTTCTGGGATTACAGGCATCGCCCAGCCATCGTTCTTTTAAAAACATAATATTTTAATTACAAGAATCAATATAAAACATTGAGAACTATATGAACTAACATGTAAAACTCTCTTCATCACTTCTACACTTATTTACCAGAAGGCCCTATCAAGAATCTGATTTGTTTATTCAGACCTGTTTAAATGCACAAATGCTTACATTTTTGTATACACATTTTTTAAAAACAAAAAAGATAATTATCTGAAATATTGTCCTTTGTGATTTGCTTTATCATAGGCATCCATACCAGTGCATCAGAATCTCAAGCTTTAAAAGCTGGATGTAATGAATATTATGTCTGAAATATCTCATCTGTAAATGAGGATAATAATAGTATGTATTTCAAAAAATTATGGTGGAGTTGAAAAAGATTAAGACACTTTAAGTACTTAGAACTATGTCCAGCACTTAATAAAAACCAATAAATGTTAACTATTTAATAATAATAATTATAATATTTATAGTGATTATTTGTTTATCCATTTCCTTGCTGGTAGACATTTGTTTTCTCCAATTTGTTATTTTTATAATTAATGCTACAATAAACATCCTTACATATATCTTTGCACACTAAGCGATGTTACTAATTCATCCTTCCACCAACTGTGTGAAAGAATCTTGTATAGTAATTTAAAAAAATGTGGCCAGAGGATGGTGGCTCATGCCTGTAACCCCAACACTTCAGGAGGCTGAGTCAGGAGGATCGCTTGAGGCCAGGAGTTTGAAACCAGCCTTGGCAACAGGACAAAACCCCATCTCTACAAAAAATATAAAAATTAGCAAGGCATGATGGTGTACACCTGTGGTGCTAACTACTTGAGAGGCTGAGATGGGAGGATCACTTGAGCCCAGGAGATAGAGGCTATAGTGAGCCGTGATTGTGTTACTGCACTCCAGCCCAGGCAAGAGTGAGATCCTGTCTCAAAAAAAAAAAAAAAAAGTTATGTTTCTGATTATAAAGTAATACATGCTTATTATAAAGAATTTGAAAAACATAAAAAATGACAAAAAAAAAAAACTAAACCCTATCCTAACACTACCCTTTAGAGATAAAATCATTGCTAACAATTTAATGTGTTTCACTGGGGATCATTTTACTTGATACACTTATATTTTTTAATATAATATTATAGAAAAAGCTCTTGCCCATGACATTAAATATTTTATCACATAAATATACCATCATTTACTGTTTTCCATTTGTTGGTTATTTAAGTTATTCCTAATTTTTCATCATAAACATAAGTCTGTATCTAATTTTTGAACATAAGATTTTGCTCACATTTCAGTTCTACTTAACACAGGAAGAATAGAAACTTTTGAAGCTGTGGAGCTTTCCAGGAAGATTATCAGCAACATCGGAGAGCACCCATTCCAGGAATGGCCTGCAGAAGTCAGCCCCACTTTTCCCATCTGGAAACATCCCACCCATCACTGCTTCCCCACCCTCTCTTCATGCCCTCAGCTGCAGATAACATACTAGACATTCTGCCATGAAGACTCCGCTGGCCCATATGCGAGACTCTCCGTGTTCACAGCTTATCACATAATATCATTTCCTGCTCTTCACAATCTTCCTTTCAAATGCTTTAAGGCAGTACTTCATCCTTTTTTCAGACATCTTCTTAGTGAACCATGTAAGATTAGCATCTCAGTGAATCTAAATTCTCTTTTCTGCCCAGGCAAGCACTAGCATGTGACATTGGGCAAGTGATTTATCCCTTGTATGCGACGGTGTCCTACTCAGTGAACCAGAGGCATGTGTGAGAGGCCTTTTTGCAATATGGTACTTAGCACCAACAAATGGAATAAAAACACCACAAAAGAATTTGGAAAATAGAAATTCACATGTAAGTGTTCCTATGATAATAAGATATGGCTCGTAATTTTGTTGCCCGTATTGAAGGAGTGGCCTAGTTTGTTGACCAAGTGGATTTTAGCATTTTCTTCAGCTCTGAACACTGACTTTATTTTGTAGTGTAACGTTAGAATAAGGTAGACAGTGAGAAGGGGGTTGAAGAAGAGAAGCAGCCAGCAGGTAATGACTGAAGAAACCTGAAGCATATTCTACCTATCAGGTGTGTTGATGGTTTTGGCCAAGAATTCACATACAAGGAAGCCAGGTACAAAATACCACAATTTCTTTAGCTGCAGGCGGAGAGTTTGTGTCAGTTCCTTTTTTCCCGTGCTTTCATCCATATGCAAGCAAGTGATAACATGTACTAAGTTAAATAATGCATGGTACTTCAACTATTCTTACTTTCTATCCTTTGGTTATTGTAATTACATGTAATTTTGTGACGGATTTTGTATTTTTTAAGAAATCGCACTTTTGTACCGGATCCAGCTAACAGGATTTTCTTACATTACTTCATAAAGAGACCATCTTTTAAACTTCTAATGTTATTTCTTATTCATTAGTACATTTGCCTGTGGGGTATGTTCATAAATGGGTTAAAGTTACAAAGTTATGCTTATAAAAGCTCATGGTAATTTGGAGTATCAGGAGGATTTATTAATTTTGAAATCTTAAAAGAGCAAAAGCTAAAATGAGATTGGATTAAATATATTCTTGCATGCAGTTATTCTAAACACCCTTAAGGACCAAAGACTAACTTACAGAGGACATTATGCAAATGTGAATATATCTCCAAGTGCCTCGTAGGCTTGCTGATGTAATATTTTACATGGTTAGTTAAGTACATCAAGTAAAACGTTTGACCTTGATAGAGTATAAAGGTGCTTATTTCAAAACAACTCAGTGATTTTCCAGGCCATTGCAGAATAATCAACGTAAGGTGAATGAAATCAAGAATCTCATCATCGGCATTTTAGTCGGCCAAGCATCTGCTCCACAGGAAACCAAATATATTCTTTGTAACATGTCCATATCTTTCATTTTGTATTTGTCATCCAAATATCACACGTGTTTGAATGTTTGCTAGGGACCACACTGTTGCAATGTGAAGAAACAATTCCCAGGCATGGTTGATCACAAGAATTATCTGGGCAAGTTTTAAAAATATAGGTCTCTAGGTTTCATGAAGACTCACTTTATCAGATTTTTGAAGATAGCCCCAAGAATTATGAGTTGTTGTTGTTGTTTTTTGTTATTATTATTTAAAAAAAAAAGCTTCCCCACATGAATTGACCATCTGGTTTAGGAACCATCAGAGGCCTCACTCATTGCAATTTGAAAACCTGATGTGATATGATTGCATGTTTCCTTTTGGCCAAATCATCCTCTCAATAGGATAAGGAGAAGATACGCTTTTCTGAGATTTACAATTTCTATGTTAATATGAGAAGAACAAAGTGTTAATGTGGGCATTATGACTTAGATTCTAGAAACTCAAAACAGGGAGGCCATTCTGGTGATCGTCAGCTCACCCATTATTAATCGGTGTCTACTTGTGGCACCCATGTTTAGGGTTGGCAGAAAGTAGGGAAAGAGTTTAGGTAGGAGGAGACAGGAAATCTGAACATTCCCTACCTTACCTCTGCCTCAAATGGAATATCTTCCCTCTCAAAAAGAACATAAATAAATCCATTAATTAATCAGTAATCATTAATTGATTGCTAATGCATGTAATCATTCACTTTAAAAATATTTACTCAACACATATTTATGGAGCATTTATAAGGAACAGAGTCCTGTGTTTGCCAAGGGGTCAGTGGTTTTAGCAACTTTCTCTGTCCTACTCATTAGCAACAGGGTGAGGAGAAAGCAGAACATAAATCTGATAGGAAAACTTATTTTAGAAGAAATTATTCTGAGTGTGTGGGGGCCAGGAGGCATGCAAATTCCTCATTTTGAGCCCACTGCATTCTTCCCCATCTTAACAGCAAATGTTGGTATTTCTTTGTGATCATTTTAAGCATTACTAATGCCCCAGCAGACTGAAGTGGGGACCTTTGGCAGGTGGAGAAAACTGATGATGGTGGAAATGAAATGTAATTTCTTCCACTGTAATTCTCCACAAGCTGTGTAAACTCTCCGCAGTTAAATAAACACTTTTAAAGACAAAGAGTTTACATTTTCATCCAAACACTGCTGGTAACAACTGCTCACTTTCACTCTTTTGGAGCTTTCCCAAACAGCCAGGAGATTTGCATTTTCTCTAATAGTCTCAGCAGTATGCTTCCTTCCAAAAAGAGAGAGAAAATGAAAACCTTGCATTTCCCTGAATGCTGAGTAAAATCACACGACTATATTCCAGGTGGCCTAGTGGATAAATACGCAATTACTATTATTATTTATTGATTTATACGGCAAACTTCCCAAGCATTTGAACTTCATACATTACCAGGTAAAATGACGTCACTGCCTGCGTACCAATAGGACAGACCTTAAGTCGATTTTTCACAATAGCCAGGGGACCACTGAACATTTCCTTAAATTGGAGTCAGTGGGGGAAAATCCTACACCTAGAGCCAGTGAAAATATGAAAGAAATGCACACGTACAGAATGTGGACTTTCATTTCTGGAGGGCTGTAGTTTTCTAAGCTTTACAATTGTGTTAGGGAAATAGAACATTTGAAGAGAATAAATGTGGATATTTAATTTCTACTCAATCACATTCCTAAAATGAAGCCCTAAAGTGAGCAATGGATCATGAGTGACAGTGAATCTGCTGGCATCTTAATCTCAGGATTTCCAAACTCCAGAACTATAAAAAATAAATGTTTGTTGTTTAAGCCACATAGTCTATGACACATTTGCGATAGCAACCTGAGCCAACTAAGACAAGTTTGATTACAAGGCATCACGGTGGCTGGAAGGAAGAACCCAGCAAGTCTGCTTTGGGGGACAGCGTTGGCAGGCACACCAAAGAGCAAACAGGTGAAAAACATCTCATGGAGGGAAGGACATTCAGGTAGAAATGGCTGTGCAAAGCACAGAAAATTGAAATAGGGACTTCTAAGTCATTTGGTGCCCAGAGCATGGGGCAGAGAGGGAGGAGAATCTATCTGGAGAGTTTATTCTCCGGGCAGTCCTGATGAAGGATTCTGATCATGGCCCAACACTATCTGATTGGCAATTGTGAAGAATGCATTGGAGTGTGTTGCAGTCTGAGGCAGAACAATGGGAAAGATCAGCTAAGATCTGATTATCTGACATGAAGACAAATTGTGTAACCCAGGGTGGAAGGAGAATAGTGGTCATCAAACTTTGCTGCATGTTCTGTAGGTGATCTGTAAGTCTACAGGTTTAATATAGTAAATCTTAGCATTTACTGTGGTCTTATTCAGGGCTTTATCTCTGGTCTGAGCAACTGATGAGTTCTCAAGTGTGTGAGTGATCTCTTTAAGATCCACCTCCAGAGCCACCTCTTCCTCCATAAAGCCTGCCTTGGGCCGAATTGATTTCCACCTCCACAGTGCCTCCCCCCATGCCTCAGGTACACCTCGCTTACAGCACTTGCCTTGCTAGACTGTAAGTGCTTCTCTCCATGCCTGGCTTCTCTGCTGGCACACAAGCTCCATGAGATCAGGGGCTACAACTTATCTCTGCATACCCAAAGCTAGACAGTGGTATCCAGGACATAGCAGGGACACGGAGGCTTACTGATGGAATGAAAGCAGCCCCAATTAATCAGCAATGTATAACCACGTGTCTGTGTACTCATCAGGGAAGGACAGGGTGAAGAACCACAGAAACGACCTCTGTTTCTCCAGCTTTATTTGCTATATTGATGAGGGGGAGGTGAAGCGAAGGAAAAGTTTTATGTGCAGAAGATGAGAAACAAGCAGACTTGCAAAAAAAGAAAACATGTTTTCAAGCATTTCAGATTCAATTAGTAGCCTCCAGTTGAGTCAAACAAGAGAAAGCAACTAGGGGAGAACCAAAAAACAGGTACTTGACAGATTTCCTTTAATGCTTTTCCTGTCCCTTGATGTATTGTCTTCTTGTGGAAGTATCAATATTGTGTGTATACAGGGGGAAAAGCATCATCTTCAAACTGTAATGAATCTAAAATGAAAACAAGCCACACAGTTGGCCAACACTGCTTTAAAATTGCACATCAAGAACACTCCCAGTGACAAACACATTCAAGGCAAACAAACCAAACAGAAATTAAAAAATCTCTGTGGGGTATAAATATGTAATTACACTCACACAGGGAGCATTTTATCAGGTAAACCATCCCACTTTGTTAATTGAAATGCTCTAGCACTGGGCTTTTTTGACAAAGCGTCTGAATATGTATGTGTATGGTGTAGACACGCTGTTTCACCGCAGCTCTTCCTAGCTGGGGTGAACTGCCTCAAAGCCATTTTTCCGTGCAGCTGGGAGGTCAGTTCTCTAAGCTTTCCTTTTGTTTGTTTGCTTCTATTTCCATCTAGCTGAATGTCACCAGGATGCAAGCTGGTTTGGAATTCTAAATATCTGTCCAAAACACAGCTATTTTTAAAATTAGGACTAATACTTGACTTTTATATACCTCATTTAAAATACATAGATAAGCAATTCTCTTTGATAATTTAAAAATGTTAGAACAACCAAAAAGAGAGATGTTCTAAGAATGTACATTAGTATGGCATAGTAGAAGAATGTCCTGAATTCGACTTCAGACTCCGCCTCTGACTACGACCATAGGTCACATTAAAACATTGCCGCCTTCGTTTTCTCATCTAAAATGAAAGTTATTTTATGATTGCTAAAAATTCCTTTCTACTCCAGCAAATCCTGTGTTATCTAATAATACTGCATTTGCTTGAGAGTTTTTTGAGCAGCTGGATCATGAATTCAAGGACATCTTTGTTAAATGTTTGGAAAGTTGCTCAAACGAGGCTCCATCTCCTTCCTCTGGTGTGTTTGGGGCTATGGCCTTCTCCAGGCCCTGGAATGGCCAGTGCTGAGCACAAGGCCCAGAGTCACTACTGCAGACTTCTGGGCAATCTCAGTATCCTACCTATGAACATACATACAATGTTCATACACCTATGAACATACATACAATGTTCATACACCTATGAACATTGCAGAGGTCTGTTCTGCAATGGGAGAGGCACAGGGTAGTGTCTGGGGGGTGTCAGAGTAGAAATTCAAGTCCCAACATATGAATCTCGTAGTATAGGTGGAACTCACTCTGGATTCTCTAACTCTCCAGACCTAATGTTTCCTAGAGCTTCTGTGTAAATGACCACAAATTGGATGGTATAGAAACTTATTCTTTCTAACAGAAACATTGTTTCTCAATTCTGGAGGCTAGATGTCTGAAATCAAGGGGGCAGCAGGGCCGTGCTTTCTTTAAAAGCTCTAGGTGAGATTCTGTTCCTTGCCTCTCCCAGCTTCCGTGGCTCCAGGCATTCTGTGGCTTACAGCTGTATCACTCCCATCTCTGTTGACGTGGTCACTCACTGCCTCCTCTTCTGCCTTTCTGTGTTTTCTCTTCCATTTCTTACAGGAATACTTATTGGATTTAGGGCCCACTTTGGTAATCTAGTATGATCTCCTCTCAAGATCTTTAGCTTAATTACACCTGCAAAGATCTCTTTTTCAATCTTAGTAAGGTAAGATTCACAGGTGCCAGGGATTTGGATGTGGACATATCTGTTTAGGGACATCATTCAGCTCAGTACACCTGATCTCTGTCCCAAGACATCTAAACAGTAGCACAGAAAGTCTAGGTCTAGTTATTAAAGGCATATATAAATTATTCTGACATGATTTACTACCAAATCACCTTAGCCTCTACCTTGTTTATGAGGAACCGATGGAAAGTGGCAGGAATGACATGAATGCCTTTGGAATTTAGTGAGGGGAGAGGACACATGGGTACTGAGTCTGATGTTGAGCACTTCTGATCTCTGCTAGCCACCATGGGTACCACAAAGATGTCTAAGAGATGCCCCTGTCCTTCAACAACTCACAATGCAATAGAATGAACAGGCATCAGAACCAGAGATATGGGGAAAAAGCAAAATGAGATCTATTTCTAACGGGGTAAGCCAGCAACTAGGTCCCCCCTCCCTACCCCAGTTGTCAAATATTTCTTCTAAAACCCACTCTTCCTAGGCTGGGGGAGTGGAGAGGCAGCTAAAACATATCTTCTATAAAGATAATTCGATCAGATCCTGTCACAAGTAAGGTCCTCTGAGGAGCAGACTCTGAAATGGAGATGAACACACGGCATGTTTATTAGGAGTGTTTTGGGGATCAACAACGGTGGAAAGGGGAGGGTGAGGACTGGGCAAGTGGGAGAAGTTAGGCTGTGACACAGTCTCCATCAATGGCTCAGGTGACCTCCTAGGAGCTCTGGAGTGAAGATGGTTCTTCAGAGTGGTGCTTAGATGGGCCAGGACCTATGAACAACACATCAATCAATTTGATATGAGGTGTCCTTTGTGGAGAAGCTCTCTTCAGCCAGGATCTTCCCAGAGAGGCTGACAGCCAAGGGCACTGTGCCAACAACACCCCCAGCAGCTGGGAGAAAAGGTTCTTCAGGGCTGAAGGAGGATATGGGCTGGCATGTCACAGCATCCAATTCAGATCCTTGTTCAGGCTGAACAAAACTCCATGTCACTATTCCACAAACTTCACATGTTTTGAAGATGAATCCTACCCAAAAAGTTGAGCCTATCTAGATAGGTTCCTCTGTCTGGTTACATTCATGAATTTATTAAATGAGAAGAGAGCGTGACCTGTGCTGTAGAACAGGGCTATGACCAGCCAAAGGGATTCAAGGCAAAAAGAAGCCTGGTCTTTAAAAATTCTCATTGCACACATCCAAGGCATTGCCAGTTCTGCTAGATGGGGTGATGGGACAATGCCTCCAGGTACCTCCACAATTGGACATCAGTTTCATTGTGTGTTACCCTCTCTAGACAAATGCACACACAACTGGAAAATTCCCTTAACTGGGAGAGAAGGAGGGAAATTTGAGTAAGTAGTTCTATCTCTGTGTCAGTTTAGCAGAAGGAACATGGGGTGTAAGGTCAGGTGGACATGCAGTAAACGTTGATCTCTTTTACCCACTACCTCTTATCCTCATTTTGTGGAAGCAGCTTTTCCTGCTTCTCCCAGCTTTTCAATATAAGCCCCGAGGGCTTGACGTTTCTAGTTTGTTTGTTTGTTTAGAGATGAGGTCCACCTCTCTCTCCCAGAGCTGGAGTGCAGTGGCACATTCACAGCTCACTGCAGCCTCAAACCCTTGGGCTCAAGCAATCCTCCAACCTCAGCCGCCCAAGTAGCTGGGATTATAGAAGTGAGCCACCATGCCCTGCTAGTTTTTTATTTTGTGACATATCTGGCTACAGAGTCTGCACTCTTCCAGGACAACCTGTGTACTCATTGTCTACCAGACTATCAGGCTCCATATCCTGGCTGAAGGATTTATCCACCAAGTGCTCCTAGGCAAATTACCTCACCCCTCTGTGAAATGGTTTGTTCTTGTAAAATGGTCATAATAATAACTGTGTATAATATATATAACTGATATATATTATACCTGATATATCTATAATGTATATATTATTGATATATACACACATGAAATTATATGTGTATATATAGTTATAATATACATTAATGGAAGTTAATATGTTGATAAACACTTAGCACTATTCTTGGCTCAAAGTAAGTGCCCAATGTTAGCCATTATCAATATTATTTCATTTTCATAATCACCAAGGTGTCCTCAGGTGTCTTCCTCTATGAGGCTGACAGTGAAGGTTCCAGTCTTCTCATCTTTGCTCACTCTTTGTCATGACCTCTTCTTGGGCTCTCTCCTTGGTGGAGACTCCCTGACCCCACTACCATATAGCCATCTTTCCCATCTCTGCAGTCCTATAGGACTTTTCTCGTGGATGCCAGAGCTTGCCTCCTGTGTTGCATCATTAGTCATCATGCCACATGTGTGTTTTTGGTGTATTCAGTATAAGGTAAGTTGCTCATCGTCAGGTTGAAAATTGAGATCAAATATTGTCAATGATGAGCTGAGGCCCATAATACTGAGGTGAGTATAAAAGAATAGGTGGCTGTTTGCAATAAGTTCAAGTCCACCAGCCTAGATGAATTCTATGTCAATTGCTCGGTTTTCTAAGTCGTTTCCTTCCTTGCTTTTCCCACCATAGTGCCCTACCTGCTGGACAAAATTCCCAGAAACTCTTTGTTATTTCCCTCCTTCCCTCCTTCCTTCTTTAGGTTCCTTTCCCCTCCTGCTCCTCCATCCCTCCTTCATTTCTTTCTTTTGTAAGTATTTATTGTTCAACTTTCATGCGCAGAGCACTGGGGATCCTTTGGTGAGTAGGCTGAGTAGGATCCTCATCCTCCTGGTATTTACAGTTCAACAGGAAAGACAAAAGTAGGCAAGTGTGGTATGTTGATAAGGAAGTCTGGGAAGCCATAGAAGTACACAACTGGGACACTTACTGCTCCTCCCAGGGGAGGGAGAATTTCTCAGGAAAAACCTCAGGCTGTATAATGAAAACAAGAAATGTGAAAAACTAGAGGTATTGTAGTTGGAGATAAAAGACTCCTCCAACATCTTCCTATTCTTGACCTTTTTTTCCCACAGCTTTGAACTAAGTGGTACCTGCCTTTAGCTCATTCAACAAATATCCATTGAATGACTGTTGTGTGTCAGATACTACATGAGGAACAGAGACGTAGAAGTGAATAAGACAGAAACAGCTCCCTGCCCTCATGGAGCTGACAGTTCTATCCTAGGCTGGCCTGAATTTGGTGATGCGTAGGACAGTGTATGAGTTCTAAGCATTTCACCTGTATTATGTCATTTAATCCTTGTGATAGCCCTATGTGGTAAGTACTATCATTATCTTTGTTTTATTGATAAGAAAAATGTAGCATGGAGAGGACAAATAACTTAGTCAAGGTTCAATAGCTAGTTCAAACCTGGACCGTGCCACTAATAGCCATGCAGCCTTGGCCAAGTTACTTAATCTTTACAACAACCTGAGTTGTTTCACCTATAAAATGTGGATGATAAGAATAGCCCCTACCTTATAAGGTTGTTGAGGGAGATTAATCCATCAGAACACTTAGCATCATGCCTAGTGATGGGTGCTATTATTATTATTGAGGAAAAAAGGTAGGAGAATGGATAGGTTCCAGAAGCCTGGAGATGAGCAAATTTGGTTCCATTTTTAGTAAGAGTATGATTCTACCAACTGTAATCTGATGAGCTGACATAGGCACTGGGTAAGATTCTATTACAGGTGGTTGAAAGAATTATTTGTGAGTCATTAAAAAGGTAGTGTTGAGCACTTGCATTCACAAAGAGCAAGTCTCTCTTTAACTCTTACATTGCATTAAATATGTTACGTAGACATGTCTTAACAGCAGCATATAAAGTAAAACATAGGGATTTTGTTTGACAATAGGCACAATGTATTTAGTCTGCTTGGCTTGTCATAAAAAATCACAGACTGGGTGACTTAAATGACAGACATTTATTTTCTCACAGTTCTAGAAGTCCACCATGAAGGTGTTGGAGAGTTTGGTTTCTGGCAAGGGCTATTCTCTTGGCTTGCAGATGGCCAACTTCTTGTTGCATCTTCACATGGCCTTTCCTTTGTGCACATGTAGAGAGAAAGAGAAAAAGAGAGCTTCTTTTTATAAGAATAGAAATCCTATTGGATTATGGCCCAACTCTAATGTCTTTATTTAATCTTAATTACTTTTGTGTAGAACCTATCCCAAAATACAGTCACATTGGGGGATAGGACTTCAACCTATGAATTTTGGGGGGACATAATTTAGTTCACAATATTCCACTTCTAGTCCCACAAAATTCATGTCCTGCTCCCATGCAAAATACAGCCACCTTATCCCAACAGCCCCCAAAGTCTTAACCCATTCTGACATCAATTCCAAGTCCAAAATGTTATCCAGAGATCATCTAAATCAGTTATGGGTGAGACTTGAGGTATGATCAATCCTGAGGCACTATTTCTCTCCAGAGGTAAACCTGTGAAACCAGGTAAGTTGTGTGCTTTTTAATACAATGGTAGAATAGTTAGAAGATGGCCATTTGCATTCTAAAAGGGAGAAATTGAAAAGAAGGAAAGGATGACAGGTCCCAAGCAAGTCTAAAATTTAGGAAGGCAAATCTCATTAGATATTCGGGCTGGAGAACAATCCTCTCTGGCTGGATACTCTGCCTTCCAGGCCACTGGGACAGTGGCATCACCCCCATGGCCCCAGGCAGTGGTTCTGCTCCCACCCCTGAGGCTTTCTGTGAGGGCCGTCTGGCCTGCTGAAATGGAGGGGCCTCACCCTCTGAAACCATGGAGGAAGCACTCCTGCCCCATGGGCCTGTGGTGACAGTGGCAGCCTTGATGATGTCTGGATCACTTTTGGGGTCATTTCTCTCTTTTCTTGAAGAATAAAGCATGTTTGCTGTTAAATGGCTTTATTGGCCAGGCACGGTGGCTCATGCCTGTAATCCCGGCACTTTGGGAGACCAAGGCAGGTGGATCACTTGAGGTCAGTAGTTCGAGATCAGCCTAGCCAACATGGTGAAATCCTGTCTATATTAAAAATACAAAAATTAGCTTGGTGTGGTGGCACACTCTTGTAATTCCTGGGAGGCGGAGGCAGGAAAATTGCTTGAACCTGGGAGGGAGGCAGAGGTTACAGTGAGCTGAGATTGCGCCACTGCATTCCAGCCTGGGTGACAGAGCAAGACTCTGTCTCAAAACAAAACCCAAAGAGCTTTATTGTCTCATCCTGTAGAATTCCAGAAGTCCAACAGCCTTCCTTCATTCCATCCTTTTTTTCTCTCTGTCTGCTTTAGTCTCAGCTTGCATTGTTTCTGCTGGTATCACCCCATCTACATCTCTGGCTTTTGCTGCGATGACTGATTAAATCCGTGCTTCACATCCAAACCAATTTCCTATCAAAGGGTTGCTCAGCCTCACTTACAATGTTCTCTTCAAAAGTTATCTTCTCTTCAGAAGTTCTCCATTTTTTTTTTTCAATATGGGGATGCTGAGAATTTTCCAAATCTCCAAGTCTGATTTCTTTTTGCTTAACAATTCCTTCAATGTATCTCTCCCCTCTCATATTTTACTGTAAGTGATAAGGGGAAACCATGCTGCTCCTTCAACACTTTGCTGAGACATCTTAGTTAAATATCAATTTCATCACCCACAAGTTCTACCTCCCTAAAAACCCTAGAACAACAGTCCCCGACGTTTTTGGCACCAGAAACCAGGTTCATGAAGACACTTTTTCCACAGACTGAGGGGATGGGAAGGGTTTGGGATGAAACTGTTTCACCTCAAATCATCAGGCACTCATTAGATTCTCATAAGGAGTGTACAAGCTAGATTCCTCACATGCACAGGTCACAATAGGCTCTGTGCTCCTATGAGAATCTAACACCAGTGCTGATCTGGCAAGAGGCAGAGCTCAGGTAGCAATGCTTACTTGCCCGCCACTCACCTCCTGCTGTGCGGCCTGGTTCCTAATAGGCCACGGACTGGTACCAGTGTGCAGCCCAGGGATTGGGGACCCCTATGTTAGAACACATTTCAGCCAAGTTCTTTAACGCTTTATAACAACAATCACCTTTTCTCAGTTTCCAATAACCTATTTTTCATTTTGGTCTGAGACCTCACCAGAATGGCCTTTAACATCCATATTTGTACCAACATCCTGTTCACAATGATATATGTAAAGTTGAATGAACCTTGAACAATGCAGGGGTTGGGGCACTGACCCTCCCCCCACCATGTAGTCAAAACTCTGTATAACTTTTCACTCTCCCAAAACTTTACTAATAGCCTACTGTTGACCAGAAGCCTTACCAATAACATAAACCGTTGATTGACACATATTTAAGTTAATAATAAGTTAAATGTATTATATACTTGTATTCTTACAATAAAGTGATGTAGAGAAAAGAAAATGTTATTAAGAAAATCATTAACTGGAATTCATTCATGAAGTGGAAGTGGATCATCATAAAGGTTTTCATCCTCATCATCTTCACACTGAGTAGGCTGTGGAGGAGGAGGAAGAGGAGGGGTTGGTCTTACTGTCTCAGGAGCGGCAGAGGCAGAAGAATATCTGCATAGAAGTGGACACAAACAAATAAAACATGTTATTCGGGGGTCAGCTGTACTTTCTAAGATAACAGAGGATTTTCCTATAGCTCTCCTCTTTTCTTTCTGAGGCCTCATCAGAGGCCTGTAATATCACCTTTAGCATCTATCTATCTATCTATCATCTATCTATCTATCTATCTATCTATCTATCTATCTATCTATCTATTTTTTTTTTTACCGATAATCCCTTCAGGGCAATCTAGCCTTTTTCTAACACCACCTCAAAACTCTTTGGCATATTCCCATAACCCAGTTCCAAAACCACTTCCATATTTTTAGGGTTTTGTTATAGCAGTCCCCATACTTCACAGTACCACACTCTGAATCAGCCTGCTCACTCTGCCATAACCAAATACCACAGACTAGATGACTTAAACAGCAGACACTTATTTTCTCACAGTTCTGGAGGCTAGAAGTCTACAATCAGGGGGCCAGAAAATTTGGTTTCTGGTAGTCGCTCTCTTCCTGGCTTGCAGAGGGCCACACTTTCTTCCTGGGTGCATTATGCACATGCAGAGAGAGAGAAAGCTCTGGTCTCTCTTCCTCTCCTTATAAAGGCACCAATCCTATTAAGTTAGGGCCCTACCCTTATGACCTCATTTAAACTTAATCATCCTCATAGGTCCTATCTCAAAATCAGTCACATTGGGTGTTAGAGCTTCGACAAGGGTATACCCTTGGAAGGGGACACAATTCCATTCGTAACACACAACATTATAGTCACCAGTGTGACATAGCTACAGAAAACACAAACTCACATTTAAAACATTGACACATTATTATGTTAAAAGAAGGATGGTGCTGTGAACACTATATCTTATCTCATTTGGCTAGGGGTGCCTCACTTTAAAATGGGAAGGGAAAATAAACATTGAGCATATCCTACCTATGATACCTTATTTAATCCTCATGACAACCCTGTACATTGTTGGTATTAGAGGTCCCACTTGAAAAACTTAGTGAGCAATCTGTTACCTAAAATCGCCCTGGGTATCTTGCCAGGTTAGCCAGCTAAGTGAGTGGAGAAGCTGGGGTTTGAACCCCCAAAAAAGAATGATGGGAATATGGGGTCTTCTTGAAAAGAGAAACTATGAGGAAAGGTTGAAGATATTGGATGATTATTCTGGGAAAAGGGAATTTCAATAGGTTCATTTACTATGATTCCAGAAGACAGTGCGTAGATGAATTGGTGGAAATTACAGGGAAGAAGGTTTGGAATTAATATATACAGTTGACCCTTCATATCTGCAGGTTCCTCACAGAGGGATGACGATGTGAAGGCAGCCATGAAATGATGGAGGGAGAGACTGTACCAATGCAGCAGCAAGTCAAGGAGCAATGATGATTGACAGCCACCACCAGAAGCTAGGGAGGGGCAAGGAAGGATTCGGCCCAGATCTCAGAGGAAGCATGGCCCTGCCAGCGCTTTGATTTTTGACTTGTAGCCTCCAGAACTGTGAGACAATACATTTCGGCTGTTGTCAGTCACACAGCTTGTGGCACTTTGTTATAGCAGCCCCAGGAAATTAATATGCAGTTGGTCCTTTGTATCCATGGGTTCCACATCTGGGAATTCAACCAACCATGGATCAAAAATATTGGGGGAGGCCGGGTGCGGTGGCTCATGCCTGTAATCCCAGCACTTTGGAAGGCCGAGATGGGCGGATCACGAGGTCAGGAGATCGAAACCATCCTGGCTAACATGATGAAACCCTGTCTCTACTAAAAATCCAAAAAAAAAAAAAAAAAAGAAAACAAACAAACAAAAAATTAGCCGGACGTGGTGGGACATGCCTGTAGCCCCAGCTACTCGGGAGGCTGAGGCAAGAGAATCGCTTGAACCTGGGAGGCAGACATTGCAGTGAGCCAAGATCACGCCACTGCACTCCAGCCTGGGTGACAGAGTGAGACTCCGTCTCAAAAAAAAAAATATTGGGGTAAAGTCAATGAAAAATAACAATACCCTGCAGATACTGAGGGATGCCTGTGTAAAAATTTGCTAAAATTTCCAACTCTCTAAAATAGAGCAGCTCTTTCAGGCAGTGTATTATGCTGCTCATTATTGCAGGTGTTCAAAATTTTGTTGTGGGAGACAACACAGTGAAAACGAGCATCAAATGAACTGAAACGGAGAGTGGGCTTAAATATTCTCCACTCTTCTAAGTTTTATGAAAGTTTCTGTTATTATAGAAGGAATTTCACAAGAGCAAATTTTGGAACATGAAATTCTGAATATTTTAACCTCTGGGCAGTGGAGTAGTTCAAAAAAATTATCTGACACATAATTGTTGCTAATTGGCTTCTAAATATTTTCTTCTGTGAAGATGGAGTCAATTTAGTGGGAATATATTTGAATTAAGTTATTAGAATAAAAAACTCATAAGAGCCATTTCTATTTATGACAGCTGGAAACGATCTCCCAAGTATGCCCTTGTAATTACCTTTAGAGTTGCGTATCTAGGGCACATCAAAGAATTACATGCAAGTGGTCATTGCACTAATGAAATGCTTATCTTCCTCTACTCATCATGCTGAAGAGCTTTTAGAAATGTCTATTTGGACTCTTCTTCCACAATTAATTAATTGAATGGATATCGGGGCTCCCAAGCTCTGTTAAATGAAAAGGGAGACCTAGATTAATTCTGTTTTTATTTAATAAGTATGTTTGAAAGCAGAGAAAACAGTTTCCAACATACTCATAAACAGATCCAGGTTGAGATGTGTGAAGGAATAACACTCCTTCTTCCAAAGATACCTATTTTATAAATAAGAAAGCAAAAATAAGGCCTTGAAATCTTCTTTTCTGGGGAACCTAAAATTAAACTTGCATCATTGCTCTTCCAATAAGTATTTTCTATAAATTTAAGATACGTGGATTATGACAATTCTCCAGATGTGCTTGCACTCCACTGTTTGGATTTTGAATGTGTTTGAGCCCGACAGCTCTTGGTTAAAATCTCTTGTGAGCCAAAAATACTTTTGGCTGCCATGCCCATCCCACCCATCCAAATGTTTCTGGCAAATACACTCAACGGGCAAAAGTTAAAATCCCCCAAGAGCTCCTGGCCTGGGGAAACTTTTGCCAATATTTTATTTATCCTTAGTGTCAAAATAAATGCTGGCTTTAAAAGAGAAGGATCACAGCAAGCTTCCCCAGTTGGAGAATACTAGCAAATAAAACAAAATTTTTTATGAAAATTGAAGGTGGTTGGACCACTAAAAGACATTCAGATGGAGTGAAAACATTTCAATTATTCAGAGGAACTTTTGACTTCCTATGGCCTTTCAGGGTGCCTGGGGCCTTGAGGCCAACTTTTGCTTTTCTTAGCGCTGCTTTATGTCTGAAAATTCCAGCTTCCTTTCTTGCCTTGTATCTCAAGCCTCCTCTCCCTGCCCATCAGCCCATTTCTTTATCTAAAAGAAGGCTTCAAGCAACTAGTCTAGGAAAACACTCTGCAGGGATTGCTCTGCGTGGGTACTAATTATTTTAAGCCACATTTGTTTGTTATGTTTTACCTGCTGGGGTGAGCCTCACTTCCCATGCAAGCTGCCACAGGCCAGCTTTTGCTTGGAACCCAAACACGTGTTGATTCCACCATGACATGAAGACCTAGTGAGAGGAGCATGTTGGGCTGTTTAGTGTTGCCATTGCATTACAAACCAAACATGATGGCAGCTTTCGACAATTTCCTTTGAAGAACAGCCTTTGACTGAATGTGGAGGGAAAAATTTATACTCGATTGAGTAACTCAATGCTGGCTAGAGTGCTGAGAATATCATTGACATGTGAAGAATTTGAATGATGCTGGAGGGCTCTATGTTTTACTTTCAGAAATTCTCAGGTTGGGTCAAGTATACAAGATGATTACTACCCAGTCAGGAGGCCAGGAAACCTCATATATATACATGTCTGCGATTTGGTAGGGAGACTCCAGGCATAATCTCTACAAGCAAATTGCTTCTTCAGAACTGTTGTGTGAAATGGCTTTTGTCTACTTTTCTTTTGGGATGATGGACTGAGTGATAAATCAATAATCATGCTGTTCTGTTTGTGGATGATATCTATGAAGTAAGCAGCTGTGTTATGACTTTTGAGGGGCTCTGAAACTTCATTTTGGTTCCCAGTCCCCACAAAACATCTTCCTTGCTAATCCTGTGAGGCTCTGAAATACTTCGACTGACAACTCTCCGGGTTGGAAGGAACCTCTGAGGTCATGTACTTCTACTTTCTTCTCAGGGGAGGGAATCTCCTCTACAATAGTTTCATGCAGTTACCCAAATTTCTTACACTGTAATTATCTAAAAGATGAGTCATATAAGGATGTCAAATATTCCAAACAATCGCTGTTACTGTCCCCTAATTTGCTCATGATAGACATTATCAGTGAATCTTGATCCTCTTTCCAGCAGAGCCCAGCCGCAGGGCCTTAGAAACCTTTCTCAGACTGTTCTCTATGCTGCCACCATCTATCATTTAGTGCTGGGCAAGAGAAGAGATCCATTTTCCACTCTGTTTTAAGGCATCAAGTCCTTCACCTACATCAATTCAATTAGCCATGCATCTAGTAGGCCTAGGAAGATTTACAGGACATGTGGATTTTCCTCTCAGTATTTTTTCTGACTAAAGTTTTTGTTTCTGTTTTACATAGTTGTGGCATGTATGCACCAATTTTAATTTAACATGAGAAGTATATTTCAATATTATAAGCACTTGGTACACATAACATTAAAGGCATGTATAATATTACATATACTTTGATTATTATTTACTTAACTATTTCCTCATTTTGAATATTTAGTTTCCTTTAGATTTTTTCTATTATAAATAATATATTATAAATATGAGGAAATTAAATTTTACATATAGAGATTTTTTTTTCATATTTGGGATTATTTCCTTAGGCTAGATTATGAGAAATGTATTTATTGGGTCATGAGCATTTTAAGACTCTTAATAGATTACCCAGCTGTTTTCCAATGGATTATATCAATTTACATTCTAATTGTGTATTAAATTACCTGTTTCATCTACCCCTTGCCAATTTTGCATATATCTTAAAATATATAGGCAACAATTGAAGTTGAAGTTGCTTTTCTGGGATTCTTGAAATCTGTCATTTGGTGTAGTGTGCTCACCCCTCTGCTCCATGCTGCCTTCTGCTAGGGAGCTATCAGGTCTCTGGGGCATTTAGAACCTTTCCCTAATTTTCTAGGAATTGGCCTGTGAATTTCCCTGTTATTAGGTCAGAGATTACAGTTCTCTTTGCCCTCTTTATAAATTAATAGCTTGATTCTCTGCTTCCAACATCTTCTGTCCTCACCACTAATAGTAAGAACAACAACTACTACTGCTGCTACAACTACTACTGATTGAGCTGTAGTTCTGTAGTGAGTGTGATTCTAAGTACTCCACAGGTAATATTTCATTTAGATCTTACTGTAACCCATTGAAATAAGTGTTATCATCCCCAGTCCACAAATGAGTATAGTTAAGTGAAACTTGAAGAAGCTCAGTAAATTTCCCAAGGATATTCAACTGCTAAGTAGTAAAGCTGAGAAATGAATTGAGGCTCTACCTTATTTCCTGTCCCAGGCTTTAAACTACGCTGTATTATGCCTCTACATGTCTGAGCTACCCACCTCTAACTTAGTCTGTCCTTTGGCTCTGGAACCAATCCAATTCTGAGTTAAGGAAAATTAAGGTACTCTAGCCCAGCATCTGAAATCACTGTTGTTGCTAGACCAGCTCTGATTTTGTGTTCGATTCACACTAAATGGACTTTTGCCCAGTAATGTTGCTGAGAAGACACTAGGAGGACTAGGGTTGATGAGAACATTCACTAGAAGGCAGCCTTTGCAAACATTGAAAGAAGGTTATCCCAGGGTGGTAACATAGTTTGTGTTTCCTCTCTCAATAGTAAAATCTAGCTATAATTCAGCTTCTGCTTCTCTACCTTTTTCTTATGAACACATCCCCACCTTATTCCCGATTCCAGTGACTGTGCTTTCTCCTTAGTCTCGATAACTCCCTAGTAGCTTAGTTCCTATAAGATCTGCATAGGAATCATAAGATCTGGCTATTTTATAGTGGCAGGAAAGGGGGAGAGGGGAACACAAGTGGAAAAAACCTTGAGAGCTTGTGAATATAAGGTGAAATATAAGGCTACATTCATTCACATGGTGATACTCACCCATGGATCTGGGCTCAATATTGTGTCAAGTACGTATGGAGCTAGTCTAAGAGTTTGCTGGGTTAGTTCTTTTTTTTTTTTTTTTTTTTTTGAAACAGAGTCTCACTTTGTCGCCCAGGCTGGAGTGCAGTGGCGCAATCTCCGCTCACTGCAGGCTCCGCCCCCCGGGTTTACGCCATTCTCCCACCTCAGCCTCTCGAGTAGCTGGGACTACAGTCGCCCGCCACCTCGCCCGGCTAATTTTTTGTATTTTTAGTAAAGACGGGGTTTCACCGTGTTAGCCAGGATGGTCTCGATCTCCTGATCTCGTGATCCGCCTGCCTCGGCCTCCCAAAGTGCTGGGATTACAGGCGTGAGCCACCGCGCCCGGCCCAGGATAATTCTTTAACACTTGAATTTCAAGATGGCTTCTGAAATAATGTGAAGGTATCAGAACTCCCTTGGCATGCAAGAAGGGGTCAGAAAGCTCAAGGGTGTGAGAATGTTAGAATAGATTTATGATGTACAAACTCACAGCCTGTCACCTGACTATATACCCTAGCAGAGTCCAGAGAACACTTTTCATTTTGGTAAAAATAAATGCACTGGTTAGTGGGACAGTCACATCTTTGACAAACTTGGTAGTAGCTGTATTGTGTAAGCTGAGGCTCAGACTGGGGAATACTGCCATGACATTGAATTCTTTACTGTCAAATAGGGATAATGGGACTGGGGAAGGGCAGAGACCAAGCGGTAACTCTGAACTGGGTATAATGGGTACCCTGGTGCTCTGCCCAGATCCTCTTTCCAGGCCCAATTGAGAATATTGGTTAACAGCCCACAGATGTGTCTTTCCCTGGAAAATGCCTCATACAGTTCACTAGGTATTGGTCTGAGGCTGATAACTGGAAGATGTGGATGTACAAAGGCCTGTCCCTCTTGCCTTAATTTTGTGCAACTCTGAAGTGCCATATTGGTTCTAGAGCTCTGTGTTGAATTAACTGAGGCCTCAGTGACAACTGCATTGTGAGTCAGCGTCATCCTCACCAACTCTGCCCTCTTAATTTCCCTCAGGTGCATCTCCTGAAAGCACTCCCAACAGGTCTTCCACATGCAGCTTTTCATCACAGACTGTTTCCAGGGAACACAATGGAAGACAATTGGTTCCACACGTGTCCTAAGAACCAGATTCTAATATGAGATTTGGGGGCTGAATCATTCGCCAGCCACCTGGCAATGAGAATACCGTCATTGATAACAGGTGAAGTATGGTTAGCCCCAATATGCTGTCACAATGCAATTTAAAAAAATTTCGCCAGTGGTGAACTGGGAAGGGAGACAGTGGGTGGGGATGCACTGTCAGGTGTAGTATCTCTATTGCCTAGAAGGCATGAGAGAAATTATCTTACGAGGACAGTGGAGTTGTGTGGCTACTGTGGAGTGTTATTGATTAGTTGAAGAGAAAATGTCAGGCTTGAGCAATTAATGACCAATTCAAAGCAAAATATGAAAGCCAGAGGGCCTGCTTGGTAGCATTTAAGGGGACCCTAATGTCTTGCAGCCAAAGTCCAGACAGAATGGAGGACCAGGTTCCAGACTTAATCATAAAAGCAGTGAAACTTCCAGTCAAAGTCAGTGTGGAGCTCCATGATTTGGGACGGGACGGTCTGGGTGTATGTATATGAAAACCTTCAACTCCCAAATTCCCTGAAACCACTGGATCGACAGGAGGGCTCCCTCCTTTTTGTCAGAAGATAATGGAACCCCTTTATTGAAGGGCATGATGAAAACTTAGATCATGCAGGTGCCTTTAAAGACCAAGCTTATCTCTCTCTTACCTGCCCACCTACCCCTCCCCCAACTTCCCCTCCTATAACCATACCAATAATAAAGATCAAATCTCAGCATAGAATCACTTAGGCCCAGGGGGTGGAGGTTGCAGTGAGCTAGGCCAGCTAAGGAAGGGAGACTAAATACAGGAGATATGGCTTGGAGAGTACACTTGGGATTGGTTCCTGAGAGTGCTAAATCAAGGGGATAGAACACAAAGTTGAAAAATAGATAGTTTATTGAAATGGTAGTAATCTTTTTGTGATTCAGGATTTAATAGCCTGTCAAGAACCCCAGAGCTGGTGCTAATGAGAGCTCCTGGAAGCTTCTTGGAAGCTTGATGGCCACACTAAGTGAAGAAGAACCAGAGCTGCCATGGTAGGTGGTAGAGGAAAGAACCGAAGGACATAAACAAGGGAGAATGCTGAAATGGATACACTACATAAGTTTGAAAACTCCCACTACCATATTTATGTTACCTTCTGCAGGAAGATAAGGGGCACCAGCATCCTTGAGATACAAAGTGGTGACTATCCTCTTACCCAGCTTGGGTCCGGGATGATGGTGGAGATGCTACTACAGAACTGGGCTCTCTGCAAGCAATGCAGTTTTGGTTAGCAGTGCTTAAACATCAGAAGCAAGGGAGATGCACTTACTGAAATTAGCAGTAAGGCCAGAGTCATACCAAGGGAGGTCTAACTTTCAGGAAGCTATGAGATAGCTAATTAGCAGGAGCAGGTAGCACTGTTGCACACAATGGGGCAAGGGAAGAATGTGGTTGGTGCTCAGTATAACCACTGGTGTGGCTCTGGATTTTTTTTTTTTTTTCTGAGGTGGGGTCTCACTCCATCACCCGGGCTGGAGTGCAATGGCATGATCTCAGCATGATCAGGTGATCCTCCCACTTCAGCCTCCCAAGTAGCCGAGACCACAGGCGTGCCCCACCATGCCCAGCTAATTTTTTTATATTTTTTGTAGAGACGGTTGGTGGGGAGGGGGGGTCAGCCGATGTTGCCCAGGCTGGTCTTGAATTCCTGGGATCAAGCGGTATACCCACCTTGGTCTCCCAAAGTGCTGGATTATAGGCATGAGCCCCCTGCCCGGCCCTGGCTCTGGATGCTTCTATGCCTAATTTTAACAATAAATGGACAAATACAGTAGTTATAGCCTTAAAGATGAGAGTCGGGATCACTTCACCAGACAAGCTGCCTAGGGCAGCAGAATTGGTGAGGGGTGAGGTGTGCCTAGATTAACAGAAAGGTGAAGGGAATTCGAAATGGGTGGTAGAAGAAGGGGATGATGAGTATTAGTTATGGCCTCCTAATTACACTCTGTGTCAGGGGAGGAGTAACCTGACATATATTCGGGGTATGTACATAGGCTCACAGGCCATGGAAAATAGTTTGGTTGGCTAGTGAGTGCTCCAGAAGGAACAGGACTGGAAGACTGGCAATAGGTCAGTCTGGGTAAGAGGCATGTGAAAACCCTGTGGGAGTGGCACAAAATGTGTGTACCTTTGAGTCCTTGTGAATATCATCCAGAGGGCACCTTACCGTGGATGAGGCTCTTCACAAACAGTTGAGGAGTCTACCCATCCAGTAGAGGCCGACTAGCCTTTTCCCCTAGCCATCTTCATGCTTGCTTAGTGTCCCCATGAATTCAGTGGCCATTGTAGAAGGGATTGAAGTTGTACCTGGGCCCAATAACATGGGTCTGTCTCATTAAAGCTCACCTAGCTGCTGCCACTGCTGAGTCCAAACTGCCAGCAATGGAGACAGACACTGAGTGTTCCATCTGCACTATTCCTCAGAGAAACCAGCCAGCCACTTGTTGGTAGGTTACCTGCATTTGACCTCTTTACCTGGGAGGGGTGGAATTCAGCCTTATTGTAATGAGTACATACTTTGAATGTTGGTCTGCCTCGCCTTCCTGCAGGGCCTCCACTATCATCACCATCTGATCCATCCATATCATTTCTCCCACAAATGGTCTTAGGCCAAGTGACCCATTTTCTGGCAAAAGAGATATGAAAATAGACTCATGACCAAAGAATAATGGTGTGCTTCATCACCCAGAAATACAGAAGTAGCCTGCGATTAAACGGTAGATGAGTCTTTGGAAGGTTCATCTAAGGTGTGGGTTGAACTGGGGATACTTTGCATGGTTGCGGCACTGTCTTCTGGGAAATGGTATATGTACTGAACCATGGGATGGTATATGGTACTTTATCTCCAATAGCTAGAATATTTGAGAAGTAAGGGTGGAGGTTAGGGCATTTCCACTATCACACTTAATGACCCTCTTGTGGAATTTGTGCTTCTTGTTACCAGAACATATGACATATAGCTGTCCCTCAGTTCCTGGACACCCAAGGATACCAAAATCCATGGGTGTTCATCTCTTACACAAAATGGCATAGCGTTTGTATATAACCTACTCACATCTTCCTGTATACTTTAAGTCATGTCTAGCTTACTTACAATGTCTAATACTATGTAAATGCGATGTAAATAGTTGTTATACTGTATTTTAAAATTTATACTATTTCATTGTTGTATTGTTATGTTTTATTGCTTTTTCTGAACACTTTTGAACCAGAGTTGGTTGAATCTGCAGATGTGGAACCTGCGGATACAGAGGACTGACTGTATTATATATTATATATATTTATACATGTTATATGTATATGTGTATGTTATATATATTTATATATATATATATATGATGGCCATGCTGTAAAGCATGAATTCAAGACCCTAAAGATTGCAAATATGACTTTCATTTAAAGCAATGTGTTACGTTTATGCCAATTAATCTTTAACATTAATAAGAGGCCAATTATACTCTTGAAGAGTAAGATGTTTTACGAGAAAATGACAAAAAGATACATGTAATCATTGCAATGCCAGTTTACCATCAGATAGGACGTGCAATAATCCTTTTAGCAAGCTTAAGCTTTTACATATTAATGGAAATACTGGAGAGTGGGAAGATGCCTTTTACAGCATCACCGAGGTCCTTACAATGCAGAAATGTCTCTGCTGCTTGGCCTGATTACTAGCATGTGCTGGGGAGAATAACACTGTTTTGTGGGCTCTTCCCTCCTCACTACTGAGGCCTGGGGTGGTTTTTTAAATGCAATGCTGTACAGAGATTAATAATGAGGAGGGGAAAATTCATTTAGACGTTTGACAACATCTCTGTGACACTCAGTATTCGTCTCATATGGAGTAGATTTGCGCTGCAGAGAAATGCTGGCAACACTTTATTCTTAAACATACGATTAACCAGCTGCCAGAGACAACAGAACATTTAAAACTCCTATTCCAATCGCCAAGTTACCGTCTATAGGTCTCAGAGCTACTAAAATGTATTTAAAAGTGAGCCACAAGACAACGTGTGTTTCCTTATGTGTAAGACACAGGGCGTGGATCAGATGAGAGCCTTGATGATCCCTTTCTGAACTACAGCTTCACCGTGTAACCGTGTCAGGCAAATAAAGTAACGGAGAAAAGCAAGCTGTTGACTAAGGGAAGTGAATAAGAAACAAAATACATCAATGGTAAGTCCAAACACAAATTCTTTTCATGGCGAAACAATTAAGGCTGTTCTCATCATTTCTGAAAGCTGAGCTGAGGAGCCATCTGAAGATATTCATTCCTGGATATCTGTTGGAGGAAACATCTGCCTTTCTTTTAAGCTTGAAAATTACAGAGCAATCAACTTAAATGTTAGTGAAGAGAGGCAAGGATAACTAAATGTGAAATCTATTTGGCAATGAAAATGAGCAGGGAACAATGCGGATAAATCTCACAAATACAATGTTGAGCAAAAGAAAGACACAAAAGAATACACACATACACACCATATGGGCTAGGCACAGTGTATCCTGCCTGTAATCCCAGAACTTTGGGAGGCTGAGGGTGGATCGCTTGAGCCCATGAGTTCAAGACCAACCTGGGGAACATGGTGAAACCCCATTTCTGCAAAAAATACAAAGTTAGTTGGGGACGGTGGTGTGCATCTGCAGTTCCAGATACTCAGGAGGCTGAGATGGGAGGATCAATTGAGCTCGGGAAGTTGAGACTGCAGTGAGCTGTGTTCACCTCACTGCACTCCAACCTGGGTGACAGAGTGAGACCCTGTCTCAAAAAAAACAACACAAAGAATACACACATGCATATTACATGGGCTGCCTTTGGTGGCTCATGCTTGTAATTCCAGCACTTTGAGAGGTCAAGGTGGGTGAATTGCTTGAGCCTAGGGGTTCAAGACCAGCCTAGACAACACAGCAAGATGCCATCTCTACAAAAAAATTTAAAAATTAGCTGGACCTGGGGGCAGGTGCCCATGTTCCCAGCTTCTCAGGAGGCTGAAGTAGGAGGATCACTCGAGGCCAGGAGTTCAAGCTTGCAGTGATCTATGATAGTGCCACTGCACTCCAGCCTGGGCAACGGAGAAAGACCCTGTCTCAACAAAATATTTTTTAAGTATACATACTATATGATCCTACTTATTACAGTTCAGAAATTGGGACAACTGGACTATATTGTTTAGGATGAAGACATAAAGGATGGAATTCTAGGGAGAAATGAGACAATTAGCATCACAGAACTCAGGATGGCGCTTGCGTGCTTGCTTCTGGGTGGCGCAGAAGGAGGTTACGACTGGGGAAGGGCCCCCACTCACATTCTCTTTCTTGACCTGGATGGTGGTTACATGCTGTTTGTTTAATAACTGTTTTATAAATATTACAAATATATTGTTTATCTTTTCCTGTATGGGTATTATGTTTTACAATTTAAAAAAAGAGAGGTATAGAGAAAAGTATACTTAAAAACAGTGTATTGTGTTATGCAGAACTATCTCATTTTAACATGTCCTTTTAAAAATAAAATAAATGGAGCCAGGCGCAGTGGCTGATGCCTGTAATCCCAGCACTTTGGGAGGCCAAGGCAGGCGAATCAGTTGAGATCAGAAGTTTGAGACCAGCCTGGCCAACATGGTGAAACTCTGTCTCTACTAAAGATACAAAAATAAGCCGGGCATGGTGGTGAGTGCCTGTAATCCCAGCTACTCAGGAGGCTGAGGCAGGAGAATCACTTGGACCCAGGAGGTGGAGGTTGCAACGAGCTGAGATTGTGCCACTGCACTCCAGTCTGGGTAACAGAGTGAGACTCCATCTCAAACAAACAAACAAAAACCAACCAAACGAAAAATAAATAAAATAAATGGGCTTCTACAGATGCAGTGAGTTCTTCTCCGTGCTTTCTCCTGACCCATCCTCCTTCCCCCTCATTTGAAGCAACTACAGCATGAACTTGGTGTGTATTCTTCCTGTCCTTGTTTTTATAATTTTACTATACATGGGTATACATGAATAACATATTTTCTTGTGGATTTTTGGAATTTACATTAATTCTGTGACACATGTATTACTCTGGTAACATGTTTGTGAGACCTACCCATGTTGTACACATCAAAGGGCTCGGCTTCTCTGTGTCTCAGTTTCTTCATCAACAAATATGAAAATAATGGTCTCTACCACACTGAGCTGTTGAGAGGTTGAAATGAGTTAATATTTATGAAGTTTCTCATACATAGTAAGGGATACATGTGCCTAAGTAAATGGTCTAGCTGACTAACTTCACCTGCTGCATAGAGTGCCATCAAATAAATATTTCCTCCTCCATTTCTTCACTGATGAACATTTACGGGTTTCCAATATTTAGAATTATAAACAAGACTGTAATAAATAGCTGTATATTCCTGCCTTTTGAAAACATTTATTTGGCATCTCCTGCAGACCTACAGGGGCCAGCATATTTTTTGGCTCTGACTTTGATAAGAACCAGAACCGGAAGGAGCCCCAGACAAGGACCATTTCAAGCGTCCATCACATGCTGAACGTGAGCAGGGCCTCATGTCTTTGAGAGCTCAAGGGCAGTAGTTAAAGCCTGGGGCTTTTAAGGATGAAGCTCAAGAGGAGATGGGGGAGGAAGGGAATCATCAGCATATACTGGGCACTTAGTGTTAAGTATTTTGTCTACTTTATCTCATTGCTATAGATGGCACATATTGTCTTCATTTTTCAGATAAGAAAATTGAGGCTTGAAAAGCTAAAGAATGGGCCAGGCATGGTGGCTCACACCTCCTAGCACTTAGGGAGGCAGAGGTGGGAGGATGGCTTGAGTCTAGGAGTTTGAGACCTCCCTAATGTAGCAAAACCTTGTTCTCCACAAAAAGGGGCGGGGGGTGGGGGGAAGACACACACGGAAAAAAGTTAAAGAATGTGATTAAGAGCACACAGATTATAAGGGGAGGAGCTGGAATTCAAAATTACTAATGAAAAATTGAAGGATTTAAGGTCAGGAAAAAACGGGTTAGCAGTTTACCTCAGAGGTAATACACAGTTAATTAGCTTCATTTAGCCATCCCACAATATAGACATATTTTGAAACATCACATACACCATAAACATATACAATTTATCTTTGTCAAACAAAATAATAGTAAAAATTTAACCCCTCTGCAAGAAAAAAAGAACACAGATATAAATATCCTGGGTGCATGTCATAAATACAGATGATGAGGATGATGATGACGATGATGGTTAATACAATTTCCACAAGGTGAAAATCTGCATCACCAACAGATTGTGTTTGGCTGCAAACTAAACCTTCAGGAATATTGGCTTAATTAAAAAAATAAAATAAAAAGCAAAACCAAACAACAAAACCAGTTTACCTCAAAAGGGGGAGTAAAAAAGAATAATTGGATCAATCCCAAAGGCCTGCATCTTGTAGCAATCCCAGCCACACTTAGGCTGGGGCCCAGGCAGGGCTTCTCTATCCAGATCACGTTGAGCCTTGATCAGCATCTTTGCCTAACTCTGCACTTTGCAAAGGCCCAAATGGTGCTGGGGTTTTTAAGAGGGTGGGGAGCGAGGGAAGAACTGGGGTGAGAGAACAGAAAGGGATATGCTACAGAGATGATTATTGAAAGTTGACAGCTGCCAAACACACTGTGTCCCTGGCAACACCTGTTGAGTGTGCCGCGGTGGTGGGGAGAGTGAGATGAAGAAAGACAGCTGTCTACATGCCAACAGCAGCAGGATGCTGTGCTGGGCTCGTGCTCTGCCAGCAGAAGAGGAGCCAAACTCGCTGGCCCAGATTCAAATGGCTGGGTGTCCACTGAGTTTGCCAGTGAATAAGCCCAGGGAATACATTTGCATTAACACCGCTCAGCCACCTCCCTTTCTCCTGCCTCCCATCCCTCCCCCGCCGCATGCAACATCGTTCTTCTTCCCAGAATGTCATCTTCAGGCTGCTTTTCAGAACCTGTATTTCAGTGAAACATGAGGTTAGGCAGATGCTGTCCTGAATTGCCTCGAAGGAAGCCAGCATCAGTAGTCGAGAGCAAGACAAAAAGCTCCATCTCAGGTTTTTGGCAGTTGGCTAGAAAAATATGCTAGGTAATTTTAATTTTTTTGTGTATGTGAAAAGAAAGAATAGATGGGGTTTTACATTTTATCTCATGCAAACATTATTCTCACCCAGACCCTTCCTTTATTTGAACACCTTAAAATCTGGGGAATTTTCAGCTAAGCTGGGAGAGTTTTACAATGGCAGTGGAATGTTACTGGGAAAGTTTGGTTCTGCCTGCAAAATTGCTTCCTAAGATGGAGAAGTGTCAGATATGTCTAATTTCTTCTTATCTTTTTTCAGGGCTCAGGGAGACCCTTGAGGAATAAGAAGTCTCATATCTGGATGAGGAAGTTTTTCTCTGCACAGACCACTGTTTGTGATTTGGAAAAGAAATCTCTCTATATATGTATTATAGCATATATCATTTCAGCCACTTTGTGCCAGCATGCATTAGAGGTGGTGAGAGAGATAAAACCTTAAGGAAGAAAGAAGCTTTGTGGATTACTGTTCTGATAGCCTTTCTCCCAGAGGTCTTAATGAGTGACTAGGCCTCAAATGATAGAAATTATCCCATTCTTCTTTGTGACCTTCCAACATTGCCCATGAAAAAACCCCAAAACCAAACAACTACATTTCTTGGAAAAGGCTTTCATTTCTATGTTGTCCTTGTGAAGGAAGATAAGATTAACACTTCCTCCTCATTCCTTTCTTTCTGAATGTAAATCTTTTTGGAGTAGCTTTTAGTTGAAATAATTAAGTAATGTTAGAAATTGTCAGATAAACAACATGCTACGAGTAAAATATTTATTTTAGGAATTTATCTTACGAATATATATGTGTATAAAGACACATGTTGAAGCATATTCATTACAGTATTTTTTTCAAGTTCACTACAGCAAAAGTCTAAAGAATAACCTATGGCCCATCCATAGAGCATATTTTTTTTTTATTGATAGTGCAGCCATACAAATACTACTATGCAACTGGTTAAAAAGAGTGAGTTGGTTCCATATGTATAGACATGGGCTAACCTCCAAGACATATTAAGGGCAAAATGCAAGGTGTAGAATAATGTGTACAGCATGCTATCATATTTGTGTAAATAAAAAGAAAATATACATCTATGCATATGATTCATTCTCGAAGAATGAACAAGAAGCACCTAACAGGCAGTTACCTCTAGGAATGGGAGCCCAGTGATGGGAGGTGGGAGACCAAGATTTTACTGTGTATATTTTTGTACTGTTTGAATTTTTTCTATTACCATGTAATGTGTCACATTTTCAAAATAATTTTAAAAAGTAAACTAATAAAATTTATTCCTACGCTCTAAATTGAATATTATAATTTTTAATTTCTAAGTTCTTTTGTTTTTAAACTAGTTGTGTATGATGTCACACACCATTGGCTATTACTACATATTAGTAACTTGATTCATTGAATTTGCCTGGTTAGTGACTGATTAGAAAATATGAGCCAATGTAGTCAAAATATCCATTATAAGTATAAATTGAGATGTTTTTTTCCTCAGTCACATAAATCGGCTCAGATACATCATTGCTCACTGTCAATGAAATAAGATGGCTTTTAAGGACTTAATTGCCATAATTCTGCAATAGCATTTGGGCACCGTATTAGTCCATTCTCACACTGCTATACATACATACCTGAGACTGGGTAATTTTTAAGAAAAGAGGTTTTAATTAGCTTATGGTTCTGTGGGCTGTACAGGCTTCTGCTTCTGGGGAGGCCTCAGAAAACTTACAATCACGGTGGAAAGCGAAGGGGAAGCAGGCACATATTCACATGGCTGACAGGAGAGAGAGAGTGAAGAGGAAGTGCTACACACTTTCAAACAACCAGATCTTGTGAGAACTCACTCACTATTATGAGAAGAGAAAAGGGGAAATCCACCCCCATGATCAAATCACCTCCCACCAGATTCTTCCCCCAACATTGGGGATTACAATTCAACATGAAATTTGGGTGGAGACATGAAGCCAAACCACACCAGGCCTCCAAGTCCTTATATTGAATTTTGAAAACATTTTGATGCTTTCAGCTTGCCTTATTCTTATATATACATACCCAACTGACTCCATTTCTAATAAATAATGGGAGGAACTGGTGAACATTTTCATGGACTTAGGAACACACTTGTCATATTTATCTACATTCCCAGCAAAATGCTCTCTTTTGTCTCCTTCTCCCTTCCACCTTTCACTCCACGGAAAGCAAGTCAAATAAATACATTGAGAGAGGGGAAGTTTTGCCCATAGAGTTAATAAGATATCAAAATTATAATACTGTTCTTGAATCAAAGTATGTGGAACTTTAAATCAGAGGTGAGCTTGTTCCCTTTGGGAGATTTGGGGTCAGAAAATCTGAGTTTCTGTCAAATTAACCTCCTTCTTCTCCTAGTTTCAGTTTGTAATATAATGGTGTCTGTCCATCTGATGGGAGGATCAAATGAGCTAATGGCTAATGATAGAGCCCTTTGGAACTGTAATGCTCTATTAGTTATTTTTATTAAATATCACAAACATTTTGGGTAAAAAAATAGATTGTTTCAAAGTTCTTCTGCTGAATTCAATTTCTGTACAATGCTTAGAATGAAAGGTTTCAGTATTTTCAAGTTAATCTGTGTGTCTGCCTTTGACAAGGGTCTTCTCCTAAGAGAACTGGTACTGCGGCAACATCCAATCAGAGTGAGCCTCAAAAACGAAACACGATGCTTGATGGAGACAACGCTTAGAAAACTGGACTGAGCTCATTGTGGTAGGTTTACATGTGCACAAGGGTACAATCCTGGAAAGTACAAATAAGTTTGATGAGGTGACAATTTTACGCTTTCATATTCTTAAATTCATTCAAACAATTTTGATTTAGACAAATTAAGTTGTAAGTGGAGTCCCTTGATTGCCTTTCTTCTTTTTCAGAAATAAAGATTAAGATTTGTGACCCACTAAACACCACCCTTTAATTTCATTTGTTTTGCATTTTACTTGATAAACCACCAATTCCTAATTTATATTGCTCTCATTTCATATACAGTATTTTTCTGCCTAACTTTTTTTTTTTTTTCAGACAGGGTCTTGCTCTGTTGCCCAGGCTGGAATGCAGTGGCTTGATCTCGGTGCCCTGCAGCCTCAACCTTCTGGGCTCAAGCGATCCTCCTGCCTCAGCCTCCTGTGTAGCTAGGTCTATACGCACACACCACTACACCTGGCTAATTTTTGTATTTTTAGTAGAGACGAGGTTTCGCCATATTGCCCAGGCTGGTCTTGAGCTCCTGGACTCAAGTGATCTGCCCACCTCGGCCTCCCAAAGTGCTGGAATTACAGGTGTGAGCCACCATTGCCAGCCACATTTGACTTGAAATGCAGTGGTTTTAAGTTAGGATGCTTCTAAGTCATTATACCCCATCTTTCAGAGCAATGGTTTTAAAAACTATTTTCTTGGCCAGGTGCAGTGGCACATGCCTTTAATCCCAGTACTTTGGGACGTTGAGGTGGGTGGATCACCTAAGGTCAGGAGTTCGAGATCAGCTGACCAACATGGTGAAACCCTGTCTCTACTAAATACAACAAATTAGCTGGGTGTGGTGGCTCGTGCCTGTAATTCCAGCTACTTGGGAGGCTGAGGCAGGAGAATCGCTTAAACCCAGGAGGCAGAGGTTGCAGTGAGCCAAGATCGCACCATTGCACTCCAGCCTGGGCAACAAGAGCGAAACTCTGTCTATAATATACACACATATATATATATACACACAAATATATATATCTGTCTAAAATATATACATATGTATATCTGTGTAAAATATATATATATCTTTTCTAAAATATATATTTTTTATATATCTGTCTAAAATACATATAGTGTCTAAAATATATATATTTATATCTGTCTAAAATACATATATCTGTCTAAAATATATATATATTTATATATATATCTGTCTAAAGTATATATATTTATATATCTGTCTAAAATATACATATTTTTATATATGCCTAAAAATATATATATTTATACATATATCTGTCTAAAAAATATATGTATTTATATATCTGTCTAAAATATGTATTTATATATCTGTCTAAAATATATATTTATATATATCTGTCTAAAATATATCTGTCTAAAATATATATATATTTATATATATCTGCCTAAAATATATATTTATATATGTCTAAAAGTACATATTTATATCTGTCTAAAATATATATATATATTTATATATATCTAAAATATTTATAAATATATCTGTCTTTTATATATATATATCCTTAAGTGGTGGAATACTTTGTTCAAAGGAAATAGTACACAAATATCCAATATGTTAAAAGGGCAAAAGTGGAGCTGGAGTGAGGGAGGGATGGCATGTGTATGTGTGTGTGTGTGTATGTGTGTGTGTGCATGTTTTTTTAAAGGGTGTGGAGGTCAGCTTACACCCTTGGGTTGACCCTTCTCCACTGCTCACTTGTGACTGTTTCCATTAACAGCCAGTGAAATCAGATGAGTATTCTCATGATATGAGATCCTTACGCTGAGGCTGCACTGTAATAATGAGTTAGATCCACCTCTCTATCTTGCACAGATATTAAAAAAAAGAGCTGAGTGGAAATTCAGGAGACAGAAATGTATCCTGTGGGATTTCTTTTACAGCTATCTGGTCATTATGAATCATGCCAGGATTACAAAGTTTGGGATTTGAAGACATTTATAATAGAAAATATAACAGAATTTGCAATGACTGGGTTGAGAGACAGGCTCACAGCAAAAAAAAAAAAAAAAGCAGCTGGCTGTTACAGTAGTTAATTTCTGAACTTCTATGTGCAAAGATGAAGTGAAAGCCACTCTATATTGAAAAACACTATGATATGTTCAGTTTCTTCTGCAGTTAAAGGAACTTATTTTATATTGTAAGTTTCCATTTTATTTGTGTGTCATTATATAATGACATTTCCATCTCTGGCCATAAGTCATCCAACTTCTTATTTGATGTAATATAATAGAATTAATAGCTATTTATCCTAAAACGCATATTAAATTAAGATTTTTTATATCCGTGCTCCTCTGCTCAAGTAAATTCAAATGTGTGTAGAATGAAAGGCAATTTACATATGGCATTTTTAGTCTTCAATGTCTAAGAAAAGCATTGGAATATTTATTTCACAAAGAGAAACCAAGAACTATTGAAAGTCTTTTCTGCTTGCTAAAGGAAAAAGCGGAGTTCACTTTGTAACTCCTCTGATGGAGGACCATGTACGTCTCTTGGTATATTTAACACACAAAAAAAATCAAGTGGCAATCTTTATTCAACTTAGACTAGGTGTTAGGAATTATCTTTCATAAGCTTTTCATCTTAGGAAGGTGTCATATAAAGTTGATTCAAAAATCTTCACCTACTAGTTATATCTTCGTTCTAATCATTCTATTCTTTGCATATACTTAAAGCTTTTGTGCTTATATTTCATATTTTATCTTTTTTTCTTTTTCTTAACGTGTTGCCTCAAAAATGTAAGGTATTTTATATGTGCATAGTCTGTCTCTATGACTAGACCATTAATTCCATGAGGGCTGGGACTTCTTCAGTGTCTCCAAAGAATACCAAGTCCAGTCTTCTGCACTAACTAATCTCTGCAGGAAGTATGTGTTTATTGTCACCCGGCACATTCGTACTTCTGAATGTTCGAACACTCCCCGACTTGCTCCATTGGTTTGCACTCAGGGCAAACAAACCGATTCACTAGTTTGAATAAGCAACAGTCAATAGGAAGGTAAATCTGTTGCTACAAAAATAACAAAATGTACATTAAAGGAAATACAAGTGGTTTTTGCATTATCCATTATCTGCTGTTCTAGAATAGAAATCATTACATTCATTATGAAGATGCAATATTTCCCAATAGATTCCAAACATCCATGACTTTAGAAATGTTAAATAGATTACTTGAGCCCAGGACTTCAAGGCTATAGTGAGCCATGATTGTGCCACTGCACTCCAGCCTGGGTGACAGAATGAGACCCTGTCTCGAAGAAAAAAAAAGAAAGTCAATTTTCTTGTCTCACAGGAGAAATTGGTTGGTTTGGTATAGCTTTATGCATTTGTATAAAGTGCTTTAATTCTTTTCATTGTAGTCTGGCAAATCCAGAGGGATTTTTGTCGTTGTTGTTTTGCAGTTGCTGCTTTTGAGATGGAGTGTCCCTCTGTCTCCCAAGCTGGAGTGTAATGGTGTGATCTTGGCTCACTGCAACCTCCGCCTCCTGGATTCAAGTGATTCTCCTGCCTCAGCCCCCCGAGTAGCTGGGACTACAGGCATGCGCCACCATACCTGTCCAATTTTTGTGTTTTTAGTAGAGATGGGGTTTTGCCATGTTGGCCAGGCTGGTCTCAAACTCCTGACCTCAGGTGATTCGCCCACCTTGGCCTCCCAAAGTGCTGAGATTACAGGTGTGAGCCACTGTGCCTGGCCCAGAGGGTTTGAAGGTGGCTAGATGTAGTTTTATAATAGGCATTATTTTTATTGTTATTTTCAATTTATGTTTCACTTTTAGTATTACTACTTTTGGCTATAATATATAAGGAAGTTGTCCTGCCTTCCTTTATTGAAGTTTGTCAGATCTTGTGGCTTCTTCCCAGCCCCTCTTCCAGCAGCAGGTTTCAACAAGGATGTACAATGTACCGGAGTGTCAGACCTGGGTTTGAGTCCTTTGCTACCCAGCTATGTGACCACGTAACCCTGGCCAAGTTCCTTAACTTCTTATTCTTCGATTTCCTCATCTATAAAATGAAGATAATAGAGATCATGAGGATTAAGTAAGATAATGAATGTTAAATACTTAGTACACTTCCAGATGCACAGGAAGTGCTTGATAAATACTTGATAAACGTTAGCTGGGCTGGTTGTGGTGGCTCAGGCCTGTAATCCTAGCATGTTGGGAGGGTAAGGAAGGAGGATCATTTGGTGCCAGGAGTTTGAGACCAGCCTGAGTGAAATAGCAAGACCTCATCTCTACAAAATAAACATAATAATAAATTAGCTGGTCCTGGTGGTGTGTGCCTGTAGTCCCAGCCACTCAGGAGGCTGAGGCAGGAGGAGAACTTTTGCCCAGGAGTTCAAGGCTGCAGTGACCTATGATGGCACTGCTGCACTCCAGCCTGGGCCATAAAGTGCAACCCTGTCTCTAATTTTAAAAATATAATAATAATAGGCTGGGCGCAGTGGCTCACGCCTGTAATCTCAGCACTTTGGGAGGCCAAGGCGGGTGGATCACTTGAGGTCAGGAGTTCAAGACCATCTGGCCAACATGTTGAAACCCCGTCTCTACTAAAAATACACAAATTAGCTGGCCGTGTTGGCGCAAGCCTGTAGTCCCAGCTACTAGGGAGGCTGAGGCAGGAGAATCGCTTGATCCCAGGAGACGGAGGTTGCAGTGAGCTGAGATCGTGTCACTGCACTCCAGCCTGGCAACAGAGTGAGACTCTGTCTCATAATAATAATAATAATAATAATAATAATAATAATAAATGTTAGCTGTTCCAATTAGCAGATGCTCTGATAAGTCGTAGCTTGATTCCCAGAAAGGATGGCTCTGCTCTCCAACTCCAGCTGCTTCTCTGGATACAGATCATGGAAAGTGTGCCTGTGATTCTCTCTACCTTCATTTGGTGGAAGAACCCTCACAAATCTGTCAGTGAATGTAAACCAATGGTAAGGTAGGATCTTTGGAAGTACACTCATCCCTCTGTATGGGGGATTGGTTCTAGGACCCCAGTGGACACTAAAACCTGTGGATGCTCAAGTCTCTGATATAAAATGGTGTAGTGTTTGCGTATAACCTACTGCACATCCTCCCATGTACTTTAAATTACTCTAGATGACTTTTTTCTTTGAAACAGGGTTTTGCTCTGTCACCCAGGCCAGAGTGCAGTGACGTGATCTTGGCTCACTGCAACCTCTGCTTCCCAGGTTCAAGCGATTCTCATGCCTCAGCCTCCCAAGCAGCTGGGATTACAAGTATGCACCACCATGCCTGGCTAATTTTTTGTATTTTTTGGTAGAGACAGGGTTTCACCATATTGGTCAGGCTTCTAGATTACTTATAATACCCAATACAATGTAAGTGCTACGTAAATAGTTGTTATACTGTATTCTTTTTAAATTTGTATTATTTTTTGTTGTATTTTTAAATCATTTTTCCCCAATATTTTTGATCCACTGTTGGTTGAATCTGCAGTTGCGGGACTGGCAGATGCAAGCAGCCAACGGTACTTGCAAGAAATCCAACAGTGGGTTGTGTTTTAGTAGCAACAGCATTTAGCAGGAGGCTCATTGTAATGTGATGTTGGGTTTCAAGCCATGGACTTTCTTAGAAATCAGAGAATTTTGTTCCCCACCCTGCGTCCAAGTGTTCTCATTGTTCACTTCCCACCTATAAGTGAGAACATGTGGTGTTTGGTTTTCTGTCCTTGTGATAGTTTACTCAGAATGATGGTTTCCAGCTTCATCCATGTCCCTACAAAGCACATGAACTCATCCTTTTTTATGGCTGCATAGTATTCCATGGTGTTTTTGTGCCACATTTTCTGTCGTGGGTTGTGGTGAGAGGGGAGGGATAGCATTAGGAGATACACCTAACGTAAATGACGAGTTAACGGGTGCAGCACACCAACATGGCACATGTATACATATGTAACAAACCTGCACGTTGTGCACCTGTACCCTGGAACTTAAAGTATAATAATAAAAAAAAGAAATCAGAGCATTTTACACCAAGGGGCTTTGAAGCCTACTCCCCTTAGGTGATGTCTGAGGTAAATTTTCTTGCTCTGAATCCTACTCTCAAATCATTTTTCTGTAGTAAGATCTCCATGATATTTTCAGCTTTTCCACATCTTCTTGCTCATCTCCCAATCCTGGAGGGACTTCCATTTGGATGGGAGATCTGCCCAGTCCTTCTCCAGGGCATGGAGCAATACCGTGTGAACCGAAGCACTCACAGACACGCCTCAAATCAGTAAGGTTGAAAAACTCTCCAGCACCACATTGCTTGTTGAAAATCCAGATCATTGAGATGATAGTTACATGGTCAGTCTGTCAGCATGAAGGTCTGACTACTGAGAAATGAAAAATGTTAAGTGATTTGGAGCAGTGCAGAGAAAAAAAACTAAAAATGGGTCCCAGAGCTTCTTCATCTTCTTGTCCTTCTCAGTCATTGTTCCTTAGCCTTAATTTCAATGTTAAATTTTAGATATTGTAAATCTTTCATTGCTGTTCACTTCCTTCTCATCTTTTTAAAAACTAAAATAGTATTTAATTTATTTTTGAAAATTAAAAAATACTAAAGTACCAAAAAGAAAAAATTATAAATTCACTGCCTAGAAATACCAATTGTTGACTTAGTGGCATACTTGCTATTAATATTTTTAAATAAGAAAAAAATGCTGAATTTATAAAAATCACCCTAAATTTAATCACCCAAGAATAGTAGTGTCAAGATTACATTGGATAAATATTTTCAGATATCTTTCTGTCTATACACACAACATACAGAGAGAGGAAGAGAGAGAGAGAGTGAAATGCTTTCAGATAACTGGGACTATATCTAGAATTTATTTTTAATAAAATAAAAACAAACTACATGTAATTTTCCCTTTATTTAATGGAAGAAAAAAGAGACTTTAGGAATTATTGAACCTGTTTTTTCACTTTAAGATTTAATATTTTGCAGCTGGGTGCAGTGGCGCATGCCTGTAATCCCAGCACTTTGGGATGCTGAGGCAGATGGATCACTTGAGGTCAGGAGTTCAAGACCAGCCTGGCCAACATGGTGAAACCTCATCTCCACTAAAAATACAAAAATCAGCCTGGCGTGGTGGTGCACACCTGTAGTCTCAGCTACTCTGAAGGCTGAGGCAGGAGAATGGCTTGAACCTGGGAGGGTTGCAGTGAGCTGAGATTGTACCACTATGCTCCAGCATAGGCAACAGAGCAAGACTCTGTCTCCAAAAACAAACAAAAAAAAGGTTTAATATTTTCAGAAATGGTTGTAACAAACTTTGAATTGGAGCTATGTATGTTTTAGTTTCAGATATTATCAATTAAGCTTTTGCTGTGAAATAAGAGGCTATTAGCACTCTTACATGTGCTGTCATCTCCTGTCACCTCCCAATTTTTGTTATTATTGGTACAAAGCCCATGTTTATAATATTGAGATTCTGATCTTTGAAAATGCATCATATTAATTCATTTAATACATGCAAATAAATATTATGCTCACTTCAGTCCTTTTACAACAGCTTCTCCAGTCTAAGTTATACATTTTGATTAATCTCATAATATGACAGATTTAATTGTCAAGTAGTTTTTTTTCTAACAAGGGTATATGAATGCTGCATTTCTGAGGTTTTTTTTGTAGTTTGAGAATATCTACTGGTAGCTTTCATACAAGAACAACATTTGGCTCCTTACAGATGACTTTCTTAGATTGCATTTTCTTTTCTTCAGAACTTTGATCTGTACATACAGATTTGTGAAACCACCGCCATATAGATATAGAACTACATCATCATCAAAGATCCCCTTTGTGCTGGCTCTTCATCATATCCACCTTTCTTTTCCACCTCCATCCCTAACCTCTGACAGCCACTAGTCTATTGTCCATCTCTATAATTTTGTCATTTTGAGAATAAATTTCAAAAATTTATATAAATGGAATCACACAGTATGAAAGCTTTCAGGCTTTTTTTTTTTTTTTCATTCAGTATAATGCCTTTGAGATCCAGTTAGGATATTTTCTTTATTGTGCAATGTAGACATTCACTGGCTTTCCTTCCCTTCTGATAAGAGCATCCTAATTTTCCTCTGGAGGATTCCTCTTCCTCCATTCTCAGTCGGCTAACGAACATACCCACAACCCCATTCTCCTGGGATGGTCACATGACCAAGACCTGTTCTCAATTTCCTCTCCATATGAGAGTGCAGAGGCAGGAGTGGAGTCAGGTGTTATACTCACTACAATATACTGTGTTAAGTCTTCTAGTGGTGACAGTATAAAGAATGAGAGTGAAAATAATAAGATTCTGACAAGGAATTTGGAAAGCCTTCCTGAGAAAGTGCTATTTAGGTTGACTCCTGAAGGCTGAGTAATTTCTTCTAGCAGAGAAGTGGATCGGACAGTAAGTCATTATTACTGCCAGTGAAAGATTAAGAACAGAAACCCACACCCATATGTTAAAAAACATATGGAAAAACACAAAGATTATGTGTGCTGTCGTCTGAAATTACCCTGCAGGTCAGAAAAATCCGTAAAGTAACCATCTAGTGCTACTCAATTTAGAAAGATAATTATTTGGCCAGACACAGTGGCTCATGCCTGTAATCCCAGCACTTTGGGAGGCCAAGGCAGGTGGATCACCTGAGGTCAGGAGTTGGAGACCAGCCTGGCCAACATGGTGAAACCCTGTCTCTACTAATAACACAAAAATTAGCCAGGTGTGGTGGCATACACCTGTAATCCCAGCTACTTGAGTGGCTGAGGAAGGAGAATCGCTTGAACCTGGGAGGTGGAGGTTACAGTGAGCTGAGATTGTGCCATTGCACTCCAACTAGGGTGACAGAGTAAAACTCTGTCTCCAAAAAATAAAAATTTAAAAAAAAATTTTAAAAAGAAAGATAATTATTTAGCTAAGCATACTCACTTTGATTAAAGGCTATTAACAAATGAAATTGTGTTTGAATTTGAAAAGAATGTTCAAATTTTATGAAATATGCATATTGTATTAAGGAGTTTAAATTACTTTTAAAAACTCATTAAAAATTAAAGATTTATGTAAACAAGCTGAAATATAAAGAGAAGGATAATTAGTGAATTTATCAACTCTTCTTTTTGACCTGTTTGGTTTTTAGACATATGTGATCCACCATGTTTCTTTCCCTCTGTTAGCCTTGGCATGTGAATAGAAACTCTGCAGAAAGGGTTTACAATAGTCAGTTGGCAAAATAATAATAAGAATCTCTTAAAACGTTAAGTAACATTCTCCTCACTTGCAGAAGCATATACTTTGAATTGGGCCACTCAATCTTCAACCTCCTTCTTGTATGTTTTCCTGCAACACAGAAACTCAACATCTGAAAACTATACATTTCCTAGACTCTCTGTAAGCTAGAGACTGAAATGTAATTTGGTTCCACCAGTCAGATGTGTTTGCAAAACACATTAATATACAACTGAGTTAAGAAGAAATAAGAGCTCTGCTGCTTTGGTTCTGTCCCTAGGAATTCCATCTAGAATCTGTTTTCTTAGCAATTCTATTCTATAGGCCATTCTGTACAGTGCAATAAGTCCTTTTCTACCTCAATGAACCAGAGTAGATTCTGTTCTCTGTAACTGAACTCTGACCAACATGGCTACCTTTGGACAAAGTTTCTGGATTTTATTTTTTCAATATAATAATATCACTTAAGTATGAATTAATGTGGTAAAAATAGAATTGGGTACTAAGCACTCAAAAATAAAATGTATTACTTTTTTTCTTTGTTCAAAATGGAAATAGTTTTGTAGCTTTTGTTTTTAAAATGAAATAAACTTGGGCTTATAATAAAAATGTCAATAAAAGGAATAAGAAAGAAGGCAAAAGTTTATTTATAAAACATTTACCTGAGATAATCTCCATTCTTTTTCTATGCCTGGACATGTATAATGCACATATTTTAGAAAATAAAAGAAAATAAAAATATTGCTCCGCAATATGCTTTTCACCTGATATTATGAATATATCATATTTATATTTATAGCTTATCCCCTATATTGAATATGCAAGTTGTTTTAATTTTCAGCTGGTATGGACAAAGCCAAAATAAACATTTTTATAAATATCCATGCTTTTTTCGATTTATTTTGTTAGTGTAAATTTATAGTAGCAGAATTTCTAAGTCCACTTTAAAGGTTTTTGGTATGTATTGCCAGATTGTCCTTGGCAAAGATTGTATGTGTGTTCAAGGTCACCAGCAGTCAAGCTAGTGCCCCTTATGTTGCATGTCACCAACTCTGTATGTAAAATGGTCCCAATAATCTGATGGGGAAACCCAGTATCACATTTCGTGGTATTGTTCTCTTCCTCTCCTCTTCCTTATCATTAAAATAAGTAAACAAACTGCTATGGTTTGAATGTTTGCCCCCTCCAAAACTCATGTTAAAATTTAATTGCCATTGTAACAGTATGAAGGTGGCTCAACCCTATGGGTGGGATTGATGCCATTATTGAGGGAGGAGTTTGGCCCTCTCTCCCTCCCTCCCACCCTTTCACCTTCTACCACTGGATGACACAGCAAGAAGGCCCTCACCAAATTTTGGCTCCTTGATCTCAGATTTTCCAGTTTCCAAAACAATGAGCTGGTAAATTTCTATTTATTATAAATTACCCAGTCTCAGGTATTCTGTTACAACAACAAAAATGAGATAACGAAAATGAACTAAGACACAAATAAAACAAAAAAACAAGAAAACAAAAAAAGCCTCCCCAAACTATTGTTTTAGTTGTCTATATATATTTTATCTTCTCCCAAAAGATTACTATTTTATTCTTTTGGTTTCTTTAGTTCAGGATTATTATCCACACATGTTCCTTATCATGATGTTAATTGTAAATATGGGTTTAAAGCTGCAGTTAGCCTTAAAAGGAACAAAATCATGTCCTTTGCAGCAACATGGATGCAGCTGGAGGCCATTATCCTAAGTGAACTAACACAGAAAAAATATACCACATGTTCTCACTTATAAGTGGAAGCTAAACACTGGCTATGCACAGACACAAAGATGAGAACAATAGACACCGGGGATTCCAAACAAAGTGGGGAAAAACTACCTCTTGGGTACTATGTTCACTATTTGGGTAATGAGATCAATAGAAGCCCGAACCTCAGCATCATGCAATGTATCCATGTAACAAACCTGCACATGCACCCCCTGAATCTAAAAAAAAACAAATTCAAGCTGTAGTTATTCTTCAAGTGTTTTGAAATGTTTCTGAGGCTGAAACTGAATCAGATGGCATGTTTCACGTGTGTTTTGACTGTAATTTCTGTAGCATTTGCTATAGTGACACTCTTAGAAATAGAAGGGGCCAGTGTCATACATACCCTTAAACGTGGCTCATGGATGGCAGCTCCCTGGCAATCTGTATATGGTCTGTGTCTGTGCTATAAGTTATCAGAGCTGATTTGATTGCTACATCTGGATACACGAAGTCTCTCTTCAAACAACCACAGGGCTAATTGCTATTATTAATCTGTCTCTGTTGCCAGATTCATAGCTCCAGAGTAAGAAAATATTATCTGAGCAAATATTTAAGCAGAATTCTCTACACTGTTATGCTTCATTAAAAAAGAGTTTTCATTCAGTTTGTTCTGAAGTAAAGTGAAATGCTCCAAATAAAGGTACTCTCCGGTTTTCCCCAGCATTTTTTTTTCCACAGTAGGAAGACAAGAGCTTCTCAGGAAGAAAGCTTTTATGATGATAAGTTCTCATCTCTTATCCATGCCCCTCTATCAGAATTTGGTCTGTGGCAGTAAAACACTGTGACTGAAATGTAATATAACAGAATAGTTAGTGTACACAATTACACAAAGTCAAGCCCCTCCCACCATATTTTATATTACAGCTTTGTGGAATAAAGGCCATGGAGTCCTGTTCTAAGTCTCCAGAAAGGCTACACTGTCAGTGTCTTCAGGTAGATGAATCAGTCCTATCATTTAGTAACTTCAATGAAAGTCGCCGCATGTTTTTGTCATGGATTTCTTGAGAATCCATTGGAGGCGAGTTGTATATATATATTTTTTCAACACACATATTAAAGGAAAGCTACAATTTATTATTTTGGATCAAAAACTTGTGTTTAGAACTACAGATAAAAATATCAAACTTTTATCTTATATTTTAAAATAGACATTTTATTATACTAAGAAAAAACATCTAGCTCTATCTTGTTATTTCTTTATCACAAAGAAGAGAGAAGTGAAATTCGTATCTAAAAGGCTGTGGAACATTGTGCATTTAAAGTACTCAGCAAGTTATTCCCTAAAGCACTCCATATGATATGTAAATCTTTTGATCTTTCACATAATACATGACTACTATAAAGAATAGTGAGTACAAGCTTGGAAAATACAATATTGATTGTCATGTAGTGCACTTAGCCACAATTATTCTTTGCATGCCTTTGCAACATAACTAGAGGGGATACTTCTATGAATATGTTAAGAATACGCCAGTCTCTGCTAAAGAAAGATTTAATTGTATAAGAAAGACTTTTTCACCCCCTTTTCCCTTCCTCTAGTTATTTTTTTTTTCAAAAACCATCTTCTCAAGATAGAAAAAACTCTTTGGGAAAGGGTAGAATTGACTAGAATTTAAAAAGAGAAGCCCTGCTACCCCTTTGTTATTAATTACCATGAGATGAGTAAAATAACTTGGCTTTGCAAAGTATCACTCTATGATACCTTGCGGAAAGAATATTTAAATCATGATAAGCTGTTCTTTATGAAAATCTTAATTGAAAACTCAATTCAGCAATGTAAACAAAACTTTGTTCTGATGGTTTAGTTCAGAGAATAGCTGAATCAATGTATTTGGAATGTTTTAGATATTACAAATACTGTTTGAACTTGTTCAATAGCATTTATTTGAAATAAGCCACCATCTTTTTATACAGCAGTGAAAATTTTGATATTTGAATTCACTTGGTTTTAGTCAAAATAATGAGCTATTTTGTTGTGGCTGGTTGTGTTTATGATATGATAGGACCTGATTAGTTAATCCAGTCCTAAGAGTGCAGAACTGCTAGCTGAGAACAAATGGCTCACTGCTAGAGGCAATATAATACATGATTTTAAAGTAGCTGTACAAATGGGAAGAAAAATTGATTTCCATGATGGAATATGTGATCCCAAGAAATTAGTATCTCAATCTGCACAGGGACATGACTACATAAAACTATGCTAGGACACATGGAACTCTACTTGGACGCATGGCTATATTGAGCCATTTAAACTTCAGGTTTTAAGAGTATATGAAGAGATTTTGATTCTAAAATTTGTGTGAAAATGTAAAAACCCTAGAATATCTAATAAGATATTGAAAAGGAAGAACAAATTTGTAGGACTTTGTCATCTGTTTTCACGACTTATTACAAAGCCACAGTGATCAAGACAGTATGGTTTTGGCATTTGGACAGATAAATAGGCAATAGAACAGAAGAGAAAGCCTCACATTTGTGGTCATTTGATTTTTGATAAAGGCACTAAAGCAGTCCAATGGGAGAAAGAAAGTCTTTTCAACAAATGGTGCTGAAATAACTGGATATTCATATGGGGGAAAAATAAGAACCTTGATTCTACATCACACCATACACAAAAATCAATTCAAGATAAAGAGTAAACCTGATTGTAAAAGTTAGAACTTCTAAAAATTTCAAGAATTATAGGAAAATATTTTGCAACCTGAGTGTAGGCAAAAGTTTCTTAGATAAACAGAATTTTGAGCAATGTAACACTGTTACTTCCTTATTTAAAGACAAATGACAATTTCCTTGTTTAAGCCAACAAATGACAATGGAATGATTTAGGCTTAGAAAATTGTGCAGAAATCATTGCAAAAGTTGGTAGTATTCAAACAGTAGCTGAGGGTGCCCTATGAACATAGAGATTGACATTTCAAAAATGATGCAGCAAAATCCTTCCAGTGCTTGAAACACAACACCATTGAGCAATGATTCAATTCAAAGATGTTAACACTGAAAAGCAGCGAATTGGCAAATTAAAAACAAGAATTTCTTTTTCAGATTGGCAAAATCACAGTTAATGGCTGTAAGGCACTTCTAATGACATATGTTTATTTCAATGGTGAGTGTACATTGCAAGATGAGATGCTGTTTGTAAAATCTTTAGAAATTAACTATATTAGAGCATCTATCTTTGGTGTGATGAATGAAACACAAGTACCGTTGGAGACTTAGGTGTCTTGTGCTTCTGGTGGAGCTAATTCCATGATTGGAAAACATAAAGGTTTATAGACAACCTAAAAAAAGTACGTCCTGAAGCTTTTGCAATAAACTGCATTGTGCATCACAGAGACATCAACTGGCTTCAAAATATTTATTAGCTCAGTGTTTATCACTGTCTCAATATAGTAATTTAAACAATAAAAAGAAGTCACATGGCGAATATCATCTTCAGAGACTTTTTTTTTGATAAAGAACAATATGTCAGGCTTCTTCTACATACAGAAGTCAGACGGCTTTCTAAAGGAAACTAACAAGACGTGTAGACTTTTTGTTTCTTTGTTTGTTTGTTTTTTGAGATGGACTCTCTCTCTGTTGCCCAGATTGGAGTGCAGTGGCGCGATCTCAGCTCACTGCAACCTCCGCCTCCTGGGTTCAAGCGATTCTTTTGCCTCAGCCTCCCGAGTAGCTGGGGCTACAGGCGCGTGCCACCATGCTATGCTAATTTTTTGTGTTTTTAGTAGAGACGAGGTTTCACCGTGTTAGCCGAGATGGTCTTGATCTCCTGACCTCGTGATCCTCCCGCCTCAGCTTCCCAAAGTGTTGGGATTACAGGCGTGAGCCACCGTGCCCGGCCAATTTGTGCTCTTTAAAGATGAAATAAAAAATAGATTTTTAGATTTATTTTCTTTGGAAGTGAAGCCATGGATGTTAGATCCAGCTGGAAGCAATCTCATTCAGCTGTGGAGGAAATTCAAATAGAACTCATTGAATCAAAATATAATGAGGAATGCAAATACAAATTTGAAAAAAGTGAAATAGCTGAGTGTGGGGATCAAAATAACTAAATTTCTTTTTTCAATAATGTGATCTGAAATGACAAAAGTACTTCTTTGTTTTCTAACATCTTATATAGTTATAAGTGGTTTTGGTTCAGTAAGTAATATATTAGCAAAGTAAAGAAACAGAATTGATATGTTCAAGCAGAGACATTAGTATTAAACTTACTAACATCACACTGAACACTGGATTTTTAGTTAAACAACATCAAGCTTAGGTATCACATTGATTCATTCTTGGGTATATCAATTTCTTTTGTAAACTAGTTAATTTAAATGTTTTTTTCCTCCTATCAAGTAAAAGGTAGAAGTTAAATTTACTAAATCAACTTTTAAAATTAATTTAATTTTTTCAATCGCTTTATTTTTGCTAGAAAAATCAGTTTTAAGTAATTTTAAAAATGCATTGCATTGCTATTATTATTATATGTTAATAAATTGCTAACATTCATATATAGGTTATACATATACATATAGTAAGTTTTATACTTACTCTTTTTATACTTACTCTTTTTAATTTTTTTTTTATTAAAGTTTTAGGATACATGTGCACATTGTGCAGTTTAGTTACATATGTATACATGTGCCATGCTGGTGCGCTGCACCCACTAACTCGTCACCTAGCATTAGGTATATCTCCCAATGCTATCCCTCCCCCCTCCCCCCACCCCACAACAGTCCCCAGAGTGTGATATTCCCCTTCCTGTGTCCACGTGATTTCATTGTTCAATTCCCACCTATGAGTGAGAATATGCGGTGTTTGGTTTTTTGTTCTTGCGATAGTTTACTGAGAATGATGACTTCCAATTTCATCCATGTCCCTACAAAAGACATGAACTCATCCTTCTTTATGGCTGCATAGTATTCCATGGTGTATATGTGCCACATTTTCTTAATCCAGTCTATCATTGTTGGACATTTGGGTTGGTTCCAAGTCTTTGCTTTTGTGAATAATGCCGCAATAAACATACGTGTGCATGAGTCTTTATAGCAGCATGATTTATAGTCCTTTGGGTATATACCAAGTAATGGGATGACTGGGTAAAATAGTACTTCCAGTTCTAGATCCCTGAGGAATCACCACACTGACTTTCACAATGGTTGAACTAGTTTACAGTCCCACCAACAGTGTAAAAATGTTCCTATTTCTCCACATCCTCTCCAGCACCTGTTGTTTCCTGACTTTTTAATGATTGCCATTCTAACTGGTGTGAGATGGTATCTCATTGTGGTTTTGATTTGCATTTCTCTGATGGCCAGTGATGGTGAGCAATTTTTCATGTGTCTTTTGGCTGCATAAATGTCTTCTTTTGAGAAGTGTCTGTTCATGTCCTTTGCCCACTTTTTGATGGGGTTGTTTGTTTTTTTCTTGTAAATTTGTTTGAGTTCATTGTAGATTCTGGATATTAGCCCTTTGTCAGATGAGTAGGTTGTGAAAATTTTCTCCCATTTTGTAGGTTGCCTGTTCATTCTGATGGTAGTTTCTTTTGCTGTGCAGAAGCTCTTTAGTTTAATTAGATCCCATTTGTCAATTTTGTCTTTTGTTGCCATTGCTTTTGGTGTTTTAGACATGAAGTCCTTGCCCATGCCTGTGTCCTGAATGGTAAAGCCTAGGTTTTCTTCTAGGGTTTTTATGGTTTTAGGTATAACGTTTAAGTCTTTAATCCATCTTGAATTGATTTTTGTATAAGGTGTAAGGAAGGGATCCAGTTTCAGCTTTCTCCATATGGCTAGCCAGTTTTCCCAGCACCATTTATTAAACAGGGAATCCTTTCCCCATTGCTTGTTTTTCTCAGGTTTGTCAAAGATCAGATAGTTGTAGATATGCGGTGTTATTTCTGAGGGCTCTGTTCTGTTCCATTGATCTATATCTCTGTTTTGGTACCAGTACCATGCTGTTTTGGTTACTGTAGCCTTGTAGTATAGTTTGAAGTCAGGTAGTGTGATGCCTCCAGCTTTGTTCTTTTGGCTTAGGATTGACTTGGCGATGCGGGCTCTTTTTTGGTTCCATATGAACATTTTTCCAATTCTGTGAAGAAAGGCATTGGTAGCTTGATGGGGATGGCATTGAATCTGTAAATTACCTTGGGCAGTATGGCCATTTTCACGATATTGATTCTTCCTACCCATGAGCATGGAAGGTTCTTCCATTTGTTTGTATCCTCTTTTATTTCCTTGAGCAGTGGTTTGTAGTTCTCCTTGAAGAGGTCCTTCACATCCCTTGTAAGTTGGATTCCTAGGTATTTTATTCTCTTTGAAGCAATTGTGAATGGGAGTTCACTCATGATTTGGCTCTCTGTTTGTCTGTTGTTTGTGTATAAGAATGCTTGTGATTTTTGTAAATTGATTTTGTACCTGAGACTTTGCTGAAGTTGCTTATCAGCTTAAGGAGATTTTGGGCTGAGACAATGGGGTTTTCTAGATATACAATCATGTCGTCTGCAAACAGGGACAATTTGACTTCCTCTTTTCCTAATTGAATACCCTTTATTTCCTTCTCCTGCCTAATTGCCCTGGCCAGAACTTCCAACACTATGTTGAATAGGAGTGGTGAGAGAGGGCATCCCTGTCTTGTGCCAGTTTTCAAAGGGAATGCTTCCAGTTTTTGCCCATTCAGTATGATATTGGCTGTGGGTTTGTCATAGATAGCTCTTATTATTTTGAAACACGTCCCATCAATACCTAATTTATTGAGAGTTTTTAGCATGAAGAGTTGTTGAATTTTGTCAAAGGGCTTTTCTGTATCTATTGAGATAATCATGTAGTTTTTGTCTTTGGCTCTGTTTATATGCTGGATTACATTTATTGATTTGCATATATTGAACCAGCCTTGCATCCCAGGGGTGAAGCCCACTTGATCATGGTGGATAAGCTTTTTGATGTGCTGCTGGATTCGGTTTGCCAGTATTTTATTGAGGATTTTTGCATCAATGTTCATCAAGGATATTGGTCTAAAATTCTCTTTTTTTGTTGTGTCTCTGCCTGGCTTTGGTATCAGAATGATGCTGGCCTCATAAAATGAGTTAGGGAGGATTCCTTCTTTTTCTATTGATTGGAATAGTTTCAGAAGGAATGGTACCAGTTCCTCCTTGTACCTCTGGTAGAATTCGGCTGTGAATCCATCTGGTCCTGGACTCTTTTTGGTTGGTAAGCTATTGATTATTGCCACAATTTCAGATCCTGTTATTGGTCTATTCAGGGATTCAACTTCTTCCTGGTTTAGTCTTGGGAGAGTGTATGTGTCGAGGAATTTATCCATTTCTTCTAGATTTTCTAGTTTATTTGCGTAGAGGTGTTTGTAGTATTCTCTGATGGTAGTTTGTATTTCTGTGGGATCGGTGGTGATATCCCCTTTGTCATTTTTTATTGCATCTATTTGATTCTTCTCTCTTTTTTTCTTTATTAGTCTTGCTAGCAGTCTATCAATTTTGTTGATCCTTTCAAAAAACCAGCTCCTGGATTCATTAATTTTTTGAAGGGTTTTTTGTGTCTCTATTTCCTTCAGTTCTGCTCTGATTTTAGTTATTTCTTGCCTTCTGCTAGCTTTTGAATGTGTTTGCTCTTGCTTTTCTAGTTCTTTTAATTGTGATGTTAGGGTGTCAATTTTGGATCTTTCCTGCTTTCTCTTGTGGGCATTTAGTGCTATAAATTTCCCTCTACACACTGCTTTGAATGTGTCCCAGAGAGTCTGGTATGTTGTGTCTTTGTTCTCGTTGGTTTCAAAGAACATGTTTATTTCTGCCTTCATTTCATTATGTACCCAGTGGTCATTCAGGAGCAGGTTGTTCAATTTCCATGTAGTTGAGCGGTTTTGAGTGAGATTCTTAATCCTAGTTTGATTGCACTGTGGTCTGAGAGATAGTTTGTTATAATTTCTGTTCTTTTACATTTGCTGAGGAGAGCTTTACTTCCAAGTATGTGGTCAATTTTGGAATAGGTGTGGTGTGGTGCTGAAAAAAATGTATGTTCTGTTGATTTGGGGTGGAGAGTTCTGTAGATGTCTATTAGGTCTGCTTGGTGCAGAGCTGAGTTCAATTCCTGGGTATCCTTGTTGACTTTCTGTCTCGTTGATCTGTCTAATGTTGACAGTGGGGTGTTAAAGTCTCCCATTATTAATGTGTGGGAGTCTAAGTCTCTTTGTAGGTCACTCAGGACTTGCTTTATGAATCTTGGTGCTCCTGTACTGGGTGCATATATATTTAGGATAGTTAGCTCTTCTTGTTGAATTGATCCCTTTACCATTATGTAATGGCCTTCTTTGTCTCTTTTGATCTTTGTTGGTTTAAAGTCTGTTTTATCAGAGACTAGGATTGCAACCCCTGCCTTTTTTTGTTTTCCATTGGCTTGGTAGATCTTCCTCCATCCTTTTATTTTGAGCCTATGTGTGTCTCTGCACGTGAGATGGGTTTCCTGAATACAGCACACTGATGGGTCTTGACTCTATCCAATTTGCCAGTCTGTGTCTTTTAATTGGAGCATTTAGTCCATTTACATTTAAAGTTAATATTGTTATGTGTGAATTTGATCCTGTCATTATGATGTTAGCTGGTTATTTTGCTCATTAGTTGATGCAGTTTCTTCCTAGTCTGGATGGTCTTTACATTTTGACATGATTTTGCAGCGGCTGGTACCAGTTGTTCCTTTCCATGTTTAGTGCTTCCTTCAGCAGCTCTTTTAGGGCAAGCCTGGTTGTGACAAAATCTCTCAGCATTTGCTTATCTGTAAAGTATTTTATTTCTCCTTCACTTATGAAGCTTAGTTTGGCTGGATATGAAATTCTGGGTTGAAAATTCCTTTCTTTAAGAATGTTGAATATTGGCCCCCACTCTCTTCTGGCTTGTAGGGTTTCTGCCGAGAGATCCGCTGTTAGTCTGATGGGCTTCCCTTTGAGGGTAACCCGACCTTTCTCTCTGGCTGCCCTTAACATTTTTTCCTTCATTTCAACTTTGGTGAATCTGACAATTATGTGTCTTGGAGTTGCTCTTCTCGAGGAGTATCTTTGTGGCGTTCTCTGTATTTCCTGAATCTGAACGTTGGCCTGCCTTGCTAGATTGGGGAAGTTCTCCTGGATAATATCCTGCAGAGTGTTTTCCAACTTGGTTCCATTCTCCCCATCGCTTTCAGGTACCCCAATCAGACGTAGATTTGGTCTTTTCACATAGTCCCATATTTCTTGGAGGCTTTGCTCATTTCTTTTTATTCTTTTTTCTCTAAACTTCCCTTCTCGCTTCATTTCATTCATTTCATCTTCCATCGCTGATACCCTTTCTTCCAGTTGATCGCATCGGCTCCTGAGGCTTCTGCATTCTTCACGTAGTTCTTGAGCCTCGGTTTTCAGCTCCATCAGCTCCTTTAAGCACTTCTCTGTACTGGTTATTCTAGTTATACATTCTTCTAAATTTTTTTCGAAGTTTTCAACTTCTTTGCCTTTGGTTTGAATGTCCTCCCGTAGCTCAGAGTAATTTGATCGTCTGAAGCCTTCTTCTCTCAGCTCGTCAAAGTCATTCTCCATCCAGCTTTGTTCCGTTGCTGGTGAGGAACTGCGTTCCTTTGGAAGAGGAGAGGTGCTCTGCTTTTTAGAGTTTCCAGTTTTTCTGTTCTGTTTTTTCCCCATCTTTGTGGTTTTATCTACTTTTGGTCTTTGATGATGGTGATGTAGAGATGGGTTTTTGGTGTGGATGTCCTTTCTGTTTGTTAGTTTTCCTTCTAACAGACAGGACCCTCAGCTGCAGGACTGTTGGAATACCCTGCCATGTGAGGTGTCAGTGTGCCCCTGCTGGGGGGTGCCTCCCAGTTAGGCTGCTCGGGGGTCAGGGGTCAGGGACCCACTTGAGGAGGCAGTCTGCCCGTTCTCAGATCTCCAGCTGCGTGCTGGGAGAACCACTGCTCTCTTCAAAGCTGTCAGACAGGGACATTTAAGTCTGCAGAGGTTACTGCTGTCTTTTTGTTTGTCTGTGCCCTGCCCCCAGAGGTGGAGCCTACAGAGGCAGGCAGGCCTCCTTGAGCTGTGGTGGGCTCCACCCAGTTCGAGCTTCCCAGCTGCTTTGTTTACCTAAGCAAGCCTGGGCAATGGCGGGCGGCCCTCCCCGAGCCTCGCTGCCGCCTTGCAGTTTGATCTCAGACTGCTGTGCTAGCAATCAGCGAGACTCCGTGGGCGTAGGACCCTCCGAGCCAGGTGTGGGATATAATCTCGTGGTGCACCGTTTTTCAAGCCCGTCGGAAAAGCGCAGTATTCGGGTGGGAGTGACCCGATTTTCCAGGTGCCGTCCGTCACCCCTTTCTTTGACTCAGAAAGGGAACTCCCTGACCCCTTGCGCTTCTCGAGTGAGGCAGTGCCTCGCCCTGCTTCGGCTCCCGCACAGTGCGCGCACACACTGGCCTGCGCCCACTGTCTGGCACTCCCTAGTGAGAGAAACCCGGTACCTCAGATGGAAATGCAGAAATCACCCATCTTCTGCGTCGCTCACGCTGGGAGCTGTAGACCAGAGCTGTTCCTATTCGGCCATCTTGGCTCCTCCTCCTATATTTACTCTTTTAGTAAGTAAGTTTTATACTTTTTTATGTGGAAAGCACAGATATACATACAACACATAAACAAATATACAATATATCTGTGTTGTTAAAATTTCTTAGAGTGAAGTAAATAGAAAAAAAGGGTCTAAAAAGGCTCTCTGTAAGGCTGATAATGTAAAAAAGATAGAGAAACATCATACTAAGGTATTATAAAAGTGTTTTGAAAAATATTCGTTCAAAGTCAAATCATTACAAAACAAAAAGGAATTGCTGTCTCACCCCAAATCAACAGTTAGGGAATTGTCTCTATCTAAGTGGAACTTATCGTTAATATCTGAAAGGGCCTGGACTATGATTAATACATTAAATATTCAGATTATCCCAATGGGAAGCCATTTATAAACACTTACTTTAAAACCTTAATCTTTCATTAAAAAAAAATTCAACATTGGCTGGACGTGGTGGCTCACGCCTGTAATCCCAGCACTTTGGGAGGCCGGGGTGGGCAGATTACCTGAGGTCAGGAGTTTGAGACCAGCCCAGCCAGCATGGTGAAACCCTGTCTCCACTAAAAATACAAAAATTAGCTGGGCATGGTGGCATACCCCTGCAGTCCCAGCTACTTGGGAGGCTGAGACAGGATAATTGCTTGAACCCAGGAGACAGAGGTTGTAGTGAGCCAAGATCATGCCACTGCACTCCAGCCTGGGTGACAGAGTGAGACTCCATTAAAAAAAAAAAAATTAACATTTTTCACCACTGATTAGTTTCATATAAATGATTCATTCATAAAAAGTAAATTATATATGTTTCCCTTATAACAAATTATAACTTTTGAAACCTTTCTTCACTCTATGTTTTATATACCAATGGACTGATTTTCTTTAGTAACTTACTGTAACAGACTACACTTTCCACACTTACATTTTTTTAGTTATCCAGTAGTTTATGGTAATTGGCCTAGCACTATAATTTTTTTTCTGGAGGGCATGTGGGGGTGGTGTGGTGATTAGAGGAGCCTGAAGGAATCTGTAAGGGAAAAAGAATTAATTCTAAACAAGAAAAGTTTATGCATTTATTGTACTGACAAGGATGATTTTTTATGAGTTATTGTTTGCTAAGTGCTGACAACGATTGTTGGTTGGTATAAAAGTATGTTTTAGTTAGTGTATTATACATGGGCCTCCTCAGTAACTTACCCTCCAAAATGTAAAAGAATCTTTTTAGAGATGAAATCATGCAGATATAGTGTCTTTAAAACAAAACTTTTTTTTGTTTTGTTTTTTATACTTTAAGTTCTGGGACACGTGCAGAACCTGCAGGTTTGTTACATAGGTATACATGTGCCATGGTGGTTTGCTGCACCCATCAACCTGTCACCTACATTAGGTATTTCTCCTAATAGTATCCCTCCCCTAGCCCACCACCCACCAACAGGCCCTGGTGTGTGATATTCCGCTCCCTGTGTCCATGTATTCTCATTGTTCAACTCCTGCTTATGAGTGAGAACACGCGGTGTTTGGTTTCCTGTTCCTGTGTTAGTTTGCTGAGAATGATGCTTTCCAGCTTCATTCATGTCCCTGCAAAGGACATGAACTCATCCTTTTTGATGGCTGCATAGTATTCCATGGTATATATGTGCCACATTTTCTTTATCCAGTCTATTATTGATGAGTATTTGGGTTGGTTCCAAGTCTTTGCTATTGTGAACAGTGCTGCAATAAACATACATGTGTATGTGTCTTTATAGTAGAATGATTTATAATCCTTTGGGTATATACGCAGTAATGGGATTGCTGGGTCAAATGGTATTTCTGGTTGTAGATCCTTGAGGAATCGCCACACTGTCTTCCACAATGGTTGAACTAATTTACACTGCCAGCAACAGTGTAAAAGCATTCCTATTTCTCCATGTCCTCTTCAGCATCTGTTGTTTCCTGACTTTTTAATGATCACCATTCTAACTGGCGTGAGATGGTATTTCATTGTGGTTTTGATTTGCATTTCTCTAATGACCAGTGATGATGAGTGTACTTTCATATGTTTGCTGCCTGCATAAATGTCTTCTTTTGAAAAGTGTCTGTTCATATCCTTCACCCACCTTTTGATGGGGTTGTTTGCTTTTTTTCTTGTAAATTTGTTTAAGTTCTTTGTAGATTCTGGATATTAACCCTTTGTCAGATGGATAGATTGCAAAAATTTTCTCCCATTCTGTAGGTTGCCTATTCATATGATGATAGTTTCTTTTGCTGTGCAGAAGCTCTTTAGTTTAATTAGATCCCATTTGTCAATTTCGGCTTTTGTTGCCATTGCTTTTGGTGTTTTAGTCATGAAGCCTTTGCCCATGCCTATGTACTGAATGGTATTGCCTAGGTTTTCTTCTAGGGTTTTTATGGTTTTAGATCTTACATTTAAGTCTTTAATTCATCTTTAGTTAATTTTTGTATAAGGTGTAAGGAATGGGTCCTGTTTCAGTTTTCTGCATATGGCTAGCCAGTTTTCCCAACACCGCTTGTTGAATAGAGAATCCTTTCCCTATTGCTTGTTTGTGTCAGGTTTGTCAAAGATCAGTTGGTTGTAGATGTGTGGTGTTATTTCTGAGGCCTCTGTTCTGTTCCATTGGTCTATATATTCGTTTTGGTACGAGTACCATGCTGTTTTGGTTACCGTATCCTTGTGGTATAGTTTGAAGTCAGGTCGTGTGATGCCTGCAGCTTTGTTCATTTTGCTTAGGATTGTGTTGGCTATGCGGGTTCTTTTTTCATTCCATATGAAATTTTAAGTAGTTTTTTCTAATTCTGTGATGAAAGTCAATGGTAGCTTGATGGGAATAGCATCGAATCTATAAATTACTTTGGGCATTATAGCCATTTTCTTGATACTGATTCTTCCTATCCATGAGCATGAAATGTTTTTCCATTTGTTTGTGTCCTCTCTTATTTCCTTGAGCAGTGGTCTGTAGTTCTCCTTGAAGAGGTCCTTCACATCCCTTGTAAGTTGGATTCCTAGGTATTTTATTCTCTTTGAAGCAACTGTGAATGGGAGTTCACTCATGATTTGGCTCTCTGTTTGTCTGTTATTGGTATATAGGAATACTTCTGATTTTTGCACGTTGATTTTGTATTCTGAGATTTTGCTGAAGTTGCTTATCAGCTTAAGGAGATTTTGGGCTGAGACGATGGGGTTTCCTAATTATACAATCATGTCATCTGCAAACACAGATAATTTGACTTCCTCTCTTCCTATTTGAATACCTTTATTTCTTTCTCTTGCCTGATTGCCCTGGCCAGAACTTCCAATACTATGTTGAATAGGAGTGGTGAGACAGGGCATCATTGTCTTCTGCTAGTTTCCAAAGGGGATGCTTCCAGCTTTTGCCCATTTAGTATGATATTGGCTGTGGTTTTGTCATAAATAGCTCTTATAATTTTGAGATATGTTCCATCAATATCTAGCTTATTGAGTGTTTTTAGCATAAGGGTGTTGAATTTTATCGAAGGCCTTTTCTGCATCTATTGAGATAATCATGTGGTTTTTGTCTTTGGTTCTGTTTATGTGGTGGATTATGTTTATTGATTTGCGTATGTTGAACCAGTCTTGGATCCCAGAGATGAAGCCGACTTGATTGTGGTGGGTGTGCTTTTTGACGTGCTCCTGGATTCAGTTTGCCAATATTCTATTGAGGATTTTTCGCATCCATGTTCATCAGAGATATTGGCCTGAAATTTTCTTTTTTTGTTGTGTCTCTTCCAGGTTTTGGTATCAGGATGATGCTGGCCTTATAAAATGAGTTAGGGAAGAGTTCCTCTTTTTCTATTGTTTGGAATAGTTTCAGAAGGAATGGTACCAGCTCCTCTTTGTACCTCTGGTAGAATTCAGCTGTGAATCCATCTGGTCCTGGGCTTTTTTCGGTTGGTAGGCTATTAATTACTGCCTCCATTTCAGAACTTGTTATTGGTCCATTCAGGGATTCAAGTTCTTCCTGGTTTAGTTTTGGGAGGGTGTATGTGTCCAGGAATTTATCCATTTCTTCTAGATTTTCTAGTTGATTTGCATAGAGGTGTTTATAGTATTCTCTGACAGTAGTTTATATTTCTGTGGGAAAGTAGTGATATCCCCTTTATCTTTTTTTATTGTGTCTATTTGCTTCTTCTCTCTTTTCTTCTTTATTTGTCTGGCTAGTGATCTATCTATTTTGCTAATTTTTTCAATAAACCAGCTTCTGGTTTCATTGATTTTTTTGAAGGATTTTTCGTTTCTCTATCTCCTTCAGTTCTGCTCTGATCTTAGTTATTGCTTGTCTTCTGCTAGCATTTGAATTTCTTTGCTCTTGCCTTTCTAGTTCTTTTAATTGTGTGTTAGGGTGTTGATTTTAGATCTTTCTCGCTCTTTCCTGTGGGCATTTACTGCTATAAATTTCCCTCTAAACACTGCTTTTGCTGTGTCCCAGAGATGCTGCTATGTTGTGTTTTTGTTCTCACTGGTTTCAAAGAACTTATTTATTTCTGCCTTAATTTCGTTATGTACCCAGTAGTCATTCAGGAGCAGGTTGTTCAGTTTCCATGTAGTTCTGTGGTTTTGAGTGAGCTTCTTAATCCTGAGTTCTAACTTGATTGCACTGTCACCTGATGGAGTGTTTGTTATGATTTCCATTCTTTTGCATTTGCTGAGGAGTGTTTTACTTCTAATTATGTGGTCAATTTTAGAATAAGTGCCATGTGGTGCTGAGAAGACTGTAAATTCTGTTGATTTGGGGTGGAGAGTTCTGTAGATGTCTATTAGGTCCGCTTGGTGCAGGGCTGAGTTCAAGTCCTGAATATCCTTGTTAATTTTCTGTCTTGTTGATCTGTCTAATATTGACAGTGGGGTGTTAAAATCTCCCACTATTATTGTGTGACAGTCTACGTCTCTTTGTAGGTCTCTAAGAACTTGCTTTATGAATCTGGGTGCTCCTGTATTGGGTGCATATATATTTAAGATGGCTTTTCTTGTTGCCTTGGTTCCTTAACCATTATGTAATGCCCTTCTTTGTCTTTTTTGATCTTTGTTGGCTAAAAGTCTGTTTTATCAGAGACTAGGATTGCAACCCCTGCTTTTTTTTTTTTTTTTTTTTTTTTTTTTGCTTTCCATTTGCTTGGTAAGTGTTCCTTCATCTCTTTATTTTCAGCCTATGTGTGTCTTTCTTCGTGAGATGGGTCTCCTGAATACAGCACACCGATGGGTCTTGACTCTTTATCCAATTTGCCAGTCTGTGTCTTTTAATTGGGGTATTTAGCCCATTTACATTTAAGGTTAATATTGTTATGTGTGAATTTGATCCTGTCATGATGTTAACTGGTTATTTTGCCCGTTACTTGATGCAGTTTCTTCAGCGTGTCGACGGTGTTTCAATTTGGTATCTTTTTGCAGTGTCTGGTACCAGTTTTTCCTTTCCATTTTTAGTGCTTCCTTCAGGAGCTCTAGTAAGGCAGGCCTGGTGGTGACAAAATCTCTCATCATTTGCTTGTCTGTAAAGGATTTTATTTCTCCTTCACTTATGTAGCTTGTCTGCACATGAAATTCTGGATTGAAAATTCTTTTCTTGGAGGTTCCAAGGTGGCCAAATAGGAACAGCTCCAGTCTATAGCTCCCAGCATGAGTGACACAGAAGATGGGTGATTTCTGCATTTCCAACTGAGATACTGGGCTCATTTCACTGGGGCTTGTCAGACAGTTGATGCAGGACAGTGGGTGCAGCCCACGGACCATGAGCTGAAGCAAGGCGAGGCACCACCCCACCCGGGAAGTGCAAGGGATCGGGGAATTCCCTTTCCTAGCCAAGGGAAGCTGTGATAGACGGCACCTGGAAAATTGGGTCACTCCCACCCTAATACTGTGCTTTTCCAATGGTCTTAGCAAACAGCACACCAGCAGATTGTATCCCATGCCTGGCCCAGAGGGTCCCATGCCCATGGAGCCTTGTTCACTGCTAGCACAGCAGTCTGAGATCGAACTGCAAGGGGGCAGTGAGGCTAGGGTATGGGCATCTGCCAATGCTGAGGCTTGAGTAGGTAAACAAAGCGGCAGGGAAGCTCAAAGTGGGTGGAGCCCACCACAGCTCAAGGAGGCCTACCTGCCTCTGTAGACTCCACCTCTGGGGGCAGGGCATAGCTGAACAAAAGGCAGCAGAAACTTCTGCAGACTTAAACATCACTGTTTAACAGGTTTGAAGAGAGTAGTCATTCTCCCAGTATGGAGTTTGAGATCTGAGAATGGACAGACTGCCTCCTCAACTGGGTCCCTGACCCCCAAGTAGCCTAATTGGGAGGCACTTCCCAGGAGGGGCCGACTGACACCTCATACAGCCGGGGGCACCTCTGAGACGAAGCTTCCAGAGGAATGATCAGGCAGTAACATTTGCTGCTCTGCAATATTTGTGGTTCTGCAGGCTCTGCTGGTGACACCCAGGCAAACAGGGTCTGGAGTGGACCTCCAGCAAACTCCAACAGACCTGAAGCTGAGGGTCCTGACTGGTAGAAGGAAAACTAACAAACAGAAAGGACATCCACACCAAAACCCCATCTGTACATCACCATCAAGGAAGACCAAAGGTAGATAAAACCACAAAGATGGGAAGAAACCAGAGCAAAAAAGCTGAAAATTCTAAAAATCAGAGCGCCTCTTCTCCTCCAAAAGAATGCAGCTCCTCACCAGCAATGGAACAAAGCTGGATGGAGAATGACTTTGACAAGTTGAGAGAAGAAAGCTTCAGAAGATCGGTAATAACAAACTTCTCCAAGCTAAAGAGGATGTTCAAACCCATCGCAAACAAGCTAAAAACCTTGAAAAAAAGATTAGATCAATGGCTACCTAGAATAAACAGCATAGAGAAGACCTTAAGTGACCTGAAGGAGCTGAAAACCATGGCACGAGAACTACATGATGCATGCACAAGCTCCAGTAGCCGATTCGATCAACTGGAAGAAAGGGTATCAGTGACTGAAGATCAAATGAATGAAATGAAGTGAGAAGTTTAGAGAAAAAAGAGTAAAAAGAAATGAACAAAGCCTCCAAGAAATATGGGACTATGTGAAAAGACCAAATCTACGTCTGATTGGTGTACCTGAAAGTGACGGGGAGAATGGAATCAAGTTGGAAAACACTCTGCAGGATATTATCCAGGAGAACTTCCCCAACCTAGCAAGGCAGGCCAACATTCAAATTCAGGAAATACAGAGAATGCCACAAAGATACTCCTCGAGAAGAGCAACTCCAAGACACATAATTGTCAGATTCACCAAAGTTGAAATGAAGGAAAAAATGTTAAGGGGAGCCAGAGAGAAAGGTCGGGTTACCCACAAAGGGAAGCCCATCAGACTAACAGTGGATCTCTTGGAAGAAATTCTACAAGCCAGAAGAGAGTGGGGGCCAATACTCAACATTCTTAAAGAAAAGAATTTTCAACCCAGAATTTCATATCCAGCCAAACTAAGCTTCATAAGTGAAGGAGAAATAAAATCCTTTACAGACAAGCAAATGCTGAGAGATTTTGTCACAACCAGGCCTACCTTACAATAGCTCCTGAAGGAAGCACTAAACACGGAAAGGAACAGCCAGTACCAGCCACTGAAAAAACATGCCAAATTGTAAAGACCATTCGATGCTAGGAAGAAACTGCATCAACTAACGAGCAAAATAACCAACTAACATCATAATGACAGGATCAAATTCACACATAACAATATTAATCGTAAAAGTAAATGGGCTAAATGCTCCAATTAAAAGACACAGACTGGCAAATTGGATAGAGTCAAAACCCATCAGTGTGCTGTATTCAGGAGACCCATCTCACATGCAGAGACACACATCGGCTTAAAATAAAGGGATGGAGGAAGATCTACCAAGCAAATGGAAAACAAAAAAAGGCAGGGGTTGCAATCCTAGTTTCTGATGAAACAGACTTTAAACCAACAAAGATCAGAAGAGACAAAGAAGACCATTACATAATGGTAAAGGGGTCAATTCAACAAGAAGAGCTAACTATCCTAAATATATATGCACCCAATACAGGAGCACCCAGATTCATAAAGCAAGTCCTTAGAGACCTACAAAGAGACTTAGACTCCCACACAATAATAATGGGAGACTTTAACACCCCACTGTCAACATTAGACAGATCAACAAGACAGAAAGTTAACAAGGATATCCAGGAATTCAACTCAGCTCTGCACCAAGCAGACATAACAGACATCTACAGAACTCTCCACCCCAAATCAACAGAATATACATTCTTTTCAGCACCACATCACACTTATTGCAAAATTGACCACATAGTTGGAAGTAAAGCACTCCTCAGCAAATGTAAAAGAACAGAAATTATAACAAACTATCTCTCAGACCACAGTGCAATCAAACTAGAACTCAGGATTCAGAAACTCACTCAAAACTGTTCAACTACATGGAAACTGAACAACCTGCTCCTGAATGACTACTGGGTACATAATGAAATGAAGGCAGAAATAAAGATGTTGTTTGAAACCAATGAGAACAAAGACACAACATACCAGAATTTCTGGGAGACATTTAAAGCAGTGTGTAGAGGGAAATTTATAGCACTAAATGCCCACAAGAGAAAGCAGGAAAGATCCAAAATTGACACCCTAACATCACAATTAAAAGAACTAGAGAAGCAAGAGCAAACACATTCAAAAGCTAGCAGAAGGCAAGAAATAACTAAGATCAGAGCAGAACTGAAGGCGATAGAGACACAAAAAACCCTTCCAAAAAATCAATGAATCCAGGAGCTGCTTTTTTGAAAAGATCAACAAAATTGATAGACTGCTAGCAAGACTAATAAAGAAGAAAAGAGAGAAGAATCAAATAGATGCAATAAAAAATGATAAAGGGGTTATCACCACTGATCCCACAGAGATACAAACTACCATCAGAGAATACTATAAACACCTCTACGCAAATAAACTAGAAAATCTAGAAGAAATGGATAAATTCCTGGACACATACACACTCCCAAGACTAAACCAGGAAGAAGTTGAATCCCTGAATAGACCAATAGCAGGCTCTGAAATTGAGGTAATAATTAAGAGCCTACCAACCAAAAAAAGTCCAGGACCAGACAGATTCACAGCCGAATTCTACCAGAGGACAAGGAGGAGCTGGTACCATTCCTTCTGAAACTATTCCAATCAATAGAAAAAGAGGGAATCCCCGCTAACTCATTTTATGAGGCCAGCATCATCCTGATACCAAAGCCTGGCAGACACACAACAAAAAAAGAGAATTTTAGACCAATATCCCTGATGAACATCGATGCAAAAATCCTCAATAAAACACTGGCAATCCGAATCCAGCAGCACATCAAAAAGCTTATCCACCATGATCAAGTGGGCTTCATCCCTGGGATGCAAGGCTCATTCAACATACGCAAATCAATAAACGTAATCCATAATATAAACAGAACCAAAGACAAAAAGCACATGATTATCTCAATAGATGCAGAAAAGGCCTTTGACAAAATTCAACAATGCTTCATGCTAAAAACTCTCAATAAATTAGGTATTGATGGGACGTATCTCAAAATTATAAGAGCTATTTATGACAAACCCACAGCCAATATCATACTGAATGGGCAAAAACTGGAAGAATTCCCTTTGAAAACTGGCACAAGACAGGGATGCCCTCTCTCACCACTCCTATTAAACATAGCGTTGGAAGTTCTGGCAGGGCAATCAGGCAGGGGAAAGAAATAAAGGGTGTTCAATTAGGAAAAGAGGGAGTCAAATTGTCCCTGTTTGCAGATGACATGATTGTATATTTAGAAAACCCCATCGTCTCAGCCCATAATCTTCTTAAGCTGATAAGGAACTTCAGCAAAATCTCAGAATACAAAATCAACGTGCAAAAATCAGAAGTATTCCTATATACCAATAACAGACAAACAGAGAGCCAAATCATGAGTGAACTCCCATTCACAGTTGCTTCAAAGAGAATAAAATACATAGGAATCCAACTTACAAGGGATGTGAAGGACCTCTTCAAGGAGAACTACAAAACACTGCTCAGCGAAATAAAAGAGGACACAGACAAATGGAAGAACATTCAATACTCATAGATAAGAAGAATCAATATTGTGAAAATGGCCATACTGCCCAAGGTAATTTATAGATTCAATGCCATCCCCATCAAGCTACCAATGACTTTGTTCACAGAATTGGAAAAAACTACTTTAAAGTTCATATGGAACCAAAAAAGAGCCCGCATCGCCAAGACAATCCTAAGGCAAAAGAACAAAGCTGGAGGTATCACGCTACCTGACTTCAAACTATACTACAAGGCTACAGTAACCAAAACAGCATGGTACTGGTTCCAAAACAGAGATATAGACCAATGGAACAGAACAGAGCCCTCAGAAATAATACCACACATCTACAACCATCAGATCTTTGACAAACCTGACAAAAACAAGAAATGGGGAAAGGATTCCCTATTTAATAAATGCTGCTGGGAAAACTGGCTAGCCATATATACAAAACTGAAACTAGATCCTTTCCTTACACCTTATACAAAAATTAATTCAAGATGGATTAAAGACTTAGATGTCAGACCTAAAACCATAAAAACCCTAGAAGAAAACCTAGGCAATACCATTCAGGACATAGGCCTGGGCAAGGACTTCATGTCTAAAACACCAAAAGCAATGGCAACAAAAGCTAAAATTGAGAAATGGGATCTCATTAAACTAAAGAGCTTCTGCACAGCAAAAGAAACTACCATCAGAGTTAACAGGCAACCTACAGAATGGGAGAAAATTTTTGCAATCTACTTAAATGACAAAGGGCTAATATCCAGAATCTACAAAGAACTTAAACATATTTACAAGAAAAAGTCAGACAATCCCATCAAATAGTGGGCAAAGAATATGAACAGACACTTCTCAAAGGAAGACATTTATGCAGCCAACGGACACTTGAAAAAATGCTCATCATCACTGGCCATCAGAGAAATGCAAATTAAAAGCACAATGAGATACCATCTCACACCAGTTAGAATGGCAATCATTAAAAAGTCAGGAAAAAACAGGTGCTGGAGAGGATTTGGAGAAATAGGAACACTTTTACACTGTTGGTGGGACTGTAAACTAGTTCAACCATTGTGGAAGTCAGTGTGGCAATTCTTCAAGGATCTAGAACTAGAAATACCATTTGACCCAGCCATCCCATTACTGGGTGTATACCCAAAGAATTATAAATCATGCTGCTATAAAGACACATGCACACGTATGTTTATTGCAGCACTATTCACAATAGCAGAGACTTGGAACCAACCCAAATGTCCATCAATGATAGACTGGATTAAGAAACTGTGGCACCTATACACCATGGAATACTATGCAGCCATAAAAAATGATGAGTTCATGTCTTTTGTAGGGACTTGGATGAAACTGGAAACAAACCATCATTCTGAGCAAACTATTGCGAGGACAGAAAACCAAACACCGCATGTTCTCACTTATAGGTGGGAATTGAACAATGAGAACACTTGGACGCAGGGTGGGGAACATCACACACCAGGGCCTGTTGTGGGGTGGGGGAAAGGGGGAGGGATAGCATTAGGAGATATACCTGATGTAAATGATGAGTTAATGGGAGCAGCACACCAACATGGCACATGTATACATATGTAACAAACCTGCACGTTGTGCACATGTACCCTAGAACTTAAAGTATAATAATAAAAAAAAAAGAAAATTCTTTTCTTTAAGAATGTTGAATATTTGCCCCCACTCTCTTCTGGCTTGTAGGGTTTCTGCAGAGAGATCCACTGTTAGTCTGATGGGCTTCCCTTTGTGGGTAACCCGACCTTTCTCTCTGGCTGCCCTTAACATTTTTTCCCTTATTTCAGCCTTGGTGAATCTGACGATTACGTGTGTTGGGATTACTTTTCTCAAGGAGTATCTTTGTGTTGTTCTCTGTATTTCCTGAATTTGAATGTTGGTTTGCCTTGCTTGGTTGGAGAACTTCTCCTGGATAATATCCTGAAGTGTGTTTTCCAATTTGGTTGCATTCTCCCTGTCACTTTCAGGCATACTAATCCAACATAGGTTTGGTCTTTTCACATAATCCCATATTTCTTGGAGGCTTTGTTCATTCCTTTTCATTCATTTTTCTTTAATCTTGTCTTCATGCTTTGTTTCATTAAGTTGATCTTCAATTTCTGATATCCTTTCTTCCACTTGATCGATTTGGCTATTGATACTTGTGTATCACGAAGTTCTTGTGCTGTGTTTTTCGGCTTCATCAGGTCATTTATGTTCTTCTCTAAACTGGTTATTCTAGTTAGCAATTCCTCTAACCTTTTATCAAGAATCTTAACTTCCTTGCATTGGGTTAGAAGATGCTCCTTTAGCTCGGAGGAGTTTGTTATTATCTACCTTCTGAAGCCTACTTCTGTCAATTCATCAAACTCATTCTCCATCCAGTTTTGTTCCCTTGCTGGTGAGGAGTTGTGAACCTTGCCAGCCACCTCACAAAACTTTCTATATTGTGGTTTTTAAAGCCAGATGGTGTAGACAGAGGGCAATTTCATATACAAGTTTTCTCATTCATAAATGTTTTACAATTTCTCCTCTATTTGATGACATATTAAGCAAGAGTGTCTGTGAGGATAACACAATACTATGTTATTCTTCTAAAAAGGCCAGTTCATTCCATTTCACCTTCTAAATTATCCTTAAAGAGATTTTTTTTAAACAGCAAGATTAGCAAACTTCCCCCTTCATTCTGTTAAAGTTAGGACTTTTATTACTATTGATTTCTTTCAATACTTTACTATTTATACTATTATGCCCTCAGATTTCCTGTCAGCACAATTTCCTGTTGTAAAATCAAGTGGTCACTGGTAAACTTTTTTATTTTTTAACTTTTATGTTAGGTTCAGGAGTACATGTGCAGATTTGTTATACAGGTAAACTCATGTCACAGGAGTTTGTTGTACAGATTATTTCATCACCCAGGTACTAAGCCCAGTACCCAATAGTTATTTTTCTAATCCTCTTCCTCTTCCCACCCTCCATACTCAAGCAGACCTTAGTGTCTGTTGTTCCCCTCCTTGTGTCCATGTGTTCTCATCATTTAGCTCCCACTTGTAAGTGAAAACAGGCAGCATTTGGTTTTTTGTTCCTGCGTTAGTTTGCTAAGGATAATGGCCTCCAGCTCCATCCATGTTCCTGCCAAGGACATGATCTCGCTCTTTTTTATGGCTGCGTAGTATTCCATGGTGTATATGTACTGCATTTTATTTATCCAATCTGCCATTAATGGGCATTTAGGTTGATTCCATGTTTCTGCTATTGTAAATAGTGCTGCAATTAACATACACGTGCATATATTTTTATGATAGAATGATTTATATTCCTTTAGGTACATGCCCAGTAATGGGATTGCTGGGTCGAATGGTAGTTCTGTTTTTAGCTCTGTGAGGAATTGCTACTGCTTTCTGCAATAGTTGAACCAATTTATACTCCCACCAACAGTGTATAAGTGTTTCCTTTTGCAAATTTTTGCCAAGTCGCTCAAAACCTAGAAGCCTAAAGAACAATTTGAATCTCTAAGCAAATTTTCAGTTATGTTTCAATCATTGAAAACATTTGGATGCTGCTGCTGACCCAAGGCCTTATTATTAACTTGAAACACATCTAGCAAAGAACTAAAAACACATGCAGAGAAAGTTTGTGCAAGAACGTTGACACTAACGTTGGTTCTTCCTCAATCTAGCTTTAGTCCTCATCTGAGAAAAAAAAAAATCATTTGTAAAATGTGACCTTTGTTCAATACAACAAACTTACTTTGATTCATTTCAGAGTTGTGTTCTAAAAAATTTTCTAAATAAAAATTAGAAAGAAAAGATTCAAAGTCATGAAGCCATCTTTTGAGGAACTTCTTGGACCATGTATTTGGAGCAGTATCTCCCAACTCTTTCAGCTGCTATACCCTTGAAACTGGGAGCCATAGAAAAGGTAAATAGTAAGCTTTAAAGCCAAGATCTCATGTCTGGGGTTAGATTCTAGATTTGCTTGCCACAGTGATGGAATTTCTGCTTTTTAAAATATCCAGTTGCAAGACCCTGAGGCTGGATCTCATGAATGGAGACACTAAAGATCAGTAGCATATACGAGTCCTCTGTGTGTGTCTTGTATATTTCTATTACAAGGATCCATTTTTGTGTGTTTTTGTACCTATGCACTTTCCTGACCCCAAATCTGAAAGAGAGACAATTTAAAGCCTATTTATAGCAAATCATTTGAGTATTTAGAAAAATAAAGTTGTATCCATTGCTACAAACTCTGGGCATGAGAAAACATTCATTCTGGTTTGTTCTGTTAATTTTAAAATGTCTTGTTATCACCGAAAATGTCAGGTTGTAAACTCTTTCTAGTATTCGTAAGATGCAGAATACTTTCTAGAAGAAATACAAACAAATCTCATGCATGTTTATATATCACAGTGTTTTCAGGACTCAACTTCCTTTGGAGAAGACTTTTTTTTGTTTTGAATCAACTCATAATTACAACAACAGACACTACTTTCACTGTAGCAATGAAACAGATGGATATCCAGATGCACCCACTGGAAAATTGAGAAAAACAACAACCAAGATCCAAATTTCTCATTTGTTTGTATGTTTGTTTGTTTGAAAAAAGACAAGGTGTTGGAAGGTTGAGAGTAAAAAGTGTAAATTAGATCTCATCAAGGTTAGGGAGGAAAATATTCTGGATAAGTCTATGTTTTGCTTATGCAAACAGAAAAATTAAGAAAAAATTATATTCCAGCTTGAAACTGGTTATACTTTGATCTAATCTCGTCTTTTCTGACATCTTTGAAGAGTTCAGCCCATCTAACAACTGATTGGGTAAAAGTTAAGCTGCTTGAACAAAGAAGTCTTAAATACAGCAGCTTAAAAAAGAGTGTTCTGGAGAGAGCACTCCCCAGTGGTAAGATAGTTTCTATTCCATAAGGTCATTCAGGAACCCATACCGTTGTTCTGCCATCCTTTAGGGTCTTTGTTTGCACAATCAAAGCTGGCTTGTGGTTACGACCATGTTCCAGCTTATAGGAATGGGAGAGGCATACTGGGGCAAGTGGCTTGTCTTTAAAGTTGGAGGTCTCAGGAGTTGCACACCTCTTATTGGCCTGAATTTAGTCACATAGCCACACCCGCATGCAAGGGAGGCTGACAATATAGTCTTTAGCTGGGCGCCTGTGTGCTTGGTTTAAACTCCAGTACTGTAGAATGGGAGAACAAAATTTTGTGGACAACCAGCAATTTTTTTAGTCTTTGTGGGATCCTCTGATACAAACACTATAACGCTGAGCTTGAACTCATGGCTTAAGCAATGAATGGTTAAACTGTACTAATGGTCATGTCGCAGAATAAGGGAAATAGAATGCAATCTATTTCAAATGAATCTTTTTCAGAGATGAAGTAATGCATAAAGATAGTAAAAGACCTAGAGCTTAAATAAACACATTTGTATAGAAGGTGATGTATTGCAAAACAAATGAAAGTCAGTTGCTTTACCGTGCCTCTATCCAAATGAAAATAAGGTCACCCCTGATTCTGAGAAGTTCATATAGGAAAGGGAAAGAATTCTAATTAGGATTAAGAACATTATCTCTCTTCAAATGTCTGCAAGCATACAATATTGGTTCTGTCTATGGCTATACCTATAATTTTGCAATATGACTTTTCTTTTAAAGGAGGAGAAAATTTGGTAAACTGATAACTAATTTAGATAATGCTAATTGTATTGGGTGGAAGATGATTAGGAAAGTTATAAAAGAAACCTCCAGTGTGCTCTGCATGGGATATTATTGAAAACATGAATATTGCGTAAAGCTGTCATCCCTTCCCCAAAAGAGAGATGATTCCTGGATGTGTTTGTATTATACAACATCAGAAGAAAAGGAACTGGGGGCAGGGGTGGAGGATATAATGGTTATGCTGATTTGGGATACGTTGGAACCCCTCTTTAATTCTCTTCTGTGAATGGTGCATATGTGCTTGTACACACATGTGACTTAATTGTGTAACATCAATCACCTGGCTTTATATCAAAAATCATGTTTTGCCTGTGGATTGCCAGTATAAATTTACTTCTTTCCTAGTGAAATACAGATAGTCTTGCATACTAAGTAAACCCTCTTGATTGTAGCTATGCCCACAGTTTGCTGCCTTAGGATATTGTGGGACTTATATACCCTTGTAGTGGAAGAGTTGCTCTTATCAATCAGTTTTTGGAGGGCTAGTCCAATATTTGTTTCCCATTAAGTAAGCATGATGTATATGATGGTTAATTTTACATGTCAACTTGACTGGATTAAGGGATACCTAGGTAGCTGGTACTATGGCTTGAGTGTCACTGCCAAAACTCATGTTGAAATTTAATTGCCACTGTGACAGTATTGGGAGGTGGGTTTTGTTCTTTTTTTTAACTTTTATTTTAAGTTTAGAGATACATGTGCAGCCTTGTTATATAGGTAACCTTGTGTCATGGGGGTTTGTTGTACAGATTATTTAATCACCCAGATATTAAGCCTTGTACCCATTAGTTGTTTTTCTTGACCCTCCCTCTCCTCCCACCCTTCACTCTCCAGTAGGCCCCAGTCTCTGTTGTTTCCCTCTATGTGTCCATGTGTTCTCATCATTTGCCTCCCACTTGTGAGTGAGAACATGGAGTATTTGGTTTTCTGTTCCTGCATTTGTTTGCTAAGGACAATGGCCTCCAGCTCCATCCATGTCCCTGCAAATGATATGATCTCATTCTTTATTATGGCTGCATAGTATTACATGGTATATTTACCACACTTCTTTATCCAGTCTGTCATCGATAGGCTTTTAGGTTGATTTCAGATCTTTGCTATTGTGAGTCGTGTTTCAATTGACATGCATGTGTACATGTCTTTATAATAGAACAATTTATATTCCTTTGGGTATATACCCAGTGATGAGATTGCTGTGTTGAATGGTATTTCTGTCTTTAGGTCTTTGAGGAATCATCACACTGTTTTCCACAATGGTTGAGCTAATTTACACTAAGAGATTGGGTTTTTAAGGAGTGATTAGGTCAAGGTGGCACCACCCTTGTGAATGGATCAATGCTTTTATTGTGGGAGAGGGTTAGTTATTGTTTTGTTGTAAAAGTGTGTTCTTTCACATGTTTGTCCTCCTTACCCTTTCACCCTTCCACCCTTCCACCATGTTTGGTTGCAGCAAGAAGGCTTTCACCTAATGCCAAGCAGACATCACTGCCATGCTCTTGGACTTCTCAGCCTCCAGAGCTAAACTTCTTTTATTTATAAATTACTCAGTCTGTGGTATTCTGTTATAGCAACAGAAAATTGGCTAAGAGTGCTGGTATAGCATTATTTCTGTGTGTGTATCTATGAGGGTGTTTCTGGAGGAGACTGGGGTATGAATTGGTGGACTGAATGGGAAAGACCTGCCCTTAATGTGGGTGCCACCATCCAATCAGCTGAGGACCTGGATAGAACAAAAAGGATGGGGAAAGATAAATTCTCTCTCTCTCCCCTGGAGCTGGGACACCCTTTGTCTCCTGACCTCGGATATCAGAACTCCAGATTCTCCAATTCTCTGGTGCCAGAGAATTGCACCAGAGGCCGCCCATGTTCTCAAGCCTTTGGCCTCTCAGACTGAGAGTTACACCGTTGGCTTCCCTAGATATGAGGCCTTTGGACTTGGCCTGAGCCACACTATTGGCCTCCTTGGTTCTCCAGTTCGTGGATGACGTGTTGAGGGACTTTTAGCCGCTATAGTCATGTGAGCCAACTCCCCTAATAAATGCCCTCTCATATATCTATTTATCTATATATTCTATTGATGTTGTCTCTGACTAATCCAGTGTGCTAATGTCCAGAAGTATGGTATGCTATACAGAATCTGTTTGGTATTATTTGGGGTAATCATATTTTCTTCATGTCATGTTATAGTTGACAGTGAAGATATGGTAACTGTCCCAGGAGCACTCAATCAAGCAAAAGATATGTCTTTTAACTTGTAAAATTCAAATCAAACAATCCCTCTGAGCTGATTATTTTCTGTTCTTCCCCTCCTCACATACTGATCCATTCTCCACTCTTTTCTGCCTTGCTTTGTGCCGTGGGAGGATCATATCTCCCAAGCTCCCTTGCTCATGGACTTCTAGTTAGACTTAGCTAATCTTTGGAGCTCAGAGGATGAGAGTCATAGTTCGGGGTAGTTCTTCCTGGCTCTCTCCTTCTTTCCATGCTGTATATCAGGCTACATTTGGCTCTCTCTGTGAACACAACTCCCACTGTGTGTCCCTTTTCTACTGTTTTATCTCTCATTGTGTTCTTGTAACCTTATTTCTTCTCTTTGACCTTTCAGTTTTGAGGTGATAACAGCTTTCCACTGTAGCAAGTGTCTGAGTACCTCACCATCTGTTGTTAATCCTGTAAACCACCCCATACCTCTATAAGTAATACTTTTCTTAAGGTTTCTTTATTTGAACCACTTGGGGTGAATTTTATTTCCTGCCACACCATGACAGGGAAGGTAGCAGACAAGCTTTTGTGTTGATCTCCATTCAATAGATTCTGGAAAGAGTTATCCATGCTCACTCTGTCTAGTTTCCTTTATTTATTTCTCTCTTGAATTCATTCCAACAAGTCACTGCCCCATCACTTCACTGAATCTGCCCTTGCCAAAGTCACCAAACACATTAATTAATAAAATCCAGTGGTCATTTCTCAGCCTTCATCTTACTTGATCTTTCAGCTGCATTGGACACACTTAACCATTCCATCCTCCTTGAAATCTTCTCTTCACTTGGCTTTCTAGACCTTACACTCTACTGACTTTTCCAACACCTCATTAGCCAGTCTTCTTAGTACCCTTTGCTGGATCCTCCTTGTGACAGAGCCTGGAAAGCTATTTACCAAGCCTGCTTTCTACTTTTTTATGGACACTTATTTAGACTGCATTTCTGAAACTCCCTTGTAGTTTAGGGAGGCCATAGAGGTACCACTTCCAGATACGGCCCCTAAAATCTAAAATCTTCTTCCATACTATTTCCCTGTCTCCTCACACAATGCAAATGTTCACGATGACCTTGAAAACCACGGATTGAAGATGGAGGAATCACAAAATGGAAGAAGAGTCACCTACCAATCAGGAACACCCATTTTGAATTTATGTGAGTTGGAAATAAACTATGGCATTTGAATCATTATTCCTTTTTGGTTTTGTTTGTTACAGCAGGAAGTATTCCCAAAGTCTTCTACTCTTTAGCTGTCTACCGCCTCAGTGCTGGGTGCCCAGGGCTCAGTCCTTGAGTCTCTTCTTTTTCTATGCTCTTTCCCTTATGACTTCACCCAGTCTCATGGCTTTAAATACTATCGATATTTTTTGTCAGCCTCACCCTTCCAGTTGCTCAGGCTAAAAACCATTTTCGAACCCCACATCTGATCTGCCGATAAATCCTATTGGCTCTGCCTTCCCACTATATTCAATATCTGTCCCCTTTTTACCATCTCCACAGTGATCACACTGGTCTAATATCTGCACCTGGAACACTGCAATAGCCTTTTACTGGTCTCCCTGCTTCTGCCCTTGGCTTTCCAGTCTGTCCTTAACGTAGTCACCAAAATGACTTACGGTGAAATCAGATCACGTTACTCCTCCCTCAGAACCTTTTTTTTTTTTTTTTTTTTTTGAGACGGAGTCTCCCTCTGTTACCCAGGCTGGATAGAGTGCAGTGGTGCCATCTCGGCTCACTGCAAGCTCCGTGTCCCAGGTTCACGCCATTCTCCTGCCTCAGCCTCACGAGTAGCTGGGACTACAGGCGCCCGTCACCACACCCGGCTAATTTTTGTATTTTTAGTAGAGATGGCGTTTCACCGTGTTAGCCAGGATGGTCTCGATCTCCTGACCTCGTGATCCGCCTGCCTCGGCCTCCCAAAGTGCTGGGATTGCAGGCGTGAGCCACCGCACCCGGCCCCCTCAGAACTTTTATAGTTTTGCCTCCCACTCTGTAAAAACACAGGAGCCCTATGCCAAGCAGCCATGGTTAGTTAGCTCTTTGACCTCATTTTCTACCACTGTCCATTTGAATGCCCCTGCCACGCCAGTCTCTCTGCTGTTCCTCCTTTCACATTCTGCAGCGCATTGTTTTCTTCCTATTTTCTCCCCCTCCAATGGTCCCTGACATCTGACGTGGGTCCCTGACCACCTCGACTCAAATCTTACCTCATCAGCAAGGTTTCCCTGACCATCCAATTAAATTGCAACCCCTCAGCACACACTCACTTGTCTCCCTTTCTTTCCATTCTTTCTCCATAGCAGTTATCACCATCATACACAGGATTTGTTTGGGTAAATTGTCTTGTTTCTTTTATCTCCCCTATGTTTCATCTTAGTGCAGGCAGGGATTTTTGTTTTCCCTGCTGTATTTCAGCACCCAGAGCAGGGCTTGGCATACACAGGAGTGCTCAAGAAATATTTGTGAAATGAATGAATGAATGAGTGAATGAGTTTTCTCCACCCCTTTTAAGCCAGACAGAAAAATCCAAGTTTTAAAGTTCTCCTTAAAAAAGCAGAACGCATATCACTGCCCCATAGGAGAAGCAACACGGAGGAGAAGGGCATGACCTGAGAGCACAGCCACCACCTCAGCCTCTTCAGCCAGCCCCAAAGAGAGAGATGGCTCTGGAGGTGCTACAGGGGCAGGAGGAGTTCAACGCGGGCCATGCTCCATGCTCATACAGTGGGTCAAGCACAATACTCTAGCGCTCTTTAACTGCCAGGAAGCGCCTGGGCTTCTGGGTCTTCCACAGGCACTGCAACACGGTGCTGAAGGATGTGAAAAAGATGTGGGCCTAAGTCCCCAAGAACGGGAAGGCAAGGAAAAGTCCAAGCCAGTCAACAATGAGTGCTACATCTCCAAAGGGTTCTGCGTGGGGACTCAATCATCGTGGTCCCGCAGAAAGAACTTGCTCATCAAAGCAAGTAGGCACCTTCTCCTTGCAGGCAGAACTCGCTCCCCTGGCCTGCAAAGACCTGGCTTTTGTGATGGAAATTATAAAGACCTGTGTTTTTTGTTTAAAAAAAAAAAAAAGCAGACGGTACATTAAAGGAAGGAAGGGAGGAGAAAGGGAAGGAAGGAAGGAGAAAGAGAGGGAGGGAGAGAGGGAGGAAGAGAGGGAGGGAGAGAGGGAGGAAGAGAGGGAGGGAGGGAGGGAGGGAGGGAGGGAGGGAGGGAGGGAGGGAAGAAGGAAAGAAAAGGAAGACTAATGGTGGCTTTGCAATGTGACAGAAAATAGTCTGCACCATTACCAAACAGCATTTTCACAGCCCTCAAAGTCGAATCCATCCCAGTAATCCTGCTGACAGAGCCATTTGGAGATTGGGGTCCTCAGACCAGCATTCCAAGAACTGTAGCAAGCAGGCATTTGAAGCTAGTGTCGGCAGATTTAACATAGCAATATGTTAACTGAGTGTGTCTTTATTTTATGTAATAACAATGGTTATAATTTTATTGCTTTTAAAAATGTATTTGATTTTTCTTTGTAAAAATAGTGTGTACTCAGTATACATAAACTGGAAAATGTACAAAAAGGATAAAAGAAAACAGAGTGAGAAAGGAAGAAAAAAATAGAAAGGAAAGATGGAAGGAATATTCATTGCCACAAAGACATAAACAATTAAAATACTGCTGCATGACCTACGCTCTTTTTTTTCCTTACATTAAAAAAGTCCTCTTTCAATGGCCTTCATAAGTTGAATCACATCAAATCCTGAACCGGAGCTGCTCTTGTTTCTTGCTACATACACTTGGCAATCAGTTCAGTCATCATAATTATCCTGTCATCAGCAGCATTTAAAGACAGATGGGGCCATTCAAACATTATAAACAGCCCAATGTGCAGACTTCAGTTACCTGTTTTCTCCATGTGAAATAACCATTCCAGTTACGTGGCAGTAATGAAACATTTCTTACTGAACAACAATGAGAGATTAAAAATGGTTTTGGCCTTGCCTGTGAGTAATGATGTCCAATGATGTAGAGGGGTAATTACTGTGAGGACTTAATTCCTGTGTCATCAGGTATTTATAGATATACAAAGCATTCTACTGATTAAACAGCATTCAAGGTGACTAAACATTAACTGTGATTGACAGTTTACAGCTCAGACAGACTAAAAAGATTAAATAACATTAGAAAGTGGCAGGTGCCTTCTTTCACCTCAGGGCATTTTGCCCTGTGAGGAAAACGATTGAGACTTCTAATAATATTGCTAACAAGTAAGTTCTGAACTGTTTGCTTGCAGCAGTCATATTCCAGTAAGGAATGCAAATCCTGTTATGCATCTTTTTCATCTTGGTGAGGTTGCAATGGCTATAAAAGTTAGACAGAAGGTAAAGGAAAGTATAACTTCCCTTAAGACTTAAAATACCCTGAAACATGTCCAACTTCTAGGGGCAGATAATGTTTCAAAGCTGTTAGCCAAGATCAATTTGTTTTATATCTGATACATTCTCTCTCAGAAATGGAGCCAAGATGATCCCAAATTCGGTTATTCATAATTTCAGGTAACCAACATTGCTTCTCTATAAAATTTCCCCTGTAACTGAGCCTTCAGTTATTTTACATGATTCCTAATTACATACCTATGCACGGCTTACCTCAGCCTCTATCTTTTTCTTTTTCTAGAAGGTTCAGAGATTTTTTTTTTTACCATCTCCTCTTCAAGCTGGATGCCACTGCTTCTTATAAAACCATAATCATAAAAACTTACATGCTTGTGGTTCTTTGAACTTTATGAAATATTTCTTCTTCTCTCTTTTATCTCATGGCAATGGTAGTACCTAGGCATAGGGTTATCATGAATGCTAGAAGAAAGAATGCACGTGAAGTGTTTGGCAAAGTACTGGCCCCATATCATTTGCCAAATATTGTGAACCATTTTAATGAATTAATTTGCAGTATTTCATCCTTACTATAGTCTCATAAATTGGATAAGGTAAGCAGTATTTCTTTTGTTTAATGGATGAAAAATGTAAGGCACAAAGGTTGAGCGGCTTTCCTAAAGTAAAAAGACTTTTGAAGACCTGAGTGGAAATTAGAATCCAAATCTGCTGGTTCCCAACCTAAGTGTGTTCCCTAGAGTCTCTAACCAGAGGTCCCCAATCTTTTGGACACCAGGGACCGGTTTCATGGAAGACAATTTTTGCATGGACCAGGGGAGGGAGGGATGATTTGAGGATGATTCAAGCATATTATATTTATTGTGCACCTTATTTCTATTATTATTACATTGTAATATATAATGAAATAATTTTACAACTCACCATAATAGAGAATCAGTGGAAGCCCTGAGCTTGTTTTTCTGCAACTAGATGGTACCATCTGGGGATGATGGGAGACAGTGACAGATCATCAGGCATTAGATTCTCATAAAGAGCATGCAAGCCAGCTCCCTCACATGTGCAGTTCACAATAGGGTTTGCGCTCCTATGAGAACCTAATGCCACCACTGATCTGACGGGAGGCAGAGCTCAGGCACTAATGTGAGCGATGGGGAGTGGCTGTAAATACAGATGAAGCTTCGCTCGCTCGCCCACCACTCACCTCCTGCTATGTGGCCTGGTCCCTAACAGGCCACAGACTGGTATCGGGAGGTTGGGGACCCCTGTTGTAGACCATGCTATTGCTCTGGAGTGAAAGATGCCCCTGGATTTATTTCCCTTAAGGCTTCACTAGTAGCACAATGCTCCCCACCAGTGATCCCACCAACCCCTTTTGTCCCCCTTCCATTTCTCTCCTCTTAAGACTGTTTTGTACTCATTAAGAGCATAAGCTTTGCTCCATGGCAGATCTGGTTTGAATTCCGGTTCTGGCTCTTAATAGCTGTGTATAAAATGGACATAGGATAGTTGTGAGGATTAAAGAAAGTGAGATATTGCTTACATAGTACCTGGCTCATGGAAAGCACCCCATGCATTATTTTCATGGTTATTATTATTATTCCTAGATAAACTACAGAGCTGTGTCGCTGTACCTGCTGCCATATCCACCTCTTAGACCAGCTGTCTCCTTGGGCTCCAGCCAACCTGGCTCATGGCCTCAATGCTCCACTGAAACTCCTGATCTCTCTGTCAATGAATACCTTCTTCTGACCTATCCAGGACTTCTCTCCTGCCTGGGATACTGTGGAGTCATCCTTCTCTATTGGACATTTTTCAGCCTTGGCATCAGTGCACCCTACCTTGGTAGTTTTCCTGATACACGGCAGTGCTTCTCCCATCTCATCCTGAGCCCTGCTTGTCCCTGCAGACAAAGTCTTGGACTTACTATTCTCCTCTTCAACTATATCCTACAAGGCTCATGGTTTTATTTACCATCTTGTATTCACCATCTCTGCTTCCAGAATAATTAATTGGCTTATTCCTATGCATATATAATTATAAATATAATTTTTTCTCTATCTCTGAAGGCTAGGAGAGAACTGAAGAAATATGATTAGCACTGTTGGCAGGATGCAAAATGAAAAATTCCTAAGCATCATCCACATCATTTTAACTACCCTTTGCAAACCTTCAGAGGTGCAGACCCCTGTGGGTCTCACCCCTTTAGTGAAGGTGTCCAGTAGCAGTATAAGAAAGCAGTTCTCCCACCCCCTTCCGTACAGAGTCTTAGCAATCTCTTAAAAGGTTGGAAACTTATGAGTAAACAAGGCATAACTCCAGTACTGGTGTCCCATTTGGAGTCTCATTGAAGTGGCAGTAAATTGAAACTCATATAAATGCTCCAGTCCTGTTGGGCACCCCTGGAACAAGTGAGTCATGGGCCTGTTTGAATAACCAATCTTGCTGCCACTATCTCAACACTGAAAATCATTCTTATAACTTGCTCTATGGAATCCTATAGTACTAAAAGCCCCTTTAAAATCTCAGAACCCCCTCCCCATTCTTGTAGTCTCCCTCCCACATGCGTGCCATGGTGTATCTCACTGTACAACATGACCTATATGTGCCATTACTCAGGGGTGTTGTTGTTTGCCCCCAGGCATTCTGAATATCCTGTTCCAAAGACATAGACACAGAAAAACTATGACCATTGACACAAAGTGGTTCTAACAAGGAAGAAATTTGAGGCCAAAGGGTGGGAACTCTGGAGCCTCTTCCTGCTTCTCCAGTTTGGTGCCTGGAGAGACCCTAAGTATGGTATAGACATGCATGTCAGTGCCCTTTTACATGGAAAATAGGAAATGAATTCCAAACAATACTGGAAACAGCTGACCCTTTTAGCACAATGCTTAAATATGCTAGTGCTGAGCCAAGGCAGCATGTGCAGAGTAAATATTTTAATCCCTAATTAATCACTTTGGTTAGATTGGTAAAACACAAGTCTAATGAAAATAATTTGAAATTTCCTTCATGAATAATTGCCTTGTTCGGGGAATTGTGGGAAGAGTCAACTGACTGCCCTTCCATTCTTAGTCATCTGTACTGCTCTGAGACTTAATTTGTGTCCTTCAACCCTTTCCAGTCACCGTCATGAGATTACAAATACCTTTCGTGCAGTTTAGCAGCAACTATGCAATATGACAGTTAAGTCAGCAGAGAGGTAAAGAACCAAGCAACTCCTTGCTTTCTCGCTGTGGAGTCTTACAGTACCCAGTAGAGGGGAGAGTGTCTTTGCGACCCTGCATTCTTTTATTAGGTTGTGAGCATGATGGATTGCTCCAGGTTATTGAACCGTTCCTGTTTCTTTTTAATTAGAAACTTGAATAATAAGATGCCCAGGGTTTGGGCATTTACAAAGGGGAGAGAAAGAATTTTCCAGCTCCGAGTGCTGAATGCTATCCTGATTAGCACTATGCCACCAGATTTAATTACTTCTTTGAGTAAATAAAATCTTGCTCAGAGGGCAATGTTCCCGGGTGTGCAGACAACAAAGGTTAAGCCACCTTACTAGTCACCTGTTCAGACATGTTGGAACCTGTTAGATTGGGGTTGTGGGTATGTTCTATTCCATCCCGCTTGCCTGCCTATTCTTCTTCACTTTCTCCCCGGTGCCTCTCAACCCCCTTCCAGCAATGAATGTATTGCTTCTCTGGTTGGAATGTCACTAGGAGTGATGACTGGCACTGTGCCATATGGCTGGTGCACTCTGGCTCACACTGCAATCATCGCTAAAAATTGCCTGGTCCACCAGTCAGTTTGGCCAGTTCTGTGGACTGTCAAAGTCCACCTGGTGGACCATCTGCCACCTCCCCCTGGAGGTTCCATCTCTCTTTTGTTTTCCAGTCTGGTCTTCCTCCTCAATCTTGCTCTTTTATTTGGGAGATTCAAATATTTGGGGGAATTTTGCTTTTGTTTCTCAGCAATCAGGAGGACATGATGTTCTTGGGTTGCTGGAATGCATTTGGATAATAACACTGTAACTCTTTGTTGTCCTGCAGTTACCTTGCACAACAGCTAATAACTGGGTTAAGAAGCTTGGTTACAGCATAGAAAAATACTGCTCAAATGAAAAAGCATAGAGGTAGGCAACTTGTAACCCAGGTGATAATTGAGCCAAAATTTGGAGCAGATTTGGTGTCTCTATTCACAAATGGAATTAACTACATTCCATGCCAAAAGGGCTATGGAAGTCCTCCCATTTTACAGGATAAGAGGTATAGAGAATTGGAAGCCAAACCTTTGGTATTCACTATATTTTTGACCATTATGGGTGTGTGGAGGGATAACTGTGAATCTACAGCATAATATGTAGTTAAATATAACCAGCTAAATGTAGCATTGTCTTAATGAACATCTTTAAAAATAACTCTAAAGGATTACTCCCCAGAACTCCCACTGCCAGATCTCTGAATCAAAGGGTTGCCAGCAACAAGTCTAATTCAGGGGGAAATGGCAGAAAGAGGAGACTTGGCTGCAGAAGGAAAACTTTGACTGCTTTATCACGGTCTCCAGGTTGGGTCCTGCTCATGACATCTACTGAGTGTTTGCCCTCTCTGGCCAGCGTACACGTGCTAGGAAAAGAGCAAGACTGACTGCTTCCTCTTCCAGGCTGGCCTGTGCTGCTGAACTACCTTTCATCCTAGCCACACTATTCTATTTGGGAGGTCTCCATAAAGCAAGTCTGGAACTATTTATATGTGTTCACTCTTGCTTTTCCTGACTTTTCTGACTTATATGAGTTAGGTCAAAAGTATGAATATAAAAACGTCCTTTGTGGTTATCTTGCCCTGTGTTTCCAGAGTCATTGGATAGGATTTGGACTATAGAAGTTTCCCCCTGCAACTTAACCCTGCACTGGAGCATGTTCTATCTATTACCTGCAAGTCTTAATTTATAAGTGTTTTCATTTATTGGGCACCTACTGGACACCATGTATTGTGCTGGGCGCTGCCTTAATTAAACATAGCCCCTACTCGATTTCAGCTTTCCCCAACACTACAATTTAAGTCCCTCTTCCAGCCTCTTCAGTTATTTTAAGACCTACCATTCAGTAGGTCATTCATACATTTCTGCCTTCTCTCCAACACTGACACTTTAGTTTTAAAGTCCTTTGCTGGCTGTGCCTGGAAACACAGTGAAACTGAGACTACACTGTACCACTTTACAGAGAGTCAAATAGATATAGGTATGGATATATAAATAGATAAAACACTTTTTTTTTTTTTTTTAACAGAGTTTTGCTCTGTCCCCCAGGCTTGGAGTGCAGTGGCGCAATCTTGGCTTGCTGCAACCTCTGCCTCACAGGTTCAAGCGATTCTCCTGCCTCAGCCTCCTGAGTAGCCGGGATTATAGGTGCGCACCACAACGCCCGGCTATTTTTGTATTTTTAGTAGAGACGGGGTTTTACCATGTTGCTCAGGTTGGTCTCAAACTCCTGAGCTCAGGTGATCCGCCTGCCTCGGCCTCCCAAAATGCTGGGATTACAGACGTGAGTCACCGCGCCTGACCTAGATAGATAAATCTTTTTTTGGTGCAAGCTGTTACGTGGCATGGCAAAACTAAATTAGAAGACATGTAAGAGGTCTTGAAGTCCTTCTCTCATAGAAGTTCATAGGCTTAAGTGACTTACTCAAGATCACAGCTAATTGTGTTGAAGTTGAGACTTGAAAACTGCCTTCTAACTCCTAGTCATTGCTTTTTCTAACACACTATGACCTTTAGCTTGGATAACTTAAGGTCTATGTGCTGATTCCTTCTGCTATCCAATCATTTAAAAAATGGGTAAAATATCAAGAATCAAAATTGAAATAATAATAATAAAAAAAAGTATGAAACCTTCTGATTTAATCTCTCCTCAGCATACCCAAAATATAATCACAAAATGTTGGAACTTTTTACTGATTTTTTCCTTGGGATAGCCATTTTAGGCAACGGCCCAGAACTTGGCTGTCATCAACACTGGAGAGAATCCAGCCCTTCCTGTCTCTTCTCCTATCGTGTTTTAATTACTTGAGTGGCACTTCTTCATCAGCTGAGTTTGTACATAAGGCTGAATACCTGGCCCAGTGCCAGGGCTACCTCTTGGACTAGGTAAAACCCTGGGTCTGAGTTTGGAGGCCAAGTGGTGAGTCCCTCTTGTCCTCTCAGCCTTTCATAATAACAGTTTCAGGAGGAACAAAACCGTCCTCCCTTAATAAACCTACCTAGTTTCCAGAAATCAGCTTATCAAACTTGAAGCACACTAAACTTGCTTTTTTGGGCAGATAGCTCATTCATAGAATGTTCCTTTTCCTTATCCATATCTTAAAGACAGTTTCTTTCTCTTTTTTCTTTTTTTTGGGACAGATTCTCACTCTGTTGCCCAGGCTGGAGTGCAGTGGCACGATCTTGGCTCACTGCAACCTCCGTCTCCCAGGTTCAAGCTATTCTTCTGCCTCAGCCTCCTGAGTAGCTGGGACGAGGGGTGTGTGCTACCATGCCCGGCTAAGTTTTACGTTAGGCACATTTTTGTATTTTTAGTACAGACAGGGTTTCACCATATTGGCCAGGCTGGTCTCGAACTCCTGACCTCACAATCTGCTTGTTAAAGGCAGTTTCTTATTGATTTGCTGTTTGTTTTCATCAGAGTGGCTAACTTTTTTTTTTAAAATACAGCCATGAGTTTTGAAAATAATCACATATTGAAAGCCTCAAATCATTTGGGCCTTTGAAATCAGGTCACCATTATCAAAATATACACACCACAGCACTCGACACATGAATCCCACTTTGCTCTGTTTTTTTGAGTCGTTGGAAGCCAGGATCGGGGAGGGGTAGATAACAGGGGGAGAAGCTGTCAAGGTCAAATGATTTAGGCTGTGGATTGAGGAATGGAAGGGAGACTGGATGTCAGGTGGTTTGGGGGAGATTAAACGACTAGCCCCCAGAATTAGGCTCCCTAACTATGTAATTGCTGTGGAAAATGGTAAAATTTGGTAAAAATTTCATCCTCAGAGCTGCTGCTGGTGGGGCTGGCCTCTTGGGGTTTTTAATCCTGAGTCAACTTGTGTTCCCTCTCATTCATGATAGTGCCCTTGAGGGTATCATTTTATTTGGGAAGGTCTGAGGACCGCGGAGGCAAGCAGCTCTCCTGTTTGTCTTACCCTCCATGCAGGTGAGACTTACAGGGAAGGCAGGTTTGCATTCAGTACGAATAAGAACATTTTAACAATTAGTGAAGATCAGTCAGCTGAGGCGTACAATGAGCTCTCTGGCATTGGAAGTAAGAGGCTTAAAGACTATCTTTCAAGGATTCGGAAAGAAACATCCTGCTTGGGTAAGAAGTTGGATTACGTGACTGAAGATTCATATAACCAAGAGGACTGGGATTCCCTGAATATCTTAACTCTTACCAACTCTGTGTTATAGGTTTATGAATATTATTTAATTCCATCTCCAAATGTACATCTTCATGTACATTGACTCATTAGTGTACATGAAGGCCAATGGCAACTGCTTCCAGGACTGGGTTTTGGGGGCCTCAGTTAGGCTCCACAGATTAGAAACATACACAATTACAGCTTTGCGCTTTTGTTTAAGGCTGTGTTCCCTAGTCAAATGCAACCACTCTGGGAGAAGCAAACCATTAAGTGCTAACAGCCATCTACTATCCATACACTAAGGCATAATTATAGAGTTGTATGATGAAGAGAACAAGTTTTTGATGAGACTTCCTGGGTTGGAATCCTTGTGTGAATTCTGGCAAATCTCAATCCTGGTCCTTAAAATATGCGTAAGAATAATGCCTACCTTACAAGTTTCCTGTGAGAATCAAATGACAATCCATGTATAGTGCTTAGACTGGTGACTGGCAGAAAGCAAGAGACAGTATACATTAATTATTGTTTACTCCTTGGTTTGAATGGTTTGATCCAACTCTTTCTAGAGAGTAAGTTTGGCTGTGTGTGGATGAAGGAGGAGGGAGGATTTTTGCACAGGGAGGGAGGTTCTTTCAAGAGCTGGAGATGGGAACCAAGGGGGAAGAAGGCTGAAGAAAGCAGAAACAGGGGGCACTGGAGACAGAAACACCTGCTCCGCAATTTTGTCCAGCAAGGTCCAGCCCCATCTGGTTTTCTGACTTTCCATTTTGATGAGGAAACCCCAGATAAAAAGTTTTGAGAATTCAGTTGCCCATCATCTCTGCAGACTTAAAATGCATAGAAAACACACCAGTTTTCAATCTTTAGGCTTTTCCCCTCCCAAGTTAAACAAGTCAGAGAGAATTAAAGTCTCTTAACAGAACGCATTCACCATTAAAGTTTAATCTACTTCCTGGAAAATTATCCATGGATTTTAATTAAGTTCCCCTAAATGCCAGTGAACCCAGAGGGTTCCACACAAAGGAAGAGAAGCAGCCTGCCAGGCTGTGCTCTCCGGCGCCTTTCACCAGCTTCTCGGAGATAAGTTAGGGGGAGCAGTGCGTACTTTTGTCTTTCTCATGACTGGGCCCAGCTTTATCGCAACATAAAGAAAACTCATGTCATGGTATGAAGAAAGTCTTTGAAGGCTCCTTCAGTAGTTGTTTTAACAACACGGGACACAGCCTTGCTTTTAGCGACTCCCCACTCCCAACCCCACCTCACTCTCTGCTTATGTGCGGTTTAAAAATTAATTTACAATACAGTGAGATCAGCAAAACAAGGGCATTAGATGGAGTCCCCCAGAAATGGACTTCTTGTACTCCAACAATGTTCTTAGAAACACATGTGAGTTTCTTTGCACTCAAATTAAGGAGGATTAAAGCAGCTAGACAGTTGTTGCTCAGTTCCTTTGGATCATGTGGCCAAAGCTGAAAAGCCTTAAGTTGCTGGCATGAGCCTAAGTCAGTTGCCTGATCTCCGAATTAATTTTTGAATTAAATAATTGTCCCCCCCTCCCTTTTTTCTTCTAATTGAGACTTCCATTGAAAAATGCTTAGCAAACAGATGGAAAAACCCAGAACAAAAGGCCGTTGTGAAATAATAAAATAAAGGTCATTTGAAACAGTTTTAGGTTAGCACTAGAAGTACAATGAAACCTTACATTTAATTATTTTTTATGAACTATAAAAATATTTAAAAATAATCAGCAGTGGGTTTGAAACTAAAGAATGGTTGGAAATAGCTTAGATCATTTAATAGTTCACTTTTGTGAGCTTCTCATCTTCCCAGAGACTCAGAACAAAGGCTCTTTGGCAGAATACTTTCATGTTTAATTTTAGAATAACAATGACATTATCTTACAGATCTTAATGTTTTAACTATCTGAATACTTGTAAAATGTTTCAATATAGTAATATAAAAAGAGATATAATTTTAAAATTCAAAAATGAGAAAGATCTACAAACTTAACAACAGTAAGGACAGGCAAGTGTTAGAATAAAGAAGTGATATTCTAAAAGTAAAGGCTTATTTAAGACAAATAAACAAATAAAATGCTAACTTTAAGGATGTGCAAAAATCTCAATCGTGCTAAAGGTTTAGATTCAAGAAGTCCAGGAAAAAACTTCACACTGAAAAAAAAATGCAATATTGAGTAGTTATGCAGATTTCAAAATGTTAGAAAGTCAACTTGATCAATAAAACAGCCCTGAAGCCCCTGATATTGGCTGACAGTGAAATAAAAATAGTTTGCCCAATCAAATTTATTTAGACCAGTCACATTTCATCAGACCCCTGACAAGACTTACTGCATGTGAAGAGTTTGGGGTTTTATGATTCTTGTCGTGCCAAGACCTCTTCATGAATTGAGAAGAGAGAGGAATAGATGTGAATAAACGTCACTTCTTTCTTAGGTGCTGGAAAGGCTTTCTGTGGTGCAATGGACTATAACAAAATTTTCAGAGCTCCTCAGATATGCTGGTTATACTAACGTAGGGTTAAGTTATAGCAACTTTATTAATGGAGAGCCATGGGTTGGGGCAGGGGACGGACAAGTAGAATGGCAATTGAAAAATAGAGTTGTTACCTAGAGTCTCCAGACATGGATCTTTCAAAGTGCTTTAATGTCAGTTTTGAAAAGGTTGACTGAAGACTCCTTGGTGATTTACTTGTATGCAAATTCCAATAGAACCTTAACGATTCACTCTTTTTCTTGCCATATGGAAGTTCTCTCTTTGCTGATCCAATTGCAGGCATAATTCTTTACCTGCTCTCCCTGCTTGCAGAAGATGACAGTCAAGCGAACCTGAGATGATTGAAGAGATGACAAGAGAGTAGCCAGTTGTTCTAAATGAGTTAGTGTCTTGACCTTCATTCATTAAAAAAAAAAAAAAAAAAAAAAAAATATATATATATATATATATATATATATATATATATATATATATATATATTGCATGCCTATTATTTGCCTCACATTGTTCTACGTGCTGGAGATACATTCATTAACGAACAAGACGAAAACCCTGTCCCCCTGGAGTTTACATTCTAGTGGGATTTGGAGAAAGAGCAGAAAATAAGCAAATAATTGTGTCAGAAGGTGACAAGTGCTTTGGAGAAGAGTAAAGCAGAGAAGGTTTTGAGTGAATGGTACAGGGAAAACGATGGTGATGGCAATTTTGAATAGGAAAGTCAGGAAAAAGCTCACTGAGAAGTGCCACTTCAGCAAAGGAGTATGGGAGCCATTAATGTAGATATCTGGGACAAGAGCTCGCCAGGCAAAGAAAACACTAAGTGCAAAGACCCTGAGGTGGGTTGCGCCTGCTATGTCCTAGGAGTTAGCAGGAAAGAGAATCAGAACCTACAAACGTCTCAATGGACCAACCCAAACAAGCTGGAATCTAACAGGAGTGATGAAGTGTAAGGGGTTGGTAATGAGGTTAGAGAAGTAATGAGGGACCTGTTTGTGTAGGCCTTTGCAGGCCATTGTGGGAACATTTTCAGGTCTCCCAGGGAAAAAGAGAAAACAATATTAATCAACCACTGCCTTAGTCAGTTTGGGCAGCTATAACAAATTATCATAAACTGAATGGCTTAAACAACACCATCTCTTTTTCTCACAGTTGTAGAGGCTTAAAGTCCAAGATGAGAGTGTCAGCATGATGAGGTTCTTGGTAAAAGCCTCTTTTCTGATTGCAGATATTCATCTTCTTGTATCCTCACAGAGGGGAGGGAGACAGAGAAGAAGCAAACTCTCTCATGTCCCCTCTTATAAAGGCACTAATCTCATTTATGAGGGCTCTGCCTTCATAACCTAATCACCCCTCAAAAGCCTCAGCTCCCAATACCATTACATTGGGGGTTAGGATTTTAACATATGAATTTTGGAGGGACACAAATATTCAGTCCATAACAACCATGATTGACCATGATAGAGGTAGAATAGAAAACAAGAGAGGAGCAAAAAGAGTAGAGATGAGAAATAGTCTGTTGTTTAAAAGATAGAAGCAGATGGAGTCTGCGAAGTATAAACCAAGGGCTGGCTTTTTCTGTAAAGGATCAGATAGTAGATATTTTGGGCCTTGTAGGCCATATGGTCTCTGTCACAATGATTCAACTCTGCCTTTACAGTGTGAAAGCAGCCATAGACAATGTAGAAATGAATATGTCTGTGTTCAATGAACTTTATCAATGATGAGCTAGATTCGGCCTATAGGCTATAGTTTGCTAACATGCATATAGAATAATAATTTGTGTAGATTTAAATGAGAAAGCAAAGAATCACTAAAACTGAGTTATTATAGAGTAGTCTTATCTCTTCATTTAGTGGGACTATCAGTGTGCTAGATTAAGTTAAATAGGGCCAATATTACAGAATTGGACTTTACCAAGACACCTAAGAAATTCTTTCCTTATTTTCTTACAAACAAGATGGAGAAATCATCTTGGATTCAAGAACAATCCATTAGTAACTGATTAAACAATCCATTAGTAACTGATCAAACAAAGCCGAACAGGGGGAAGGCTAGCATGGCTGCATCTCCTGCTTGGCTCTAACCTTTTGCTGATGGGTTCATCTAACATTGCTCACTTGGTTATGCCAGCCTATGAGTGACAGTGGCTTCCCGCTCTGGCTGCTTTCTGGGTTGCCTTATCATTCCCTGTTTGGCTTCTCAGGTCTTCCGTTTTCTGTGAAACAGCTCCCCTGTATTAAATTGTCTCTGTTTTAAATGCTCAGGGTGGTTTCTGTTTTCCTGGTTGGACCTCGACTGACACAGGCACTAACATGAATGTTACCCTGGAGGAAGGTTTAGACTGCTGTGTTGCCAGGCTCTCTTGTCTGCTCTTACCATTTTTATCAATAACTTGGATGATGATGTAGCTGGGATGCTAATCACATTTGCAAATGGCCTGCAGCTCATTGGAAAAGCTATCTGCTGGATAGCAGAATCAGAATTTTAGAATATCTAAATGGGCCAAATCTAACAAGAAGGAATTTAATAAGAAAAATGTAAAGTCCTGTACTTGGGTCCAAAAAATAACATCAAGTATAGTCTGGGGAAATTGTGACATAATAGCATGTGAGTGTTTCAGGTATTCGTATTGACATCAAAATGAAGTAAAGATTAGCAATAAAATGAACAACAAAGGAAGTACTGGTTGCATTAATACTTTAGTGCAGATAAAAAGGGACCCACCTGGAACTATTCTCTTTTTTCTTGGTCAGACCACTCTTAGAGTGTTATGTTTAGTTTGGGGAACAGTTTGGAAGTAACATAGACAAAGTACTTTGGGACACAGGGGAATGTCAGAACAGTAAGAGGAAGTAAGAGTTATTGAAGGAAACTAGAAAGAAGCAGTCAGGGAGATGAGTGGGAATAAAGTACTTCCATGTCTAAAAGTATTAAAAGGGTACCACATCAGCAGTGGTTCGATGGAATGAATATATTAGCTGATACTTCTGAAAAGGCAGAGGTTGCTTTTTCTCCCTCTGTAGCACACTCTACCATCTTACATATTCATATTAGAAAAACTTTTCTTATGTTTATACCAAAATTATCTTGTGCTAGTGAAAGTCCTGATGCAGTCATTGTTGAAATGAAAGCTCAATTTTGCATTTAATCAATGGCTCAGGAATCTGAGACTTATTCTTGTTCTAGGTACTTACTCCTTTTGCAGCCCTGGACAACTTTTTTACTGTGTCCATTTCCTCACCAAAAGAAACTGCTAAGGAGGCTCTGTTACACATTTAGCAAATACTGGACTCCCGGAGCTTAGTGAAGGTTTTTGGTTTTCTTCCCTTTTCTGCTTCTTACTATTTATATGTTATGCAGAAATCAGAGGTACAAACAGCATGGGGTTTCTCTGCAGATGTGATAAGAAGAAATGAGTAAGAGAAAACTAGAACGAAATTAAGAATGATTGCCTTGATATTCCATACAGGAGCTGACACCCAGGCTCGTTAGAGCTGCTGTTATTGCTGTTTATCGCGTATTTTCTTCTTTTGTTTCTTGGGTTGGGAGACTTTTATAGGCTGAATACTTAGTCTGCATTGTGCTCTAACAGAAACTTCAGCTTCTATTTTTGCGTAATTTTGAACATCAAGCTGCTTTTCCTTTGAACTCCAATTTTTAGCTGTGGGACACCTTTGGTCTGGTCTGCTTCCTGGGTAACCACTTCCTTCTCTTGCTTCTTTGGGAAGAAATTAAGAAATTGATTGACTCTTTTCTGTTCAGACAAAAATCAACCTACTGAACAAATAACCTAGAGTCAGGAGTCAGCGTTTCCTGACGTGGCCCAATAATGTTAAACTCATTAACACACTGGATATTTCAGTGTGTTTAGCATGGACAGATAAAAAAGAAATGTTGAATAATGTTTAGCCTGATATTTTGTGCTATTTTGATGTATTTAGGAAAAACCGTGGGTGTTGCTAGCTTTAACACACGTTTCTTTTAATGTTTTGGGATAACATGAATTATTACACTTTCGTGTGTGATACAGTTATACTTAACGCATTCTAAAATAATTCATGGAGTTCTAAAATAAGAACACTAGGTTTTTATAGTAAGTATATTATATTGTTAGTTTTAAAAATATTATAACCAGATGAGATCTTAGTGATTATTCAATTTCTGTTACAGATAAGGTTAGGTAAAGCCCAGATAGGTTAAGTGAATTCCCTATGATTTCCAGCTAGAGTTAGGCTTGGAACTCAAGAATCTTGGGTTCTTTCTCTTAGGTCTGCATGTTTTCTGCTATACCATCCTTAGGAAACTCTGTTATCTCCTTACCCACAATTTCATGTGTAGATAAAATGAAGATCATAAATAGTGTTGTAATGACATAAAACAATACTTCCATCAGCTCAGAATTGGGACTTGTCTACAATTCTGTTCTAGTGAACAGAAAATGGATATGGATTTGTAGACATCACTTGCTTCATTTGTGCTAAGCTGCATCATTACGAAATTTTATTTTTTATTTACTGAAAGTGCTCTTTTAGACTTATAGTGACACCAATTTCTGTAATATCTTACCTTGTGTATAAGTAAAAATAAAATGTAAGCAAAACTAATGGTACTTCTAATACTTCTTTACAGGCAGTGTTCAATTCTGAATTATTTTTGGACTTGCAGTTGTTGTTACGCATGTTTTTCCACCCAATATTCTCATCAAGATTATCAGTGATGAAGTATTTCTGAAAAGAGTATTACAGTCTCTGGGGCTTTTTCCTAAGCCACTGACATCCATTCTGCAAGTTCAGAGGAACATGTTCAGGTAAAGACAGTGTGTTCGGGTAGAGAACATGTTTGAGTAGTGTCTCAACTGCCATCTGGTGACAGCAAGTTTAAGGTATATTCTGATTGCAGAGATGTTAAATGCTGAAAAAATTAAAGAAAAGAAGAAAGGACGGAAGGAAGGAAAAAAGAAAAGAAAGAAGGAGAAATAGGAAGAAAAGAAGGAAGAAGTTCTAGAATGAATGAAATATGGCATGTCATTTGGCAATTCTAGTATTTCTTCCCTATTTAGTGTGTGAACATGTATGTGTGTGTGTTTGGGAACTTCTGTGAGCCATCTTCCCCAGGCCCTTTAAGGAAGGACATTTGCAAAGCAGAATGAATGGGGCTCACATATAGTCGAAGGTAAATCTGAGAGACAGAATTTAAATGACATTTGCTCCTGGATTTAGCTGTGCCTGAAATTACTTAAAAGAGAATTTGGACTTTTCACTTAAGAGAGCAGATCAAATACCTTTTAAGGCTTACACTAGCTTGACTTAGATCTCTTTTGCTAGCACCCAACAAATCTTGACTAATAGATTGGGAAATCTGATGCATATTAAAGGAATATTCTATAGACTTCAGCATTTACAGGATAGTAAAAAGAAAGAAAATTTGTTTGGTTGCAATGTCAGATAATTCTCTCCATGAACAGGGACCAAAAAAAAATATTGGGGAAACATCTTAGTCCTTTCTTGGACTAAGAAAGGACTAAGACAAATAACAAAGTTTTTTAAACAAAGCTGAAGTTTTGAAATGTAGTATGGAAAGGACACTCTGAAACCTAGCCTGTCTTTGCCAGCAGAACTAAGCCAGTGCTCCTTCCTCCTGCAGACTGCTGGCGCGCTGTGGGGCGGGGGGCAGGGGGGAGGTCGCTGTGGCACTGTGCAATTGAGGATGAGCAGAGGCTTACCCTCTGCCACAGGAGGCTTCCACGGACCTTGCCACTTGCTGGGGATGACTGCCCAGTGGAAACCTATCTGTCATCCCTGGCTAACACATAGGAGGTAATGAAAAAGAAAATAAAAATAAAGGTAACACTTGCTTTCTCCCACTCCTTTCACTGTGCATGATGCCTGAGGAAAGATTAGAATCTATTCACTCCTTTTACCTTGCACAGAAACGTCTATGTCCTGCTCAGGGTTGTTTGGAAGGCATTTCTTTAAGGAAGGCTAGAGTTTGGCTGACAGTAATGTGTGTGTGTGTAAGTGTGTATTCACCCAACAGCGACGGTAACTATATAATTTATCATTACGGTAGAAGACCGCAGAGTGCCTGGAGGGATGGAAAGGGTGTCATTGGATCAAGATTTCTGAGCCGGTGAAAACAGGATCGAGGCAGTAGTAAGAGGCAAAACAGAGTAGTGTGGAGGGGGTCTGGGCTTTGGGCTCTGACTTCTTTATGACTTTCCTTTAAAGGCCAGGAGGATGGCCGGGCTGGTTTCCTGGCTGAGATTGACCAGTGTTGGGAAGGTTGGGGGAAGGAAAAGATGAGGAAGCACAATTTAGAAGCAGGTGATGTTCCTTCTTGAAGCCCTCATGTCCACATTGGGAGATCTCTTTATAACATTTCTAGGTATTCATTACCATAGGTGACCTTGGCTGTTAAGGCTGTTTCAAGTCCTACCTAGGCCTGCCCTTTTAGGTGAGGGTCTTGCTCAAAGCTCACCTCTCAGTCCTGCCTCTCCTTCCTCTCATTCCTTTGGCCAGTGTCATCTGCTGGGTGGCCAGAATGTTAGTCAAGTTCATTTGTATGCTAATTATTGTTCTTATCTTATGAACTTATAGCTCTCAAAATGATACTATGTGAAACAAGATATTTGGTACTAAAACAATATGAGTATTGGAGTCCCATCAACCTGGGTTCAAATCCTCATGCTCACCATATTGTTCTGGGGATGCTATCTAACCTCTCAGATTCTGCATCTGTGTAATGGGAAAACTAATGTCTATTTTACACAAAATTGTATATAAATTGCTTAGGCTAGTTGTTGGCTCCAAGTGGATGCTAAGTAATTATCTCTCTCTTTGTCTCTTTCAAATTCCTCAAAATCATAGATCATTATTCCCTATTTAATATTTAGTAGGCAGTTGTTTTCACTTGGCTGGAATTCATGTAAAGGAATGGGGTAAAGTAATTTTAAACATCATTTTAATTTTTAAAATCAACTTCTTGGCAATTCTGCTTCAAATACATTGTATTGGTTATTTGAAGTAAAACAATAATTCATATTTAGACTTTTCACTCATAGAACAAAAAATGAAATATTTTACCTGCTTCTAATAATGTTTAATATTAAAACAGTGATTGACTATGTCCTAGCATTACAAAAGGGCCAGCTGGCTGCTCTGTAGCAAAAGCTACCACGAAAACGAGGACAGCAGTGGATTTCTATGGTTTTGTTCTTTACAGAATGGAGGTAGATCATGAATAGTGGTCACAGTTTAAGATTGTTAGAAAGTTAAAGATAGGAATAAAAAGGGATGTTAAGCCATTTATTCAAAAATGCAAAATCAAAATTCTTCAGGCACGTGCCAACAGACATAGGCCTGTGGGGATCTGAACCTACAGGCCAAAGGCATCTCAGCAGAACTTGATTTTTTTGTTTGTTTGTATTCTTTCTATAACGACTTCACATCAATAGGAATATAAGGTAATTGTATTAATAAGAACAGGGCTAAATAATCATTTCCCTAGAGAATTGTTCAGTTTACTTCTGGTTCATATCTGAGAGTTGAGAGAATCCAAGGAAAAGAAAGGAGCCAGAAATGGTTCTAGGAGGGCTTGAAGGGAGGAGGCCTTTCTCTTGCCTCTGGGCAGCAGCCCTCCCCAAACGAGGAGAAGAGAAAAGCCAATTCACTGATGAGGAAATGTTTAATGAACTTCTCAGAATACCCACCACTGCCTGAATTAACCAAATGTGCACCAAGCTGATAATAGACAAACAACCTGCTTCAGCTTTGAGAAGCCTGGTTCTTGCCCCCTCGTGTAAAACAATTTCTTTCTCCTTTAACACAGTTTCTTCCTGGAGAATGTTTTCAGTGGGAGATAATGCACAGAAGGTGTACAATACCACTGGTTGTCAAAGAAAAGAGGCTGGGGTTCCTTCTAGTGGGTGGTAGGTAAGAATTACTAATCCAATCTGCTTGAGTTAACTCAAAACAAGGATTAGTGTAAAGTTCCAGAATATGTTAATCTTCCTTTATAGAAGTAAACTTCGGCACTGCCACCAACCCCATGGTTTATAGTTCCTGGGAACAATGAGCCAATTAAACTTGAGAGGGAAAAAGAATCTTGCCCAAGTTTACTGATTGTTACCTAATACTTGGAGTTGCTTTGATTCTTGATTATTTGGCTTTGTGTCTAAGACACAGGAAATAAAACATCATTTATTATTCATTAGAATGTTCCTAAATACAGCATACCTCCTAATTAAACACATACTCTTGTGCACTGGTATTTTTCGTCTCCCACCTTATTAAAGAGGCTGTTTAAAATGGCTTTTGTATATAGCTGATCTTGCTTTGCCAAATGTGTCCATCAATATTAATATACTTTTTTCAAAAGCACATCTTTAGAGCTTACATGATTAATGAATGGAACAAATTGTTAGTTATTTGGGTTTGACCCACTTGGTAGAGATTTTCAAATGGAAAAATAGGTTCTTTTTTTCAGAGTAAAAACATAGGAAAGGCTAGCAAAATATCTCCCCTTCTCCCCATCAATTTGACAATCATTTTGGGGAATATTTTTGCATCTAAAACTGTTGACATTAACTTAATTTTAATTAAGCTTTTCATATCTGAAAAATTAAAGTTATTTGCTTTCATTTATTTATTTGTTTGCTTTAGATAGGTAATGACTGGCTTATTGAAGTATTGGATCAGGAATAGAAGTTGCAGAATATCAATTACTTTGATCATTAGTGGTCAGACAGTTATCAAAAACTACTCAAATAACTCAATAACAACAACCAACATAATAAATACTTACTAGGTACAGGAACACCTTACATATTTCTTTATTTAAGCAATTTAAAATCAATTTTAAGGTTTAGTTTGTGCTGCTTAAAACTAATAGGGACATGCTCATGTAACATCTCAAGATATCCTAAGTTAGCTTATATGTTAGAATACCTTCTACAGAGATTTTTTGTTTTAAGAGCTTGCTGGGAAATGCTAATTTTTCAATTAATGAAATTTGCAATGAGATCACTATATTTTGAAATTCTGTATCTTTCAAAGAATATATTTTCATTATTAATTTAAATTTCAGGTGCCAGAATCATTTTTTAAAATAGTGTATTTAAATTTATTTATACTATTCAGATTTAACAACTTGATAACTTGAACCAAATTTCATTTTCTATTAGCAGGCTTTTTATCTTGTCTTACTGTTCAACATCAAATTAAAGAAATGAAACGAACATTGGAAAAGTTACTAAAGTTCAAAATGTCGATTCTCTTTTCTCATCAGTGCCCATGTATAAACTTCCTACACATCTTTGGGAGCAGTCTCCCTCGAATAGGCTTACATGAATGCAGTTCAAGAACTTGGGCTTTTTGGTATAGACAGTCTAGCAATGTTCTTGAAGATTGGGAAATTGTTTACATTCCAAGTATGTGAAAATGTCTATGTGTTGTTGTTATTGTTGTGTGTGTGTGTGTGTGTGTGTGTGTGTGTGTTTGTAATTTTTGGATTTTATTTGCAGTATCAGTATGCAAATATATTTATTATAAGTTGAATCTCATTGAAATGAAAATGAAAAGGCAATACTATTCCTTTAATATGGTTCACTAACCTTGTTCACACTGAGTTACTGATGCTCAGTAGGAGTTTGCCAACACCAGTTCTACTCAACCCTTGATGATTATGGAGGATTTAATTACAATTGAAAATGTAAAAAAAAAAAAAGGAGTTGAAATCTAATCCAAAAATCAATTTTGCATAGAATTTAATAACAGATAAAAGCTTAAAATTCTATAACAAACAAATGAGAAATATCAGCACTAGGAAATAAGACTTTAGTTTCCAGGATCAATCCCACTACCTGTGTCAATGCATCCTGACTTCGCTTGTTTTATCAACACATGACAAAGGCATTGGTCTCACACTGAGGCATGGTAAATACATTACGAAGTAAAGACAAACACTATAAACAGGACAAACCCTGCGAGGCAAAGGCACAAACAAGGCTGCAAGCAAATAGTTTCTCCCTCTCTTGTATTTAGGCAGATTTCCCTGGAACCACAGTCTTTAGTTTTTAGATTCTTGTTTTTTTTTTTTTTTTTCTTTTTTTCCGAGACGGAGTCTTGCTCTGTCACCCAGGCTGGAGTGCAGCGGCGTGATCTCGGCTCACTGCAACCTCCACCTCCAGGGTTCAAGCAATTCTCCTGCCTCAGCCTCCCGAGTAGCTGGGATTACAAGCATGCGCCACCACACCGGCTAATTTTTGTCTTCTTAGTAGAGACGGGGGTTTCACCATGTTGGCCAGGCTGGTCTCGAACTCTTGACCTCGTGATCCACCCACCTCGGCCTCCCAAAGTGCTGGGATTACAGGTGTGAGCCGCTGCGCCTGGCCCATATTCTTGCTCTTGTGCCTGCTGTGAAATGTATGGGAAACAGTCTTTAGTGGTTGCCCATGAAGTTAAGACAGCTCAGGAATGGTTTATTTCTCAGACGCCTCTTCTGTATTTGCCACACACACCAACAGAAAAACCACAGGAAAGAATCAGTGAAGTTTCCTGCATTTTTCCTTGTTTGGCTTGAATGCCTGCAATAGGGGCTCAGGAGCGTGGAGCTGCCCTCTGTTTTATTTATAATATGAACCTCCTGATACATTACAGCAAAAGTTAGCAAATATTATTTACAGTGTAGCATGTGTTTCCATTATATTTTCTTGATGCAGCGATCTGGGTTCTTAGAAAGCTGACTTTTTAGTTGTTTTTTTAAGCATGGACAGTGATAAAATATCAAGATTTGTGAAAAGGCATCCACTTCAAGATAAAGTTACTGCTACAATTTTAAAGGATGACTGTTGAAATTGCTGGTATGTCCTTAATATTGAACCCCAAATTTTCCCATTAGGAGGCCATTAGGACTTTGATGACGCCTTCAATGTTCCCCAGCCAGGCCTCCTCACTAGGTTCTTCTGCAAATAAATAAACAGTCCCCCTCCCCAGTGTCCCGGCTTCCCCAGGGGAGGAGCCCCTGGCTGGTGTGCAGGGCATCTGACTCACTCTCCTTTGGGTAACACTAGTAATAATGTAACTGTATTATGGTCCTGGATGGAAGGGAACAGCGGATCATTTGCTTGAAAACACGACCTTTTAATTTAAACAAAAGGCTTGAAAAAATAAAAGTGGGTCTTAAATGCAGTTTAATCAGTCAGGCGAGAGATGTCTAATGAAGCTGCCAGACGGATTTGTAGCCAGGCTGTCACTTCGGCCATCATGTTTACAGCTCCGGGAGTGAGATTAGCACTGTGTGAAGGCACAAACTCGGTCAAAATTTCCTGTGTCTGGGATGCCTGTAAATTTTGACAATTTGACAAATTATTTTGTTGCAGTGATGATGGTTTGGAAAACCTGACATGTAAGAATTTAGTTCTTTGATCTTCGCTTCTTTACACTGGCCCTAGAGAGCATTATATCATTGCAACAAAAGGTAACAACCAAAACCAAAACATTGATAATTGGATTTTTACATTTTATATATACATATATATATATGTATTTATAAAATATTATTTCATCTGGTGCTTTCAAGGAAAACTTGCCATTTTGGCCCATATTTCAGCTAAAAATTCTTTCCAAAGATTTTTTTTTATAGAGGAAAATCACCTATGTGTTAGTATGACAATATCATGTCATAGTTATGAAATAGTTCTTCTACAATTTGAATTTTCATTGCTTTGTACCTTTTACCTTCAGGAAAAATGCCATCCTGTCTTGGAGGTGTTTAAGTAAGTATTGAGGAATTCAAGTCAGTATTTTACTGTATTAGTATTCCTTCTTAGCACTGTTAGACAAGCCAAATCATAATTTTCTTTTGAAATAAATGTGCACTCAGTGTATACTTGAAAACATGCAATCAAAAGGAGTGGTCAGAAAACTTAAGAAGAATAGAAACTTTTTAATTATTGTTTTTCAGTAATTAAAAAATATTTTCCTTTAATTTTTTTTGAAAATTAAAGGAAAGGGAATAATTGCCCTGGGAAAAAAAGAATGGTTGGGTCTTTTTATTTCTTTTCTTCTTTTTCGAGTTTGCCATATTTATTTGCTGCAAATGGCATGCAGTTGTGCATAAACATTAATATTATCCACTTTGTTTCCTCTTAATAATACAGGGAAGCCTCAGCTTAATCTCTCACTCATTTCATGCCAAAACACAAGTGTATTGCTTTTGTTTTACTACATGTTTCATTCCATCTGTTGGGAGCCCAGTAAGTCAATATTTATCACATTTATAGATTCTGAATCACTAGGGGAAAAAAATCACTTCTGGGAAAAAACGTGCATCTATCATTCTCAACTATTTCAAAGTTTAAAAGTGTTGTCTCTGTGATGTTGACTTTGGTTTTTTGAGCTAAAATAATGCAGCTTGCATTATGTTTTAATTAAAGCAATTTTAAACTACATGTTTTCAAAGTTTTTCGTTTTCCCCAAACCTCTCTGTAATTGCCTTGTCATGATTATCATTTTCCTTTCACTGTTGCTTTCTATAGAAGCCCCAGGAAAGAGTTACTAAAAATTAAATTTCATGCTTGCATGTGTTTCTGTGATCTGCAGCGTGTATGATCTCTGAGTGGAAAACTTCTCTGAAAATAAATGGATTACCCTTTTTACTACACTGTCTGATGTCTCTTCAGCAGATAGCATTGCTTCCCTGTGATCTCTAACCCACCACAATTGAAATGACAAGCGTTGAAATGGGGGCCTCACGGTGGCGCCCTCTGCCTTTGCCGGCCCTTTCTGCAGCACGGAACGGTTCACGCCGCAGAGCACCGGTTCTCAAACTTGAATAATGCCTGGACACCCTTGGGAAGGATAGAATCATCTTCAGAAACCCCACAACACGTCAGTGGAGTCCACTTTGAGAAATGCTGACCTAAAAATTAGAATCTTATTCTATTAAAATGGCTTACATTTGAGAATTATCACTGCAAAGAAAAGTTCCGTCTTTAGAACTGCTAAAAGGTTGAGTTTTTACATCTTTACTCTGCTATTGAAACAAAACTATTAAAATTATCTTAAATATCCTGAAAGTCTCAGACTCCTGAAAACGTGTCCACAGATCCCTGCTTGAAAAACCTGCCGGAGTACCTGCTTTTCCTTGCATTTGTTGGCAGAAGATGAGCGTTTGACCTTTTACAAACTGCTCTGTAAATATCATCATTGCTTAGTTTGTGAAAGACTAATGTGTTTCCACTAACAAAACTGTCTTTCCAGGGTTGCTGCTTTCTAGAATAATGCTTGTTTTCCTACTGGGTTTTCTGTTGCTGGTGTTTTTTTTAAAGGCAACCAAATTTGTCTAAGGGATTGCACTTTAAGGCAATCCAGGGACTTTTAATGAAGAACTGATGAGAAAGCCAAAGTCTCTGGTTGAAAAAAAAAAAAATGTGACAAAGTAGCAGATCTCAAAAATATTAACCAAGTAGATTCTCTAATATTTGATACTTTAAACGCAAACTGTTTTCTAAACAATGTTTGTAAGCAAATGTTAAAAGTATTTTTTTCCGGGATTACTGCTTCTATATTAAACAGATAGTATGAACAAACGATAGAGTTGGCTTTTCTATCCTCACAGCAATCAGTAAGTGTGGACTTTTTTTTTCTTAAGAAGAAACACCAAAATAAATGATTCCTCTAAAGGATCTAGTATTCCAAAAAGGGTGAATAAAGAAAGTTTAGAACATTGATATTTCCATAACATAACTAATATGTTATTGTTTGTAACAGAGGAAGGAAATAAACCAGTTGACAGTACTATTTATAAAAGAGCTTTGAATTAAAGTCTTTGGCTAGGAAAATCAAGCCATATTGCTCAAAGGTACTAGGATTCCTCTAGTCCTTCATGGATATTGGAATTCTAATGAGCTTACAACCACAGGTGAAGCTGGCAAAAGTTGTCTTTTGAGCCAACCCACACACCTCGAAAACAAATATATAATAGTTATTCATGTGCCACCATGGGAATGTACCATAAAACCAACAGAAAGAAAAATAATAAACATGTCATACAATAAGCATATGCTATGATGCGTGGCTTCAGATTTTCAATAGCTGAGCTTTATTACAATAACCACAACATGAACAGCTTTGGGAAACAACAACAGGGTCAACACGTAGGCCAAAAGAATCCATCAGTCAAATGGTCTTCTTTTGAAAACCCAGCTATCTGTGTTGAGCTAGAGTTAAGTGCTTTGTACCAGAAGCCTTTGTTCATCCTAGCAGCTTCATAGATATAAATAAAACTAGTTTGCCTGGATTGAAATTTATTTTTGATATGTCATTAAAGTTTTGTAAGTAAATTATTTATTATTAATCTCAGAAAGGGTTCTATTTTAATTAACCCGATATGTGATCATGCTGTATATTCTAGAAGACCCCAAGTAATCGGTTCTAAAAGCCTAAAAATTAGGAAAATGTGCACTTCCCAAGAGGCTCAACATGCCTTTTGTGTAAGAATTAGGTAGCAGTTCTTTTAGATGGTTATTATTTTGTGGGCTTAAAATACTGCATCAAAAATGATTTAAAATGTTTATATAAAATGAAAATTATGTCCTCAATTTCCTGCAGTGTTATTTTAAATTTTAAATATTCAGCAATTTTCAAAAAAATTTAACCCCTTAGTAATTTCTTATAGTTTACATATATAATCCGGCTGTGCTAATATTATTTTATTAAACCAGAATGTGGTAGCTAGAGACAGGGATTTTGTTTCCTCTTCTCTTGTATCCTCAGCACTTAGATCAGTGCCTGACATGTAGTAGGAACCCAATAAATATTCGTTGAATGAATGAATAAATGAATATTATGTTAAGCTGATAAAGGGCATAAATTTTAGTGGTATTTATTACATGAAGATGGTAATTATGGTTATCAAAGTGAAAACAGATACTGCCTTTTGATGTTTGCACTTCCCTAAGTGTGAACCAGCAGCACCTACCCTTTTAAAATGTTCTTGCATCTAGCAGAACTGATTTATTCTTCTCTGACTTGGAAAACTTTCTGCTTCCGAAGAAGATTTTTCTTAAATGAATCCTCACCAGGGAAACGTCTATTTTTAAGCAAACCATAAAGAATTCATTAGTTTATATGATTGTTGCTTTGGCTCTTTCCCATAATATCTTTGTTTTTTGTGAAGCCAGGGAGTGTGCTTTCACCTGTGATCTACAGAATTAAAGCGCAGGGTGTGTCTGATGTGTAAGAGCCCCCACTTGAATGTCTCATAGCACCTGCTGGGCATTAGCCTTTAGGTATACATGGAGGTTTTCTGGGAAAAAAAATAAAATAAAATAAATAATAATAATAATAATAATAATAAAAAATAAAGTCTCTACCAGACTTACAAAGAAGAATTAAGTATTTACTCTTTTAGAAATTCATTCTATTATGAAATCTTAGCACTCAAATATGTCAAGCCTTTTATTTTTCTGTGAAGTAAAATGGCATGCATACCAGGGACAAAAGAACTATTGGCAACGATTGAAATATTTAACAGTGCAGTCGAAGTGGAGGAGAGATATTTCAACTACAAGTAACTACTGTCCCCAGACTTGCATAAGGCACTTTGGGAATTCAAAGCAGAGGAAAATAAGGGATCTGACTTAGAGGACTTGTAGTGAATTGAGGAAATAAAGCCCGCGTACATGTGCAAGCACACACACACACACACACACAAATTAATAAGAGAATAATTAAAAACAACACATGAATAATAATAATTGCAAGATGGCAAGATTAAAAGCTTATATAGAAATCCATGAGTACAAAGTGCCTTCCGAGAGTGGGATTCGTCAGGAAAAGCCCTCTGAAGTAGTGGGATTTGAGCAGAGCTTGTTAAATGCAATATTTTATGTTGCCTTTCGTTCAACAAACATTTGTGAAGTGCCCCTGTGGGTTGGGTTCCGGGTTCGCAAAAGGCTGGGATGTCAAGATGAACAGGACAAGGTCAGATTCCCAAGTCTTGCTGTTCATTTTGCCATCAGCCCAGGCTATGTTCTTAATTATATCACAGAATTTTTAGTTCAGTATTTCCAGATCTAGGGACTGATGTTGATTTTCTCTGGTCACTACAAAAGCAAGAAAAATTAGAAGAACAGTGGAGGCTGTTATCCAAAGTGGATCACCACAGCTGATGTGGAAAAGAAAACCCAAAAATTCTGTGCTAAAAGGAGCCTAACTGAGGTCTCAGGCACACGTGCACTGTTAAAACTTATCTAGCAGTTTGGCCTATTCTGTCAAAAAGTATCCAGGCCAATTATTTGCTATTTTGCTTACAAGCCTTGCTTTATTGAACTTTTTAATTAGTGGAGTGGTTGTTATACAGATGCAGATTTTAAAGGTTTCCTCCAAATTTTCACTGATGTTTTCAATCTCTAGTACTTACAACATTATATTAAACAATTTTTAAGATTTTTAATTTTTTTCATGGAGGAAGGGCTTGTTTTTTAGCTTTTCGAATTGTCACATTTTAAAAACAAAAATTGCCTATGACACACAAGTCCTCCTTTTTCTTCTAGCTGCTGTACCCACCACTGACCACCCTCTGTGAATACCTTTTCTGTGTATTTTCTGGCCTCTCTTCCCGAGACGTTTTCTGGTTGCTCCCCCCTCACTTCTCTGGTCTTGTATGATTGCATCTAAATGTTGCTATCTGTCAGAGGTCTTTGCCTACTTCTACTGAGGCATCTACAGTGTGTTTCAAAATCCCTACTTAGTTGATTTAGTTTTCTCACATCTCAAAACTAGTGTATCCGAAATTAGCCGGGCATCGTGGTGCACGTCTGTAGTCCCAGCTACTCTGGAGGCTGAGGCACAAGAATCGCTTGAACCCAGGAGGCAGAGGTTGCTGTGAGCTGAGATCATGCCACTGCACTCCAGCCTGGGTGACAGAGCGAGACCCTGTCTCAAAAAACCCCCCCCCAAAAACAGCAACAAAAAAGCTGTATCAAATATGGAATTTGCTCTCTTCTAAACGTGCTTCCTTTTCTGCTCACCCTTTCTCTGCCAGTGTTACCATTTTCCAACCTCCCCGCTGAAATGGTACCACATTTTCCAGGTTTTCTGCCTACTTTTCCAATACTTCTTTCTCAGTCTCTTTTGTCAATCTTCTTCTGCAGCTCACTCCCTGAACATCAGTGTTAGCTGGAGTTCTGTCCCAGCTTCTTCTTTCTTGTCATCCCATTTGGTTTTCCATGGTGAGCTCTCTCAAACCTGTGTCTCCAGCCCAGATCCCGAAATCACTGTGTCCAACACTGTATTCATCATTTCTCCCCAATGCCACCCTCTCCCCACTCACCACATGCACCTTTTTGTGTATTCAGTGGCTAGAATGAATGCCTAGGCATCCACTCCAGAAATCTGGGAATCACCCTTGACTCCTTCCCGTACTCGCTTCCCACACTCGGTCAGTCCTGTCAATCAGAACTCCTTTGTGTCTCTGGAGCATATACTCTTCTCTCAACCCCTGTTACCAGAGCCTTATTTTAGGCCCTCATCAATTTTCATCTGGATTTCCAAGGTATCATCTTGGTTAATACTTGTATCAGCCCATTTTCCAGAAGAAAAAAACTGAAGCTTAATGACATTAAGTAATTATTGCTTATGATGACACTTGCTGGTACCAAGATTTGAACATAGGAAGTCCAGCTCTAGGATCCTCACTCTTAAGCACAAATTATACCACGTCTCTGTTTTGGGAAAAGGAAGGGGGCAATTAGATGGTATATTCTATTTCTTTGCTACTCAAGTGTGGGCCAGAGACCTGCAACATCACATTATCAGGGACTTTGCTAAAAATGCTGAATCTCAGAGCCGCCTAGGCCTCCTGAATCAGAATCTGCATTTACCAACATGTCCAGGTGTTTCATGTGCTTGTGAAGCGCTGCTCTAGTGCAGGTGTGAAGAGTACTGTGTAAGTGCATGTAATTAAACCCAACACTAGCCTTCAGGCCCCCATTCTTAAATTTCCTCTCAAATAGACTTATCTGTGGTTTGAGGTAAAAATTTTTGTTTTAAGACAGAAGCACTTCTAACCAATGGCAATGCATCTTTCTAACACAGCTTAAAGAAAGCTTTGGGGACACATAAGAAGAGAAGTGGGGAACTGGGGTCACAGCTGTGTGACCTGAAGTATATTTGCTCACTCCGGGATGCCAGCTCCAGGTCCCGCCATACCCTGCACTGTTTTCTACCAGTGCTAACAGGGGAAGGAGTACATAAAGGCATTTCTAAGAGGGTGGCTAATATGGAGGGGAAATATAGCGCCACCCATAGATTTCTTACACTGGCCTGATGACTGAGTCATACTCATTTATAGTCATGAAACAGAGGAGAATAACCAAGACTCGAGTGCACAGTGAGTTGGCAATAGATGTAATCATAAGACCCAAGAATTCCTAGCTCTTATTCCCTGGCTCTAGCTATGGGACCACACACGTGAAATCATCTTTTTTACAGATTATTGAGTCCCCCCTTACAAAAATCTTGCCCTGGGACCCCTTGTCTCCATCCCTGAGGCTATGCACATGGAGGAAATCATGAATGCCACCTCATCTGCTGTGTAGGGGAAAGATTTACTTTCTGTATTTGCACTGACATCTACAGTCTGTGTCTATAGTCTTTGATGCCTCAGAACTATATCCAAAGGCTGCCATTGTCTTACAGCTTATGTAAGAAAATCCTTATCTTGGCTTTACAATTAACACAGAAGTGCTAAATGGCAATATTGATGAGTTTGAGAAAAGAACCAGAAATCTAGGGAAAATGTGAATGAATCTCTTTTTTTAAAAGGCAGGCTTAGTGAAATTTGTACCACTGGATCCAATCCCATTGAAACGGGTTGTAAAAAAATAAAGTTTCCATGCTGCTAAGCTGCTTTTATGTGGCCGTGGCATCTCTGCACGCAGCTTGTATGTGTGGGATGCTTCAGTTCCAAGTCAAGCTTGTGCAAAGGTAGACCTCAGATCTGCTGTCTGCACTTAGGCGTCTTCCAAGAGAAACACCCGCCAACTCAATCATTGTCTGACTAAGAGAACCTGGAGTCCTCAGATAGGGAAAAACGAAAAGTTAAATCAAGCAGTTTCATACATACCTGTGACTCATTGTGAAACCCAAGCTGCAGAAAACTGACAGCAGGAACAGAGAATGCTGACCTAGTTTGCCAGAACAAAGGTAGGATTTACTTTTTTGGTTGTGAATTTTTGTTTCTTTATCAAAACAGAGGAGTTTAATGAACATTAGTTCTTAAGGAAACAGGAGGCAGATAACTGAGGGTGGAGCCGGGTCTCCTTTATCCTCCCTCTTCCCTGCCTGGCCCAGTCACTAGGCCTCAGCTGAAACCTTCAAAACCCTTATCTGCCCACTGAAGTGGCAGACTTCTTTAACCTTTGACCTAAATTGTGTTTGAACTTTCATCTTGAGGAAGCAAAGTTTTAACATTAAGCCACTAAAGACTTCAAAAGCCCTGGATTTATGTCCTGTTCTTTAGCAAGAATCCCAATACCCTTGTCTTTGACCAACAAATAAAGTGGGGCTTGTTTGTCCCAATTCTAGTAGTGATATGCTAGGTGAAGAATAATAATCAAGAGGAGGGTATTTATAGCGCTTGATGCATTTTAATAGATAAGCTTCCCAAGAAACAAATCAAAGGAAATATTTCCCTACAGTTTTCAAGACTTTTTATTTGGAGTTCTTATTTTTATTCACAGAATAAATGTGAACATTACTTAAGAAAGACTTTCATTTCTGCCTCTCTGAGAGTATCTAAGGAATTTTAAAGTAAGTCATGTTAATATTTTGGGGTCCAAATTGAGAAAGTCCAAAAGTCACAATACAATATCTCACAATCTCTTTAGAGCCAGTTGCATTTGAAAAAACAATGACTATTTTAATGGATCGTCCTTTATATTCTCGCCTAAATTCACAGAGGATTTGCATTTAGCCATAAACATGCTCAGATGAGGACATGCCTTAAAGAGAGTATCTGAAGGGCAAAGTAAGTCTGAGAGGATTAACAGCAGAATAAAATCCAGATTAAATCAGATAACCAAGGAAAAATTAGTAGAAGAACTAGAAACATTTTAATGTCTGTAACAGGGAAACACCACCCTCAGTGCCCTGAAAAAAGAGGGATGCCCAACAGATTTAAATCAAAGGCCAAAACTTACTTTGATTTATATCTGTAACTCTTATGACTTGCTCTTTTATAAAAAAAAATTTTTACATTAATTTTATTTGTCCTGTCAATTAAAGTAACTGAGGCTGCCAAAACACTGTCATTTCTTATAACTGATTACTCTCCCCTTCCCATGGCTGTCATATGTGTCTCAAGTGTATTTGTCTTTGGAATGTTGTTCCTTTATTGCCTTTTGTGGGACCTGTCTTGCTCTGGCATTTTTACTGTGGTAGACACATTGCTATATTACAGTAAGCCAAAGGTCATCTACACAGCCATCAATTCTAAGAATAATTTTTTGGTTAATAAAAGTAATTTTCTTAGCTGAGGGCTACTTGCTGTGAGGAGGATTTATATTTGCCAAATCACATTTTCTAGAAAGTGATAGAATGTCAACCATCGAACTATAATTTTTGATGCTATAATAGTTTGTTAAAAACCAAATTTTCTTTCTTTAATGTGGCTTTTGAATACAGTAAGAAAGTTGAGTGAGGGTAAGTGACATGATGAAGCAAAAACATGTTTTGGGAAAATGTGTAACAAATGTTATTTGCTTCCTGGCTTAGAAAGCACCTAGGCAGAGAGAACAGAGGGAGTGTGTTGATTAAGAGCAGGAGTTGGAGCTACAGAGATATGGAATGGAAAACTGTCTCAGCCATCTGCAGTGATCCTAGACAACTTAATTAACTTCTCTCAGCTGGGGCTTTTTCATCTGTAAAATGGGCATGGCAATAGTACCTACCTCCTAGGTTTATTTGGAGAAAGAAATGGGATTTGCACAAAAAGCGTTTGGGTCTGTAAATGTGTATCTGCCAGGCAAGGCTGCTTATACAGCATTGACACACAGCCCCACATTCTCAAGGGCTTAAAACAACTGAGAAGCTCTTGTTGATGCTGATGTCCACTGCAGATTTGTGGGGTGCCAGTGGTTGTCTGCCCATCGAAGTCATTCCGGGATCCAGGCGATGGAGCAGCCACCCCTCAGATTTTGTTGTTTACATGCAGAGGAGAAGTGCAGTCTGCAGTTTTTCTTCCAGCAATTATGAAAAGCTCAGCCTACAAGTGACACATATCACCTATCATCAAACTTCATTGGCCAGAACCAGTCTTATGACCCCACCTACTCACACGGGGCAAGAAGGCGGATGTACCGGAGGCAGAGAGCTGGAAATAGTTGAACAGCACTAATGGAGACCACAAATATATTTTATACATACAAAGGTGGGAGGAGAGAGAGAACCCAATTCACTCTCTTTCTATAGGTGAAGCAGAGAGAGTTACTCCAGATCAGTGTCCAAGTACCATGATCGCAGTCAGGCAACCAGACAGCTGCAGGAGCAGGCGCCACCCCACTGAATACCCCAGGCAATTTAAGGAAAAATGTGGATCAAAAGGGAGGAGTTTCCCCAACAACAGGGAAGAAGCCCTTCCACCATTCCTACTAGATATTTAGTGGAACAGTATTATTGGAAACTTTTTTTTTCAGTAAGTCATTGCAGTGCACATACAATATTTGGCAAGAAAGAGTCTGTATGAGTGACCTTATCCATCAGCCAAAACGCCACCTGGGGTGGCAGCTGTTGGGTAACAGGGCACTCAGATGCAGTTGGGGGTTGGGCAAAATAAACATCTGATGTAATACTGGGCGAGTCACTTTAACCCTCTGATCCCCAGTGTCCTCACGTGTTAAATGGGAATAAGATTAGACTTGGCAGGAGGTTTGGGTCACAGGGAACAGATGAGATTATACTCAGAACTCCGGAAGCATGTTGGAGAGCCACTGGCACAAACAGCCACTCAACAATGTTCATTCATTCATTCACTCCATCAGAGTCACAGATCCTTCCTGTCTGCCCTCTTTAGAAAATGCAACATTCCTTTCAATTCTATTAATGCAGTCATTTTCAGAAATGGAGTTTCCCAAATGAACTCTGCCCTGGTTATGTGGCGATGTGCACAGTATGGCAAAAATGCCAAGGGCCTCAGTAGCAGGCACAGCAGGTCTGAGCTTTCAAGGTATCCCTGGGCCCTTGGACACAGGTCAAAGTTGCAGTCCTAACCCAGCTCGTGGGTTGGAACTGGTCAGGGGAGGCCCTAGCTAATTGGCAATGTTGTCAACTAACCAGGGGCTTTGCAGCCCTGCCACAGTCTGAGCCATGGGCACAGCCATTTCCTTGAAGAGGTGTTCGGCTCAGAGAGCCTTGGGCTGAGTGTCAGCTGGACCTGGGTTCTGGTCCTCATTCTGCTGCTGAGTTGCCTTGTTCAAGCCATGTAACCTCCCTGGTCTTCAGTTTCCTTTGGTGTAAAATGTCTGAATCGGGTTGCTGGTTTTTGACGTTCTTTTTCCCATCTTCAGAACTAAAGGAAATCTTGCAGTTCCCAAGTTAAAACAAATACAGGCAGAGCTGCTCTGAGCTCCAAGGTCTCTCCTGGAAAACTTCAGCTCCCTGTGTTTCTGAGAGGTGACAGCATGCTGGCAGTCCTCAGAGCCCTCGCTTGCTCTCGGCACCTCCCCTGCCTGGGCTCCCACTTTGGTGGCATTTGAGGAGCCCTTCAGCCCCCCACTGCACTGTGGGAGCCCCTTTCTGGGCTGGCCAAGGCTGGAGCCCACTCCCTCAGCTTGCAGGGAGGTGTGGAGGGAGAGGCACGAGCGGGAACCGGGGCTGCGTGCGGCGCTTGCGGGCCAGCTGGAGTTCCCGGTGGGCGTGGGCTTGGTGGGCCCCGCACTCGGAGCAGCCAGCCAGCCCTGCTGGCCCCGGGCAATGGGGGACTTAGCACCCGGGCCAGTGGCTGCAGAGGGTGTACTGATTCCCCCAGCAGTGCTGACCCACCGGCGCTGCGCTCGATTTCTCGCCGGGCCTTAGCTGCCTTACCACGGGGCAGGGCTCGGGACCTGCAGCCCGCCATGCCTGAGCCTCCCACCCACTCCATGGGCTCCTGTGCGCCCGAGCCTCCCCGACGAGCACCACCCCCTGCTCCACGGCACCCAGTCCCATCAACCACCCAAGGGCTGAGGAATGCGAGCGCACGGCGCAGGACTGGCAGGCAGCTCCACCTGCAGCCCCGGTGCGGGATCCACTAGGTGAAGCCAGCTGGGCTCCTGAGTCTGGTGGGGACGTGGAGAGTCTTTATATCTAGCTCAGGGATTGTAAATACACCAATCAGCACCCTGTGTTTAGCTCAAGGTTTGTGAGTGCACCAATCGACACTCTATCTAGCTGCTCTGGTGAGGACGTGGAGAACCTTTATGTCTAGCTCAAGGATTGTAAATACACCAATCGGCACTCTGTATCTAGCTCAAGGTTTGTAAACACACCAATCAGCACCCTGTGTTTAGCTCAAGGTTTGTGAATGCACCAATCAACACTCTGTATCTGGCTGCTCTGGTGGGGCCTTGGAGAATCTGTGTGTGGAAACTCTGTATCTAACTAATCTGATGGGGTCGTGGAGAACCTTTGTATCTAGCTCAGGGTTGTAAACGCACCAATCAGCGCCCTGTTAAAACAGGCCACTCAGCTCTACCAATCAGCAGGATGTGGGTGGGGCCAGATAAGAGAATAAAAGCAGGCTGCCCAAGCCAGCATTGGCAACCCGCTGGGGTCCCCTTCACCACTGTGGAAGCTTTGTTCTTTTGCTCTTTGCAATAAATCTTGCTACTGCTCACTCTTTGGGTCCACGCTGCTTTTATGAACTGTAACACTCACCGCGAAGATCTGCAGCTTCACTCCTGAGCCCAGTGAGACCACGAGCCCACCAGGAGGAACGAACGACTCCAGACGCGCCACCTTAAGAGCTGTAACACTCACCGCGAAGGTCTGCAGCTTCACTCCTGAGCCAGCGAGACCACGAACCCACCAGAAGGAAGAAACTCCGAACACATCTGAACATCAGAAGGGACAGACTCCAGGCGCGCCACCTTAAGAGCTGTTAACACTCACCGCGAGGGTCCGCGGCTTCATTCCTGAAATCAGTGAGACCAAGAACCCACCAATTCCGGACACATTCCCTTCACACCTCCCTCTGGTGTCTGAAAACCCAAGAACATTCATTTCCTTACGGAGAGACTCAACAATCCTTCATTGGGATGGGAGAGGGGGCTCGCATCCATCCACTGTCCCCTTCACTGTGAATGAATTGGTTGGTTTGCATTCGCTCACATCTGTAGAACTGGAGGGAACAGGACACAGAAAAGAGTAGGCCAGAGGAACAACTGCCCAGGAGTCAGGGGCAAGAGGAGAACTGTTTCCCCCCAGGGGTGTCTCACCTGGGTCAGAATCACTCATGATGGCCTCAGGGACCAGGAAGTTATGAGCAGAGATCCTTGGTGAGGTCTACACACCACAGTTTTGCCTGAAGACGATCCTTATTTTAGAGAGCCAATTTAAAGTAGGAGGAAAGCAAAAGTAATGTTACTGAATTGGTGGCAGAGAGGAGGAGGCATCAGTAAGTATCAATTTGTTCTCTTCTGAGCAGGAGCAGTTCCCTCCATTTTCAACTGCAACTTTCTCTCTTCTTTGCTTTCCTCCCAGAAGTAGCCCATGGAGGCGACCTGCACATGGACTACACGAGGCAACTAACATTTTTTGTACACTTATTTTATATAAACTCTGTGCTTGGCAATCTGCACACATTGTTTAAGTTAGCCATTTGCAACCCCCTGAAGAAGGTTAGAGGGTGTTACTCTATCTTCATCCTAACATCTCTAGCTGGGGAAACAGTGTTGGAAATTGAGTTAAGAAAATTCACACAAAGCCAAAAATTTAAACCTCACATATGTCTGACTCTAACTCCTGTGTTTTTAAATATTTGTACACTGTCTTCTCTCCCAGATTCCCTCTCTCCATCTTCTCAATTTCATCAGTGCTAGAGAGAAAAATTAAGGAAAAGAAGAAAGAGAAAATGTGGAATTTCTGTTTTATCATCAATTTTGCCACATGTTAATACATCTGCTCATGTGTTTTTCCTACTTAAACCCACCTTTGGCTTTGTATTGCCTACAAAGGAAAGTTCATCCTCCTTAGTCTCTGTTTTCCAAAACACGTACAGTCTGATACCACATCCTTTCCAGATTTATGCCATGTCACCATGTACAACACCAGCCACCTAACTTCTTGCTATCTCCCAAACACACACATGCACCATCATACTTCTGTGCCTTCGCTCATGCTGTTCCTTTTGCCTGAAATTCCCTTTCTTTGTTAATTTGTTTGTCAATTCCACATATATTAAGCTCCTACTTATGTACCAGGCCCTGGAGCTAGAAAGGTGAATACATCCAGGTCTCTAACATTCAGCTTACAGTCTGGTGGGGCACACAAAGAGGTAAAAGGGCAATTATAATACAGTGGGAGTGTGTAAGTTATGACAGCTCACAGGGGAGACCTACCCCAGATTTGGAGGTAGGGAAGCGAGGTTCAGGGAATGATGACTTCTCATAGGAGGTAATTCCTTAGCTGGGACTTGAAAGATGGGAAGGAGGAAGAGGTTTTCCTAGACGTGCATGAAGGAAGGAGGGAACTGGTGAATATTTGAAACTAATTTAAAACTTTCGAAAGTGGATTAATTGACAGCAAGTGAGAGGAGGAACAAATGAAGCTGGGAGGGGCTTTTGGGTCATGTTAAAAATTTTTGGATGTTTAAGTTGAGAAAATGGAAAGCTACTGAAGGGTTTTTCTACTTAAGCGGGAAAGTGACATAATCATATTTGCAGCTTTGGGTATACCAGTCTGAAAATAGCTTAGGGAAGACATCACAGACTTAAATGTTTCCCAGCTTATGAGTGAAGCTGGTCCAGGGTAAGAAAATACATAGGAAAATTCTTCATTTCTTCAAAGAAAAATGTATTCCTCCCATTTTTTAAGAAACGTGGGCCTATTGGTTTGTCTTTTACTTTTTCATTTTTAAGAGATTCAATGAATGATTAAAAGAAATATTTCACTTTCCTCTTAGCTGTAAGAGTATAACAGAAATTACTTAGATTAGTGGCAGTGCTTTACTTGTCACAGTGTTGGGTGGAATACAGTGTAGGGGACTGTGGTGAACTGTGGTGAGCAGGCCCCGTCTAAGAGGAGCAGCCCCCACTTCACTCCAGCTGTCTGTTTTCGTGCAAGAATGTAGGTCAAATCTAGACCTTCTGCTCTTTCAAAGAAATCCAGAGATCAAATCTTAATGTAAAAATCTACTGATTTTAAAAATTGACTGAAAACCAAAAACAAAAACAAGAAGCTTAGAATTGCCAGATTTAGCAAATAAAAGAACAGGATGCCATGTGAAATTCGAATATCAGATAAACAATGAATGCTTCTTGGTGTTAAGTATATTCCAACTATTGCATGAGATATATTAAAGTATGATTTGCCATTGATCTGAAATTGGAATTTAACAGGGTGTAATGTATCTTGGCTGGCAACCCTAGATCAAACAAAATATGCACATGAATCACATTAGGTATGTCAGCCACCAGTTGGCAACTTGTGGTATTGATTGGTGATTCTAGACTTTATCTGCGGAGTGTTGTCTTTTATAGCAAATAAGTCATGTCATCATTTTCATTATGCTAAAATAAAACGTATAGATAGTACAACCTATTTAATCATAATATTTTAAAAGTCAACCTAAGGCCTAATTATAAAGAAGAAATGAAAAGAAAATTATTTCAATATGTGATTGCTTGGTAGCACTACACTAGTAACTGGCAAGACATCTGAGAGTTGTGAAAGACATGTGGGTGCCCCAGGTACTACAGGGCATCTAGCTCCCTGGAACCTGGCTATCAAACACTCACACTGCTTCACAATCTTTGTGATAACAAAAATACTGCCCCCCATTTTCAAAATCTCCCTTAGGTGTGGTACCGTCTTCAGTGATAAGGAGCAGTTAGTGAAAGGATTCACAGGAAAAAGGCAGAGACTGGTACTTGAAGTTGGGAGATCAATTTTAAATAGAAATGGAGCTGGGCGTGGTGGCTCACAACTGTAATCCCAGCCCTTTGGGAGGCTGAGGAAGGAAGATTGCTTGAGGCCAGAAGTAGCTATGATTGTGCCACTGCACTCCAGCCTGGACGACATACAAAGACCCTGTCTCCTGTAGTCCTAGCTACTCAGGAAGCTGAGACAGGAAGATCCCTTGAGCCACGGGTAGCTATGATTGCACCACTGCACTCTAGCCTGGATGGCAGAGCCAGACCCTGTCTGTAAATAAGTAAGTAGCCAGGCACAGTGGCTCATACCTGTAATCCCAGCACTTTGGGAGGTGAAGGTGGGCAGATCACTTGAGGTCAGGAGTTTGAGACCAGCCTGGCCAACACGGTGAAACCCCGTCTCTACTAGAAATACAAAAATTAGCCGGACCTGGTGGTGTGTGTCTGTAATCCCAGCTACTCAGGAGGCTGAGACTGGAGAATGGCTTGAACCCGGGAAGCGGAGGTTGCAGTGAGCCAAGATCACCTCAGTGCACTCCAGCCTGGGCAACAGAGTAAGACCCTGTCTCAAAATAAATAAATAAAGTAGAAATGGCTGGAGAACCAACCAGAAGTAGGAAAAGAAAGGATGAAGGGTCAAGTGGGATCATTCAAATAGGCAAGATGGGAACAGAATTTGTTTTAGAATAAATAAATCCTATTTCTTGAGTTTTAGATTTAGATTTCTGTGTGATACCTAAGAGGAGAGGTCTGTTAGTCTGTGAAATCCGTGAGTGCTGTGGTCTGAGATCGCCATAGAACATTGGGAATTTGCAGCGCATTGTCTGTATGTGATGAAGTTATGGGAATGGATGAGCTTGCTCTCGGAAAGGCTACAGGTAGGAGGCGACGTAGTCCATGAACATAGCCCTGGGAACACCAACTTTCATGAGATGTCCAGCCTTTTTCATGGAGGAATGAAGGAATTCCCAGAATGAAAATGGCAAATCCAGGAAAAAGTGAAGTAACAGAAAGCATGGGAGGAGAAATGGGTGGGACCAACCCTGCAGAGAAGACAGATTCTACGGGGAAGATAAACAAGAGAAGAGTTGAACAATGTGCAGTCAGGAGGTCCCTGATGAGCTGAGTGACTGCAGTTTCAGTGCAGGGGTAGGTGTGGAATTCTTTTTAGAGTTGATGAGAAAATGCAGACAGGGAGCACAGGCCACTTAAAAAGCGGCATGGCTGTGAAGGAGTATGAACTCCTTTCTGCCTTTTAGGGTCCTCCTTATATGAGATCTCTGAAATTTCCTTTACCTTAAGTATCTTTTAGGATGCCTTTGCTAGTAATTAACAGAAAAAAGAACCCAGACTGGCTTAAAAAGTAAAATTCAATAGTGGATTTAGGCTACTGAAAAAGTCCAGCAATAATGTCTGCTTCAGGCATGATTTGATCAAGGCTTTAGATCCAGTTCTCATAATTTTTTCCTATGTGTCTTAGATTTGCCCTCAGATTGACTTCCAAGTTTTTTAAGTTTATTCCACAAATATTTATTGAGCACCTACTACATGCCAAGAACTTTTCTAGGCCCTTGAGATATAGCAGTAAAATAAAACAGACAAAGATTCTTGTCCTTGATGCTGGGTGTGGTGGCATGCACCTGTAGTCCCAGCTTCTTGGGAGGCTAAGGCAAGAAGATTGCTTGAGCCCAGGAATTTAAGGCCAACCTGGGCAACTTGGCAAGACCCCATGTCTAAAAATAAAGATTCATGTCCTTGTGGAGCATATGTTCAAATGGGGAAAGATATCCTGTAAAAATGTATATACATATATATATAGACACATACATAAAATCATAGTATGTGACATGGTTTGGCTGTGTCCCCACCCAAATCTCTCCCATAATTCCCACATGTTGTGAGAGAGACCTGGTGGGAGGTAACTGAATCATGGGGACAGGTCTTTCCCATGCTGTTCTCATGACAGCGAATAAGTCTCACGAGATCTGATGGTTTTATAAAGGGAGTACCCCTACACAGGCACTCTCTTGCCTGCCGCCATGCAAGATGTGACTTTGCTCCTCCTTTGCCTTCTACCGTGATGGTGAGGCATCCCCAGCCATGTGGAACTGTAAGTCCATTAAACCTCTTTTCTTTATAAATTACCCAGTCTCAGGTATGTCTTTATTAGCAGCATGAGAACAGACTAATACAGTATGTTTAATGATGATAAAGTCAATGAAAAAAGAAAAACAGTTCAGAGTACAGAAGATTGATAACATAAGAAGGGGTCAGTTGCAATTTATAGACGGTGGTCAAGAAAGGCTTCACCAAGAAAGTGGCATTTGAGCAGACATGAGGATATGACAGAGTGAGATGCATGAATAGCTGTGGGAAGGGTATTGCAGCCAGAGGAAACAACCAGCACAAAGGTCCCAGACAGGAGCATCCAGCACGTCTGAACAGCCAGGGAGGCCAGTGTAGCTGGGGTGGAATGAGTGAAGGAGTAGTAGTGGGAGATTAGATCAGGGAAGCAATAGAGGCCCAAATTTATGAGCCCAGGGCAAGGGCTTTTCATCAGCAGGGCATTGAGCCCAAGAGTAAATGATACAACTCCAAGTGTAAGAGGATCTCTCTGGCTGCTGTGTTGAAAAGGGACTGTAGGGGAGTGAGAGTGGTATCTGAGAAACCACTCAGGAGGCTCTTTCAATAATCCAGGGAAGAGGTGATAGTGGCTGGGCTGGGGTGGTTGCTGTGGAGGTGATAGACATGGTAGGATTTTGGAAAAGTTTGAACGTAGTGCTAACAGGATTTGTTGACAGACTGGATGAAAGAGAGGACAGAAGAGTCAAGAATCACTCCAAGCATTTCTGCCTAAGCCACTATCTGAGATGGGGAAGGCTGTGGGTAGGAACAGGTTTGGGAGGAAGATCCAGACTTGAGTTTTGGACACGTTAAATTTTAGAAGCCTGTTAGACATCCTGGGGTAGCTGTTAAGTGAGTAGAGGGCTCTAGGAGTCTGCATTTGGAAAAGAAATCTAGACGGGCAATATCTATTTCAGATTTGAAAGCAGACACATAATATTAAAGTCGCAAGACTGAAGGAATCACCAAGGAGCAGAAAAGAAGACCAAAGACTGAGCCATGGATCCCTCAGACACTGAAAGGTCTGGGAGAAGGGTGGACTGGAAAAAGAGACTAAGAAGTCTCATAATAGAAAGAAATTGGAGTGGGAGAGATAGGGCATCTTTCAAACATAAGTCCCAGATTTCCCTCTGGCTGGACCAAATTAGGTTCCTTGAATCAGTCCCTAGTAGACAAAGTCCATTTTTTAACTAATCATTTGAAAAGGTCTTGGTTTGTGCAGAAGGGCTTATACTTATGGGGACTTACCTGTGGAACCTACCCTGGAACTTACCCCCTCCCCGCGGGGGTGGTCAGTTCCTCACAATCCCACCCAGCGGTAAAGCTGAATATTGGGAAGCAATGGATAAAGCAAACCCACCATCTTGCCACACATTTTCCGGGGATCAATTTTTCTCGTGTACCCACAGATCCTTTCTTTCATATTGATAGCTGTATACTTATTACATTAAAAAACAGTTGGCTATCTGTTTACTGATTTCTGCCCAGATTATGAGCTTTTTGAAGAAGAACTGTGTCCTACTCATCTTTGAACCCCAGGACCTAGCCTCAGTGAATATTTGTTGAAGTGAGTTAAATATGAACATGTGAGAGTGTGTAGACATCTGGTTTCTGTGGGTCCTCCTGGGTTACGTCAGGCCTCAAAGTTAAAAGAAAAAATTTTAAACCCTTAGAATAGTTTATGATCCACCTGTAATATGTAATATAACCACATAGACCATCACCTTGTTAAATTGGATGTATGAAGCTATTTCTTAATAGTTGTGGCTGCAAGAACAGTCAGTTCTTAAATAGTTTTGAGACAGAGAAATTTAAAAGAACCCTTTGGTAATTTGGATACACACACACATACACACACAGAGAACTTATAGTTGAGAGTTCATAAAATAGCCTAACGAATCTATACTGTAAGGACCTATAAACTGATTGTATATGCTATGGGCTGGATGTTTATGTCCAGCCCCCTCCAATTCATATGTTGAAACCCTAGCCTCCAATGTGATGGTATTTGGAAGTCAGGCCTTTGGGAGGTAATCAGGGTAAGATGAGTTCCTGAGGGTAAAGTCCTCATGATGGGTTAATGTAGTTATAAAAAGAGGAAAAGAGTACAAAGTTTCAGTTAGATAGGAGGACTAAATTCTTGTGTTCTATTGAGCAGCATAAAGAGTATAGTTAATAATAATGTATTGTATATTTCAAAATAGCTAAAAGAGAAAATGTTAAATGTTCTTACCACAAAGGAATGATAAATATTTGAGGTGATAGATGTGTTAATTAGCCTGATTTGAATATACATCCTGCCACAATGTATTCATGTATCAAAACATCACATTTACTCCATAAATAGATGCAATCATTATTTGTCAATTAAAAAGATGATACTCTTTCATGTTTATTTTTTGAGATGGAGTCTTGCTCTGTTGCCCAGGCTAGAGTGTAGTGGCTCAATCGTGGCTTATTGAAGCTTCAGCCTCCCAGGCTCAAGAGATCCTTCTGCTTCAGTCTCTCTAGTAGCTGGGACCACAGGCACATGTCACCACGCCCAGCTAATTTTTAAAAATATTTTGTAAAGATGGGTCTCACTGTGTTGCCCAGGCTAGTCTTGAACTCCTGAGCTCAAGTGATCCTCCCACCTCAGACTCCCAAAGTGCTGGCATTATAAGACATGAGCCACTATACCCAGCCACAATAAAAATTTTTTAAAAAGAGAAGAAAAGCTATGACTTCCCCTATATGCATGCACCAAGGAAGGCCGTGTAGGGGCATAGGCTGGCAGTCTGATGTTGGACTTGGACTTCCAGCTTCAGAACTGTGAGAAATAAATGTTTGCTAAGCCAACTAGTCTATGGCATTACACTGACTGAACTGACTGAGACAGTATATATAGTTTGTGAGTGCTGATTAAAACTCAAGGAATAATGTCGTCGGTCAAACAAAGGATAGGAAGAAAAGCTTTAAGAGGGAAAAGGAAAAGAAAGGAAAGGAAGGAAAGGAAAATCTTTAAGAGGGAACATAATGCACTTCCTTCTAAACATTGGTTTGGATAGAAAAAGAAAAACAGGAATATGCTCTGCTACAGGTATTTTCTCTATGTCGTTATGATCTTTTGTTGGACATGATTTTTCCCATAGCTTATCTGAATCTATACAGTGAGCTATATTATTAAAGGATTCTAGTTAACTTTGTGCTTGGCCGCAAGTAAAGCAGCCTAGACTTTCTTAGAAGAGAATAGAAATACCAAAATATTTTTTCTGTCTAGTATTTGAGTGAAAAAAAAAGAATGGCAAGACATAAAATAGAACATCCAAAACACTATCAAGTATATTATATTCATTCAGTCTGTCACTGACTTTGTATTTTTTGGAAATATGTTTCCCTTGTTAACTTTTCCCATGGACACACTAGACTATATTTATCCATATGGGTATTTTTGGAAATGTAAGCACTAATGTAACTTCTTTAAATTACAAAAGATCCTGAAGGTTTGTGTGTTTGCTTGTTTGTTTTTAGAAAATGATGGGGATACCTTAGAAACAATCTTTTTGAACATTTGAAGGCATTTGCTACACAAAAATTGTCAGTATTTAAACTTTCCCTTTGAAGCCAAGCTATTTAGTTCTTATAAAAAGCATTGCTTTTTATAAGATAAAAAGAAACATCAGTCACAGCTATGAAATCTCTGAGCTCAACCTGGACAGGGTGCTTGACAGTTCTTGGGTTACTAAGCGAGTCGCCAGTTGTGCTAGGCCAGGCTCTCTTTACAGTGAAATAAAAAAGGGGACACATCTGAAAAACCAGATAATATAATGAATAAGACATTTGGTAAATAAGAGCAATTAAAAATCAAAAACAGCACACATCTGAAAAAACAGATAATAGAGCAGGTAAGACATTAGGTAAATATGACCAAATAATTATGTTGTAAACCTCTACCTGAATCAGGCATCCAGGAGGCAATTCTACATCAAGTACTTTTTTCCCCCTCCCTTTACTAGATCTAGTTAGACTTTTGAAAAATTAAGGTAAACTCCAGAGGTCACAAAGAAGTTGCCTTGTTGTGTTCTCTGGCCTAGAATGAGGCTGGAAATTGGGTGTGCACTTTCAGCTGGACTTTCCTTAGCACAGCCCCCTTCTCTATTTCTGAGGTGACCCAACGAAGAAGAAATGGGACAGAAGAGGGTTTACAGTGTACAAGGCAGATGCCGTGGGAGATCACGTGTTCTCCCTGCTGGACAGACAGGAGACATGAGCTGGCTGTTTGGTTGGTGGGGGAGCGCTGCTTGGTGGTGAGGAGGATGGGTCTGTTTTATGCTGTTATTATTTTCTATTCACTTGCAGGGCTTTTGGATCTCTCTCTCTCTCTCTCTCTTTTTTTTTTTTGTCCTTGAAAATGGCATTAAGTGATTCTGTGTGTGTGCATTTGAGAAAGCCAGTGCAATATCCTATTAATCCGCTGAGCAACTTCAACAACTTGAAAATGATCAGAGCATGGTTGGTGACCGCGTTGGTCGGTTTGTGAGAGCTTTCCTGAGGGGCCACGCAAGTCATTCCATTTAAGGGATCTTCCCTTCTATGGTCACCCATGCCTCCTTTGACCAACAGCTTGGCGGCCTCCCTGGGGTCCATTGTAGCCATCCTTCCAGGACACTGGGTCGGTTCAGGGGGCAATTGTTGCCTTCTTCTCCCTCCAGGGAGCAACTTCTCTTCATAAGGATTCTTTTTCCCAGCAAGCAAAGATGACCTGGAAATTTGATAGTGCCAGAGTTACAAACTATGCTTTCTCAAGAGAGAAATATTACCTTTTAGAAACTAGTTTTTATCCTGCTGGGAAACTGTACTGTGTTGCGGGGATTGTCTCTTATTAGAGCCGTGTGAGCTGGGGGAAGCATGTAGGGCTATCTTCCACTCACCAAAAAGGCTGCTGGAATCGTGTATGACCCTGAAAAGAAACTGCCGTGGTACTTAGTGGGGAGGTAGGGAAAGACAAAAATGTCAACGTAAGCCAGTACATTTCTTGCGCAGAATGAGCCTGCATACTCTTAAACACACCGGGAGAAAAGTTCTCAAGGTTTTGAAACTCCTAGTGATGGTGGAGTTCTTGGCTCACTTCCTAGAGCATTATGAGGCATTATAAACGTCCTTCGAATTCATGCAGTCCCATAAGAACACCACCAAAAAAATTGTTATGGGGATTTTAGTATTTAATCTTCAGGGGGTCCAAAGCCTTTATTTGCCATTTCTCAGTAAAAAAACACAAATCTTTATATTAAGAATAGGGTAGAGGGGATTGGGAAATCATTTTGTAACAAAAAGGTACTACATCAATTAGTCAAATAGTATTCATTGAGCACTTACTATGTGCCAGGCATTGTAGCAGGGGGTGGGGTCATGAGGGTGACTCTGACAAGCCTGGGCCCTATCCTCATGACACTTTTATTCTAGTGGGCAGCAAAGGTGCAGAGCAAGTGTGCTGAGCTAGTTGTGTAACAGAAAATGCGAGGTTAGCTTACAGCCTCCCAATTCAGAGATCTCAAAGAACATCTTGTTGGATTTAGACATGCAGTATCCTGGAAGAGGAATGCAGCCTTACAAATGCTCCTGATTCAACCGGGCGCAGGCTCACGCCTGTAATCCCAGCAAAATAAAGAAAACACAAAAAGAAATGAAGAACAAGAATAGAAAACTGGGAGAAGCACAGGAAGGCTGACAGACATCGTGAAGTGGATGAGGATTTTCCCTGGGGCCCCAAAACCTACTCTTCTCCTGGCAGTTTTAAAACCCAGAAGCCTTCCAAGCCCTTTCATCATTCATCGCATTACCATATATCAAGAGAAGACAAGTCTCCCAAGGAGGGTAAGAAGGGCAAGAGAAGAAAAAGGAGAGATGCTTGGAAGATGATGACAATGATAACTTATTTCTTATTAAGGAGAGGAAAAAAAAGTCTTAAACTGTCAGGCAGCCTCTAATGTGGCTTTCCGTTGTTCATTTGGCCTTTGCGTCCATAACCTTCTGGCAATGTGTTTATTATTTATGATTAAATAAAGTCAGTTTGGGTTTTGCATTTTTAATTTCAGCCATTCCTAGAGTTGCTGGACATCCATTTAGGTTCCCCCTTCCTTCCTTCCTTCCTTCCTTCCTTCCTTCCTTCCTTCCTTCCTTCCTTCCTTCCTTTCTTCCTTCCTTCCTTTCCTTCCTTTCCTTCCTTCCCTCTTTCCTTCCTTCCCTCCTTCCTTCCTTCCTTCCTGTCTTTCTTTCTTCAAGAATATTCATTGGTAGTGCCAGGTACATCCTATTGTATCACAGTGCAAGACACATAATGTCTTAATGTCTGATTGTTCTACTTTTAGTGGTGCTAAAACTAATCCAGGGGCCCAGGTGTTGCCAAACTGATATATCAATTACAACATTCCCCATCAATTTTTCACCTCATGGCTTCCATATTCTTTGATGATCTTTTCATAGATCCATTTTTTTATCATGAATGAATTTCAATTATAATATTACATTTCATCAACCATTATTTTGAATCTCAAACTATCTTAGTAAACTTTTCTAATAGAAATATCCTACATAGTACTATATTGAATTTATAACTGAAATGTTTTATAATTAGGAAATGTGTCCACTACAGAAAATTTGGCATATGTAAAGTATAAATTTGAAATAAAATCACCCCCAATTTTTCCACCAAAAGATAATCATTTCTATGGTTTCAATGTATTCATTTTGATCTTTCTTTCAGACAGCATATTGGAACAAAACAGGAACCACAGTATACTCTGTTTTGAACCCTTTTTGCTCTTAGTAATCTATTTTGGACATCTTTTCATATTAAAAAATACCAGATTGACATCATTACTTTTAATGGCATATTTTAATTTTCCTAAAAATGAAACCTTGGAATGAAAGATGCTAAAAAAATTTAAGCTTTTGATATTTATTTTCAAGACTCCTACTGGAGAGTTTTCCCATCTAAAATGTGTTGTGAGTACTAATTTCTCTACATCTTTGGTAACACTGAATATTATAATTTTTATAGTTTTTGCTAATTTGATACAAAAAATTTTTCTGCCCAGTTATATGTTTTTGATTAATTGCTAGAGACTAAAGTTATTCGTATGTTTGTTATTTATTTGTATTTTTCTTCTATGAATTTTCCATTTATTTATTCTGTCAATTCTTTTATCAGTGTGCTAATACTTTTTTTTCCTATTTGATATTTTATTTTTCTTATTCTGACATTAGGGTATGAGAAGTACAAAAGATCCACAAGTACCAAAAATTCTATATAGCTTTGTGGTAGTTAAAAACATACAAGAGAACAAAACAATTTTTTGAGTAATAGTCATCTCTACAGATCTGAGTGACAGTCCACTTCAAACATCACTGTAAAAGTGGTAAAAAATGATTTCATTGTGATTATGTTAAAATTTTTGATGTCTCTTTCACTTGTTTTAGGAAATCTGTCTTCTGATATTTATACCGGATGGATTCTTTACCTGTATTTTGCTGAAGCCCAATTCCCTGCCTCTTCAGGGCTTCAATGATGGCGCTTTTGTTTTTACAGTCAGCTTGTGATGTTTTGTCCAAAGGAAGATTCTGATAACAACTTCAGCAGCGAGAAAAGCTGGATGTAAATTTATAGTTATTGTCCTTTTCAATGTAAAAAAAAAAGTTGAAAAATACTGAAGACTTTTTCTTAGTGTTAATTTCTCTTCCTACAAGGATTTAATTTCATACTCATGCTGAGGATGAATTACCTTTGATGCGGTTTTTTTTCCAAAGGATTTTTAAAAAGCTTTCTTGAAAAGATGAGTTCTTCTTCCTAGCCCTAGGATTCTGAGTAAAGATGACATATTGGAACAGGAGAAGTCCAGGTTTATCTTTCTACTTTCTTACCTAATAACCTGTTGGACATAGATAATTGAGATCTCCATGGATGTCCAGCAACTCTAGGAATGGCTGAAATTAAAAATGCAAAACCCAAACTGACTTTATTTAATCACAGATAATAAACACATTGCCAGAAGGTTATGGACACAAAGGCCAAATGAACAACGGAAAGCCACATTAGAGGCTGCCTGACAGTTTAAGACTTTTTTTTCCTCTCCTTAATAAGAAATAAGTTATCATTGTCATCATCTTCCAAGCATCTCTCCTTTTTCTTCTCTTGCCCTTCTTACCCTCCTTGGGAGACTTGTCTTCTCTCGATATATGGCAATGCGATGAATGATGAAAGGGCTTGGAGCTTGGAAGGCTTCTGGGTTTTAAAACTGCCAGGAGAAGAGTAGGTTTTGGGGCCCCAGGGAAAATCCTCATCCACTTCACGATGTCTGTCAGCCTTCCTGTGCTTCTCCCAGTTTTCTATTCTTATTCTTCATTTCTTTTTGTGTTTCTTTATTTTCTTGAGGCCACCTGTTGCTTTTTAATGAGGCACAGCCCTTCTTTATATCATGATGGGGGTTCTCATTTGCTGCTTTTATGTAAGGTAGCTTGGATGGCTCTGGGATATCCCCACTCTTCTTGAGTACTTTTATTTTTTATTTTACTCTCTTTTTTCTCTCCTTAACTTCATATTTGTCATCATAGTAGCAGATGAATGGAGATACTGGAGACAGGTCATACACTTCTCTTTCTGGACACTTGTGTCCATAATGGCCTTTTGCATGCAGTGACAGCAATATGCTAAGGCTGATGGTTTTGAAGGGTCTTTGGCTTTTTGGGTGGTCTGGGTTTGGTCGTGAGGTGATATTGCCTCCAGATTTCTGTGCAAGCATCTGTATAGTGGCCTAGCATATGACATTGGTCACACTGTTTATCCCAAGAATGTCTGAAAAGACATGAGTGGTCCAACATCTTAGGCACAGGACAGTATTTGCAAAGGGGGGCTGGACAGGAATACAGGAGGTGTCCTCTCCAGGAGCACAGGAAGCAGCAACGAACTTTTCATGGTAAGGGACAGTTTTTTGATAAATGGCCGTGTTTGTCACAATTTCTACAGATAATGTTTTCATTGGCTGAATAATATCGCTGGGTCCATCTTCCAGGTTATTGGTTATTAGCTATCTGGGCCTCAATGTCTTTGTCACTGATGAACCAGTTTATACCATCTTCTCCTTCAGTAACAGAGTTTTCACATCCCAGAAGGTTGAGAAGGATATCATTATCTTTATCATCTATTTCACATCCCAGTAGCATCCAGCTTTCCACATTATTGCCTTCTGAAATGGTGCTCTCTTCCTCTGCACTTGAACTGACCTCTATAATCATGGCCTCTTGGATTACACCTGATCTCTCTTCAATATCACTCTTGCATTTCTTATCAAACAGCTCATTAGATTGAAGAAAAGCAGAAGGACCATGGGTATTTTCTTGTGCTTGAGCTCTAACATTCTTTCCTTTACATCTATAAATACTATCTTCATCAGACAGTGATGACCTCTGACCCATCTGACAGCTGGATGACCTCACTATCTGAAAGGACAATTAGCTTCTTCTGATTTGGTTTACTACTCGAAGATTCCAAATTCCCAGAGTTCTTTTTTTCATGTTCTTCCTCCCTGATGACATCATCAAGATCTTGGGCATAATAAATTCGGCTATAGAGTTGAAATTCCACCTCACTATCAACACTCAGTTCACTAGATAACTCGTCCCTATAAAGATCATCTTCATATGCTTCTATAGTCTCATAGCCACCAAACATCATAAAAAATCGGTAACTTTGATGTGCTGCAGCTGCAAACCTACTTTTCTTAATAAATTATAATGATGTAATATTCATCATTTATCCATTATATTTCAAATATATTTTGCCAGTTTGTCATTTTAAAAATTTTATTTATGACTTTTTAATGTTCTGAAGTTTTAAATGTTTATGTCATCTATTAAAAATAGTATCTATTATTCTTCTTTGTGATTTGTTCCATGGCGTTAACATTTAATAAGTCCTTCCCCATCTCAAGATCAGTGTAAATATTTGCCCATAATTCCTTCAACAATTTTGGGGTTTTGTTTTCATATTTTACTTTCAATTCCTTCGCCTATGTTGAATTTTTTGTCCATCATTTAACATAAAGATCTGATTGGATTCCACCACCACTGTCCATCCCCCGCATATTCTCATTTTCCCAACCTCCATTGTTTGTTTGAATAATCTACTCCAACTGATATGCTCTTTCTTTCTTTCTTTTTTTTTTTTTTTTTTTTTGGAATTTCGCTCTGTCGCCCAGGCTGGAGTGCAGTGGTGCGATCTCTGCTCACCGCAACCTCGGCCTCCTGGGCTCAAGCGATTCTCCTGCCTCAGCCTCCTGAGTAGCTGGGATGACAGGTGCCCATCATCACGCCTGGCTAATTTTTGTATTTTTAGTAGAGACTGGGTTTCACCATGTTGGCCAGGCTGGTTTCAAACTCCTGACCTCAAATGACCCACCCACTTTGGCCTCCCAAAGTGCTGGGATTACAGGTGTAAGCCACCGTGCCAGCCTGATACGCTTTTATTGCATTAGTTTCTTTACTATCTTTTCTGTAACAATGATCTTTCAGACAGTACCTATACTAGTAATACACATAAATGTTGCAGCTGTGTAAGTTTTAAGATCTGAAGAACTTTCCTTATATTATAACTTCTTTCTTAACTTAAATATCTATTTACTGATGACTCCCAACTTATGTCTGGCTCTAATTTCCAGAGTTGTATGTCTATATATCTATCTATTCAACCTCTCCTCTCAAATGTGTAATAGACATCCATTCATTCATTCAGCAGTATTTATTAAGCACCCACTCTCTTCCAGGCACTGTTCTAGGAGCTTGGAATAAATCAGTGAATCACACAATGATCCCTACCAATTAATTAACAGTTTGATTCTTACAACAGCTTTACGAAGCAGACAAATTATTATTTCTATTGTATTTCACAGAATAGGAAAATGACACACAGAGAGGTTAAATGACTTACTCAGGGTCACACAGCTAGTAGGCAGTGAATCTGGGATTCAAACTCAAGCCATTTCATCCAGAGTCCTTGCCTTTAATCACTTTCTCAAACTCAACATGTCCAAAACAGAAGTATGGATTCCTCTGTCACATTTAGTTCTTAGACTTTCTCCATTTTAATAAATGACTCTACCATTCATAACTACCTGCTTGAGTGAGAAACCTAGGAATCGTTCACGGCTCCCTTTTCCCTCACTCTCCATATTCAGTAGATTAGCAAGTTCTATCAACTTTATTATCAACAAATATATCTCTAATTCCACCACTTCTTACCATCTCTGGTGCTCCAACCTAGACCAAGCATTGTCATCTTCTTCCTGTCCTATTATACCTTCTAAAGATTCTCCCTATTTCTGTTCTTTCCCTTTTCACAGAACTGGCAGTGAAGACTTCAAAAAATATCAGTAACATCCTGTCACTCTCATGATCAAAATACAGTCAAATTATACTATAAACACTTACAGAGAAAAATAGAAATTGCCCCACCCTTCCCTATTCATGGGACCTGTTCCCCAGCAGCAACTGCTCTATATTTTTTTGGCTCTTTCTTCTGTCATTTACATCCATATCTCTAAAGTACATACTAATACAACTAGTTTTAAAATTTCAATTGTGGACACCATCAGTCAATTTCAATGACGTCCTAGTAGTTCAGAGGAATATTTAGCTCTTCTACAGCTACCCACACCCCAAACACACACTTCCTCTTTCTTCCACCAATGTAGGTATATCTCAACTTTTATTATTTTGGTTACATTATTTTGACTATGCAAATATTATTCATACTTCCTTAGTGTACTAGGACTTTACTTCCTATTTTTGTAAAACTTTTTGTCTTACTTCCTTATTATAAAACTTCCTAGGCTTAATAATTGCTTCATTTTTTCTTTGCTTGTTTTTCTTCCCCAGGTACTTAATACTAATTCTTATTCAAACTCTCTGGCAGAACTGTAAATCGCTTCTCAATGTAACCAGGTGTATAGAATAATCTATGAATTCATTTTTTTCCCCTGGAAAGCATCCTCCTAGATCCCTTCTTTCTCCATGATCTGCCATACTACTGTTGTTTTGTGAGTCTGCTTCATGATCTTCCTGGGAATTCTGTTGCTTTTTAACCTGTTTTTAGCTCCTCTTACCTGGATCTCATGTCTTACTCTCATTTGGCTTAAACTCATTTCGAAGGAGTACATTTTCCAGTAGCTTTCTGAGGAAGTAGGCATGAATGATGAAATAAAAATATGCTTCTTGGCCAGGTTCAGTGGCTCATGCCTGAAATCCCAGCACGTTGGGAGGGCAAAAATTAGCTGGGTGTGGTGGCGGGTGCCTGTAATTCCAGCTACTTGGAGGCTGAAGCATGAGAATCTCTTGAACTCGGGAGGCAGAGGTTACAGTGACCTGAGATCGCACACTGCACTCCAGCCTGGGCTACAGAGTGAGACTTTGCCTCAAAAAACAAACAAACAAAAACCAAAAACCGCTTCTTGTAACTCCTCATAATTGATAATTAAGGTAATTTGTTATAACATTCTAGGTTTGACATCATTTTGATTTGAGTCATTATGATTGAGTGTTCTGATGTTCTCCCAATTCTTGATCCTTTATAGCCCTTCTGCTTTTTTTCTATGAGTTTTTAGAAGCTTCTCTTTATTCCTGAAATTCTCGTATTTCACAACATTTTAATCACCCTCAAAGGTTTCTTCATGTCACTGGGTAATTCATTATTTTCTTCTCCCCCAAACCCTGTCCCTGTAGATTTGGGACAAATTTGCTCTCTGTCCCTATAAATTATTTGGCATTTTCTATAATTTTATAAAAATGGAATAATATGTAAAATCACTTCTGTGCCTGGCTTTTTTAGCATAATTATTTTGAGATTTATCAGGTTTTTTTAAATGTTTCAATAGTTTATTTTCATTGATGAGTAGAAGTCAATTACATGGATTTACCACATTTTGCTTATCTCTTCACCTAGTTATGGACACTTGGGCTGTTTCCAGTTTTTGCTATTCATAATAAAGCTGTCATAAGCATTAGTGTACAATTCTTTCATTAGACATATATTTCTTTTTTCATCAGTTAATATTTAGGATTAGAATTGTTTAGTCATATAGTAGGGGCTTCTTTAAATTTTTAAAAAACTGTCAAAAGTTTTCCAAAGTTGTTGTGCTATTTTACATTTTCACTGTCACCGTACAAGATTTCCAATTATTGTATATCCTTGGCATTCTCAGTATTTTCAATTTTAGTGAATTCTAGTGGATATATAGTTCCATCTCACTGTGATTTTAAATTACATTTCTTAGGTAGCTAATTACTTTGGGCATTTATTTGTGTATCTTTTTTTTTTTTTTTTTTTTTTGAGACCGAGTCTCACTCTGTCGCCCAGGCTGGAGTGCAGTGGTGCGATCTTGGCTCACTGCAAGCTCCGCCTCCCGGGTTCACACCATTCTCCTGCCTCAGCCTCCTGAGTAGGTGGGATTACAGGTGTGCACCATCACATCCAGCTAATTTTTGTGTTTTTAGTAGAGGCTGGGTTTCACCATGTTGCCCAGGCTGGTCTTGAACACCTGAACAACAATGGGGAGCACAAGTTCTAATTCCAGAACAATTATATAGCCCTCAAAGTCAACATATGATGCATGAAATGGGGTATGTCCCTGGTATGGGACTGGAAAAAAATTTGCAAGGTTTAAAAAGTTCCCGCCAAAGATTAGGATATCATTTTTGATGGTGGCCATTGTTAAGCCTCCAGAACCTATACCTTTAAAATGGTTAACAGATAAGCCAATTTGGATAGAACAATGGCCACTAAATAAAGAGAAACTGGAGGCTTTAGAGAAATTAGTTAGTGAACAGTTAGAAAACGGGCACATAGCTCCAACATTTTCCCTTTGGAATTCTCCAGTTTTCGTAATTAAGAAAAAATCAGGTAAATGGAGAATGTTAACTGGCTCAAGAGCCATCAATTCAGTTATACAACCTATGGGAGCATTACAGCCAGGATTGTCTTCTCCTGCTATAATTCCAAAAAATTGGACTTTAATAGTCATAGATTTAAAAGACTGTTTCTTTACTATCCCCTTAGCTGAGCAAGACTGAACAGTTTGCATTTACAATTCCTGTGGTAAACAATCTGCAGCCTGCTAAGCGTTTTCATTGTTTTACAGAAGGGTCTAGTAATGGTAAAGCTCCTTATTCTGGCTCAAAAAGTAAAGTTTTCCAGACACCCTATGCTTCAGGGACTACAGATGCCCACCACTATGGCCAGCTAATTTTATTTATTTATTTATTTATTTTATTTTTAGTAGAGACGAGATTTCACCATGTTGGCCAGGCTGGTCTCAAACTCCTGACCTCAAGTGATCCACCTGCCTCGGCCTCCCAAAGTGCTGGTATTACAGGCATGAGCCACTGTGACTGCCCTCTTTTACTAATTCTTAAGATGGGCATATTCATTTGCTAGAGCTGCGATGAGAGAAGGCTTAAACAACAGAAATTTATTTTCTCAGAGTTACGGATGCTAGAGTCCAAGATCAAAGGGTCAGCATGTTTGGTTTCTTCTGAGGATTCTCCTTGGCTTCCAGATGGTTGCCTCTGTGCTGTGTCCTCACATGGTGTCATCCCTTGGTCTGTGTGTTGTGTGCATCCTAATCTCCTCTTCTTATAAGAACACTAGTCATATTGGATTAGGCCCACCATGGGAGCTCATTTTACCTTAATTACCTCTTTAAAGGCCCTATTTCCAAACGCAGTTACTTTCTGAGATTCTGAGGGTTAGGATTTCAACATGTGAATTTTGGGGAAGATGTAATTCAGCCCATAACAATGGGTCTAAATTATTTTATTTTTTATTTTCTTTAAACATGAAGGAATTTGAGGCTATACATTTTTCTCTGACTATAAATTAAACTGTTTTAATATAAAATATTCAATGTGAATCTTTCCCCTTTCCATGCTTTCTAGATAGCATATAATTTCAATTTTAAATTTCTCTTTGATGCTGGGGTTAAGAGAGTGTTTCTTAGCTTCCAAAATGTTTTTTGTCAACATTTTATTACTTACTTCTAATTTTGTTTGTGGCCTGTGAGTGTTCTATGTTTTAATGTTTTTTAAGGGTTTTCTTTGTAGTCAAATGTATATATCATCAATATTTGTACTATTTATAGTCCTACAAAAATTCACACTCTATATCAGTAGGATTGAAATTACATTTGATTTTATTAATCTACTTTATTGTTATATTATTCCATTCCTCTATGTCCTTGCTTATCTTTCTGTGTAGTGAATCTTTCTACTTCTGGAAGAGATGTTTTAAAAATTACAACTATAATTTTATTAGGTTTTTGCATTTCTACAAGCTCTTTTTACATATTCGGTTGCAAAGTTATTTGCTGTGTATGTTTGTGACTATCACATCTCCTCTATAAACTGTCTTTTTAATTGTCTCTATTCGTGTCCTTCTTAAAATGCTACCTGGTACCAGCCTGTATGACGCCACAGTCTCCTAGTTTCTCTCCATGTCTTTGCCCACTCCTTAAATGTACGTGTTCCTCTGTATTCTGATTTCCTCTCCTCCTCCTGTAAGCACAAATAAATATACATCTCTCACCCAAATCTCTCTTCGGAGCTCAAGACTCATACAACTCATTTCTGCCTAGATTGTCGTCTTACATGCAGCACACACAGCTCAAAAGCAAAATTCCCCTCCTTCACCCTGAACCTGCCTTTTCTCTCATTAAAACGTTACTTTTAGATTTTTTTCTTATAAACAAAACATTGCTCAGTTTTCTTTTTCCACTAATCTGATATTACATAATCCAAGCAAACTGCCTAATGCTGTGCCTGACAGGTTGTGAGTTCTCCGAAAAGTTAGCTACTATTATCAATAGAATCCAAGTTTATATCCACTGTCAATTGCCATTTCATGCTTTAGGAGGTACTTTTTTGCCACATTACCACAGTAGGATTGGTTCTTTGGTCTTTTATGAACACAAGAAAGAAACAATTAAATCCCAACTCGCATACTGTGGGATAAAGCATGTCTTGCACTGTGCTACAGTGGGAATCAAGGAATGGGCATGGTTTAGTGCTTCTTTCCAATGGTCCAATAATTTACTTGACTCCATTAGTTGCATTCTTGGGTTCCAGTGACACGACCAATTTAAAATAGTTTTTGAATGAATCAAACAAAACTATAATGAATAGCCTAGTTTTTTTGTTTCTTCTTTGAATCCTAGTTGATGGCAGAGAGCATGTTTACTCGCCGATTGGGTGGTAGATTTGACCACTGTTTAAGAATCAGCTCCAGGAATTTGATCTTGCAGAAAACTTCTGGATATATTAAGACAAATTCTTCTGTTCACTGGTTTTTCATGTCCTTTAGGAGAAACCTCCACCTGGAAACCACTTGAACACCCACCAAGGCACTTGATGAAAACATTAGCATATAGTACATGGCCCAATTAAAATAGAGACTAATAGAAACTGGGAACATGAAGACGTATGCCTCTCATTATGTAAATCCCCACCTCTCACCCTTACCACCAATCACACACATAGCTACTACCACTGAAAACACAGCCTTTCCAACATGGAACAAACCTTGTATCTGAACAGAAACTGCTTTTTAAAATCAGCTAACGATCAACAAATCTGGTCATTGATTATCCTAGGAGAATTTTTCTCCCTTTCTCATATTTTCTGCCTTCTGTCTCATAACGGTTTTCTGTTTTGTCAACCTCACAGCCCCACGGAACTTGAATGCCAACAGCTCTTCATCGATTCACATTAAAGAAAATTAGAAGGAGGAGGAGGAGAAAAGAAAGCCCTGTCACCAAGTTTATTATTCCCAGGGTGGTCAGCTTTCTATTTAAGGGAATATGCCCAAATTTCAGAACTGGTTTAGTTTATGATCTGAAAAACATAGGCAATTATTCACTTGCCTCTTACATATTTGTGTGTCTGGCTGTGACTTTCAATGGAGGGCAATAAAAAGGAATCATTAAGAAGCCTAGTCTAGATGATGTGTTTTCTCTCTCTGAAGAAGAAGAGAGATGGCTTTTGCCTAAGTACCCCAAATTAAATACATAAGCTTTCTACATGGAAGCCTAAATAGCTTATTGAATTAAAAAAGAAATCTTAGAGCTTTACAGTAAAAACACTCTTTTTCCCATTTCTGGAAAAATTATGTTAGTAAAAATTATTTGGCCATAATCTCTCAGACTGTGCAATTTTAATGTAGTGAATAGAAAATTAAATACAATTTTCCACTGCAACTGGCTTTGACACTGAATAAGACATGTCACCATATGTACTGAAGACTCCTCCATATATGTATTAAAGTTTTTATTTATCTGTTTCTTGTGCTGTTTTGACTAGTTCTTCTATTTTGAGGGAATTTAACATTTAAAGGAATATGTGAATATACTCTAGTTTTACATTTATATTTAAAAATAGTTAAAATAGAATTTCTGAATTCAGAAGAGAGAATATCAGTAACCAGGCTGTTTTAAATTTATTTGCTTGATGATGTTATGTAGGTCTTAACATTTTAGGACAGCTTGGCCGGGCACAGTGGCTCACGCCTGTAATCCCAGCACAGTGGCTCATGCCTGTAATCCCAGTGGGAGGCCAAGGCGGGTGGATCACCTGAGGTCAGGAGTTCAAGACCAGCCTGACCAACATGGTGAAACTCCGTCTCTACTAAAAATGCATAAATTAGCCGAGCATGGTGGCAGACGCCACCTTCAAATTATTACCATTGTAAGGCTGAGTTGGGAGGATCACTTGAGCCCAGGAACTTGATGTTACAGTGAGCTTTGATCACTCCACTGCACTCCAGCATGGGTGACAGACTGGAACCCTGTCTCTAAAAACACAAAAAGTAAAAGAAAAAAAAAAAAGAAATCACTTGTTGCAACTGACTGAAGGCCAGCTCAAATGAGCTTTAGAAGAAAAGGAGGTGACTGGCATATGGAACTGGAAGAACACCAGCACAGCTGGATTTAGTAGTCCAGGTGAAGCGCCAAGCACCAAGACCTTCACTCACACTCTCTCCAACTCTCTCTTCTGCTAGTTTCTCCTCTTTTCTGTCAATCTCATGTACTTCTGCTGAAAAAAACAAAACGGACTTACTGGAAATGGCTAGAAAGATGGCTCTGGCTAACCTAAACTGATATCCTTATAGTTTATGAAAATAAGAGAAGAAAAACCTCTTTGTTAACATCCATATAGGCAATTTCATGCAAGGTTGGCACAGCTAGTTTGTTAGCCCCATGAACAATCACTGTGGCTGAAGAATTGGACATAATGAGAATCATTATGATTGACAGCTCTATTAGGACCATATGGTGTGGCCAAAGAGTGCCCTAAAACAGTGGGACTGAATCCTGAGAGCCAATGGTACTCTTTTAAACAATAAACATTTTGTAACGCTCCCTTTTCTATACTGTGTCTGTAAGAATTTTATCAGAAGGAAAGCAGAACCACTGGGATACATATATTCTCTCTTCCTCTCACTGTCTCTCAGTCTCTTTCTCTCTCTCACACACACACACACACACAAACACACACAGCACATGTGGAAAATTGGGGATTTATTGACCTTATGAACTGTGGTATCTGGTGAGAGTCTATATGAGGCTGTTGTGTCTTTAGTGCTAAAACCTCAAGTCCACAGGGCAAGTAGTTGGGAAGCAAAGATGGATATGAAATAAGGAAAGTAGTGATAAACTAGAATCTATGAGGCTGAGCTGGAAACATGAGGATGGACTAGACTCCATATTTGACTTTCACAACCTCCAGGCTTCCAGTTCAACCCTGCAGGCATCCTGCTGAAACTGGTGCTCTTTACCATGAAGCTAAACATGCACCTGGCCCAGGTATCAGGGAAGCTGAAAGAGGAAGTTGCAGGAGCTGGAGTTGCTGTGGGCTCACCAACCTGGCAAGTCAGCAGGTAAGGACCACATATGTGAGATGTGAAAGCACTCCTTTCCCTGTTTCAATCTTCAGAGGATGAGAAAAATAAAGCCGGTTTTTTTTTTCACTTCCATCCTTCAAATTGCTCACAAAAGTCTTTTTTTGTTTTTTTGTTTTGTTTTGTTTTTTGTTTGTTTGTTTGTTTGTTTTTTTAGCTGATACTAATCTGGAACATTGCAGAGAAGAGAATTTGGGGAAATTAGTTCTAGCTTAGCTAAATAGACACAGTTCAAATCTGCCACATACACGGTGCCAGTTACAACTTTTTTCTCAACTCCAAATCCACCTTTCTGTACTTTGCTTTGTGGTACTGGATCTGGGACTCTGAAAACCACATTTGTGCCTTATTTGCTGGCTTCATGTTAGAGTCTGCCAATAAAGGGCACTAAAGAGAAATAATGGGGTTAGGACAGGAAGAAGGATGTTTTCCTTCCTATTTCCTGTGGACTTCCTGTCTGCTTGTGCACATCACCCAGGCTTGCTTCTTCACCTTGGGAATGATAATTCCTTCCCAAATCAGTGGTTGGATCCTACTTGCTGTTTTTCCCAACCCTTCATCCCACTCCTGCTCAAAGATGCATGCACCAGCCAACCAGCATCATTCTTCAGAAGTTCAGGCCTCAACCCCACAAGGCTCCTCCTCCCAATGCTAACACAGCACTAGACAGGTAGTGCTTCTTTCTCAGAGGCTGAGTTTCATCTCCATAGGGCCCCACCTCTATGTTCCTAAGTTTTATTAATTCCAAACTCTTCTCTTTGTTTTCCCAGCCCTAGTAGTGGTAGCTGCTGCCTACAGTTGCTGTGTCTGTGAGAGGGTATATGTCTCCCTTTTTAGCTGTTTAGTTACTGAGTTGATAATTTTGTATAGCTTACCATTCTTTGTATCAAATTCTTTCTGTTCAAATAACTGGTATGGTTTTGTCTCCTGAGTGGACCCTGACTGATACATATCCTGAAATAAAACTCATAGATAATAAAATGTACTTATAAATATAATTTTAAAAGTAGAAGATCAATATAATCCCTAATAGAAAAAATGCAATACAGTCATATGTATTTTAAGACTTTCACATGTGACCAAGATGGAATAATAGGGATAGGACTTAATCTTCCACATGAAATAACTAAAAACAAAAGAAAACAGAAAAACCACCCAGACAAAGTATATAAACTAATTGGATATAAAAACACTGGTCCCTTTCTCCAGATAAGGGATGATAATAGAAAGGAAAACAAAACAATATATCAGGCAGCAGGTAACAAAAGACAGTGACCTCTGAGAGACAGGAAACAAAATAAATAATCTGGGCCAGGTGCAGTGGCCACACCTGTAATCCCAAGACTTTAGGAGGCCAAAGTGAGAGGATCACTGGAGCCCAGGAATTCAAGACCAGCCTGAGCAACATGGCAAGATCCCATCCTTACAAAAAATAATTAAAAATTAGCCAGGTGTGCATCTATGGTCCCTGCTACTTGAGAGGCTGAAGTGGGAAGACTGCCTGAGCCTAGAAGGTTGAGGATGCAATGAGCCATGATTGCATCACTGAACTCCAGTGTGGGCAACAGAGTGATACCCTGTCTCACACATACACACACACACAAAGTGATCCACATGATGATGTCAGCTTACTGTTTGGAGAGATATTTGGACTGTAGTTTTGGATGAGGGACCCAAGCAGAGCCCCAGTTTCCCTAAGTTGGGGAGAAGGAACTAAAAGTCTGGAAAGCCTAACGTGGCTAGAGTTCACAGGGCTGAGCAATGGAGAGGAGAAAGCTTCACAGAGAAGGAGCTCAGAAAATCTGCAGATGGTCTCCCTTAAGGCTCCAGCTGAGAAAGGATCAGCACATGAATGTGAGGAAACTGCTTGAGGCTGAGGGAAGAACCACTTAAAGGAATTATAGGGAACAATCCTCCGAGCTCACACAGGGCCTGGAATATATCCTATTCCCACCAGCCAGAGTGAAAAAAACCTCATAATTCATGGAACATTGGTAGGGTATTCTGAAAGGTAGTAGGGAAAAATTAGCCCTACACTAAATACTGCTCTGGTCCCACCTAACAAAGCTTAAAAGCAAGGCCTAAAAGGATCGAACTATTTCCAAATAACTTCATTCCATCCCAGATCAAAGCTCAAAAACATTTATAAAAGTCAAAGATATCCAGCATCCAACAGATTAAAATTCAGAATGTCAGGCATCTGATAAAAAATTACCAGTCATGTAAAGAAGCAGGAAAATATATTAATAACTTATGGATGAGAAGAAAAATTAATTAATAGAAACTGACCCAGAAAATAATACTCATGATGGAATTAACAGACAAGGACATTAAAACAGTTATAACTCTATTCCATGTGTTCATCAGACTACAACAAAGATTGACATGTTAAGGAATGACACAGAGGATATTAAAAAGATTCAAATCAAACTTCTGGAGATGAAAACTGCAATGTCTGAGGTGAAAAATACATTGGAGGTAGGGAGATTAACAAAAGATTGGACATTGCAGAAGGAAAGATTACTGAATGTGAAGTCATAGCAATATAAACAATCCAAAATGAAACAGAGGGAAAAAGACTGGTTAGAAAAAGAAAAAAAAGATAGGATTGGCATATCAATGAGCTATGGGGCAACTTGAATACATTTGAAAGGAGGGGCTGAGTGCAGTGGCTCATGCCTATAATCCCAACACTTTGGGAGGCCAAGGTGGGAGGATCCTTTGAGCCCAGGAGTTCGAGACCATCCTGGACTACATAGTCCAAAGAACTTGGAAGAAAAATAAAGTTAGAGGACTTACAAAAAAAACCATAATAAATTAGCCCAGCATGGTGGCACATGCCTGTGGTCCCAGCTCCTGGGGAGGCTGAGGTAAAAGGATCACTGAGCTCAAGAGGTTTAAATATGTTCTCTGATTATGATCTAATTAAACTAGATATCAATAGCAGAAAGATAACTGGAAACTTGGTGAATGTTGAAAAATAATATAACATATATCTAAATTAACCATGGGTCTGGAAATCAAATGAAGAGCCGAGTACATTGGCACGTGCCTATGGTCCCAGCTCCTTGGGAGGCTGTTGCAGGGGGGATCCCTCGAGCCCAGGAGTTTGAGGCTGGAGCATACTGTGTTCTACTCTCCACTGCACTCCAGCCTGAGCAACATAGCAAGACTCTGTCTCTAAATTAAAAAAAAAAAAATCAGATGTGAATTTACAAAATGTTTTGAAGTGAATGCAAATGAGAATATTGTATATCAACTTTGGTAATATGCAGCTGAGAGAGTACTTAGAAATTTATAGCACTGAAAGTATCAACTCAGTGACTTTTCTTCCACTTTTAGAAGTTTTAAAAAAAAGGAAAGTTAAACCCAATGTAAACATAAAAGAGGGAATCATAAAGATGAGAAGGGAAATCAGTGAAATAGAAAACAGAAAAACAATAGAGAAAATCAATGAAAGTAAAAGTTAGTTATCTGAGAAAATCGATAAAATCAATAAGCCCCTAGCCAAACTGATTTTGGGGAGGTGAGGGGAGAAGACACAAATTACTGATATCAGGAATGAGAAAAGTGACATCTCTAGAGATCTTGCTGGTATTAGAAAGACAGTAGAGGATTACTATAAAGACTTTATGTCAAAAAATTCTAAAATGAACAAATCCCTTGAAAGATACAAACTACTCTATTTCTATGAAAAAAATTGAATTTACAGTTAAATTTTTTTTCACAAAAAAACCTCCAGGCCCAGATGGTTTCACTGATGAATTTGATCAACAATTAAGAGAGAGAGAAAAAAAAAAGACTGACTCTATATAAACTCTTTCTGAAAAATTGAAGGAAAGTATTTCCCAATTCATTTTATGAGGCCAGCGTTACCCTGATACCAAAACCAAAGATATTATAAGAAAAGAAACTGCAGATCAGTATTCTTATGAACACAGATGCAAAAAATTTCACAAAAGTCTAGCAAATCAAACAGTATATGAAAAGGGCAACATATCATGACCAAATGGAGTTCATTCTACAAAGGCAAGGTTGCTTTCATATTCAAAGATCAATCAATATTTTATCACACTAACAAGCTAAAAAAGAAAAACCATATGATCATCTCAGATGATACAGAAAAAGCATTTGACCAAAAGCTAACATCCATTGCTGATTTCAAAAAAAAAAAAACAAAAAGCACACATACAACACAAAACTCTTAGCAAACTAGAAATAGAAAGAAGCTTCCTCAATCTAATAAAAAGCGTCTATGAAAAATCTATAGCTAACATCACATTTAGTGAAAGGGTGAATGCTTTTCACATAAGATCAGGAGTTAACAGAGATGCCTGCTCTTACCACCTGTATTCAATATTGTATTAGAGGTTCTAACCAGTGCAATAGAGCAAGAGAAAAAAAAGGAAAAGGCAGCAAGATTAGAAAGGAAACTGTAAACCTCTGTTTATTCGTAAATCATCTATGTTGAGCATGTGATGAAATCCACAAAAAGTTACTGAATTAATAAGTGAGTTTAGCAAGTTTGGAAGATATAAGAATAGAATATTTTAAAACACCAAAAAGTAAATACTTAATGATAAACCTGAGAAAAGACAGACAAGACCCACACACTGAAATCTTTAAAATACTACAGAGAGATATTAAAGAAGACCTAAATAAATAGAGACACCATGTTCACAGCTCAGAGACACAAAATTGTTAAGATGTACATTTCTCTCAAGCTGATCTGTAGACTCAACTCACTTTCAATCAAAATCCCCCACGTATTTTTTGTTTCAGAAATTCATATGCTAATTCTAAAATTCCTAGGACCTAAAATAGTCCAAAGAACTTTGAAAAGGAACAAAGTTGGAAGATTTACATTATTTCAAGACTTTAATTTTAAGGCTATGGTAATCAAGATAGTGTAATATCAACATAAAAATGAAACAGAATAGAGTTTAGAAATGGAACCAATTGATTTGAAAGGTGCAAACCCAATTGTGAAGAAAGGATAGTCTTTCAAACATGGTGTAACAATTGGATATCCACATACACAAAAAAGATCCATACCTTGCACCATGTATTATATAAAACATAACTCAAGATGGATCATAGATCTAAATGTAAAACTACAAAACCTTTAGAAGGAAACAAAGGAGAAAATTTTTGTGACTTTAGCTAGGCAAAGATTTCTTAGATGTGACATCGAAAGCACAATCCAGAAAAGAATACTACGATAAATTTGACTTCAAACTTGAAAACGTCTGCTCTTTGAAAGATATTCTTAAAAGAATATCTTAAGTACTGGGCCAGGTGCAGTAGCTCACACCTGTAATCCCAACACTTTGGGAAGCCGAGGTGGGCAGATCACTTGAGGTCAGGAGTTCGAGACCGGCCTGGCCAACATGGTGAAACCCCGTCTCTACTAAAAATACAAAAATTAGCCAGGCGTGGTGGCACAACCCTGTAATCCCAGCTACTGGGGAGGCTGAGGCAGGAGAATAGCTTGAACCCGGGTGGTGTAGGTTGCAGTGAGCAAAGATCGCACCACTGCACTCCAGCCTGGGCGACAGAGGAAGACTTCACTTCAAAAAAAAAAAAAGAAAAAGAAAAAAAGAAAGAAAGAAGAAAGAAAGGAGAAGAAAGAGAGAAAGAAAGAAGAAAGAAAGAGAGAGAGGAAGAAAGAAAGAGAGAGAGAAAGAAAAAAAAAAGAGAGAAAGAAAAATAAGCTGAGGACTTTGAGAAAGCATTTGCAAATTATACATTTGATAAAGGACTTACAGCTGGAATATAAGAATTCTCCAGATTGAATCATAGGAAAACAAACAGTGTTTAAATATGGGCAAAGGAGTTTAATAGACACTTCACTAAAAAAGACATACAGATAGTGAATTATCACATGGAAAAGGAAATGAAAATTAAAACCATAATGAGATACCACCACACACCTATTAAAATGTGGTCAGAGGGAGATATGACAATGGAAGTCTGGTCAGAGAGATGCAGTACTGGTGGTCAAGAAGATAGGGGACAGGGGCCATGATCCAAGTGATGTAGGCAGCCTCTAAAAAAAGGAAATGAATTCTCTTCCAGAACCTCCAGAAGGAACACAGCCCTGCCAACCCTTGATTTTAGCCCAATGAGACCTGTATCAGACTTTTGACCTCCAGAATTGCAAAATAATAAATCTGTGCAGTTTTAAGCTATGAAGGTTGTGGTAATTTATTGCAGCAGCAATAGAAAACTAATACAGCAAGAATCCTTAAACATATAAATAAATTGTTCATGTGTGGTTCATTTAAAGTTGGAATAATTTTTCAAAATCCCATTAGAAAGTGAAGTGACTCTAGTTTTTTGCTATTCAATATGGTAGCCACTAGACACATGTGGTACCCAAATGTGGCTATCGTGACTGAGGAACTGAATTTTTAAGTGTTTTGTTGTTGTTGTTGTTTTGTTTTGTTTTTTAAAACAGGGTCTCCCTCTGTCGACCAGAGTGCAGTGGCATAATCATGGCTCTCTGCAGGCTTGTCCTCCTGGTCTCAAGTGATCCTCCCATCTCAGCCTCCCCAGTAGCTGGGACCACAGGCACATACCACCATCCCCAGCTAGGTTTTCTTTTTATTTCTTTTTTATTTTGTAGATACGGAGTCTCCCTTGTTGCCCAAGCTGGTCTCAAACACCTAGGCTCAAGTGATCCTCCTGCCTTGGCCTCCCAAAGTGCTGGGATTACAGATGTGAGTTTCTGCGCCTGGCCTGGGTTTTTAGTTTCATTTAATTTTAATTTACATTTAAAATTTAAAACTAATACTCAATTCAGTTCCTGGAAAATTATAAAACAGTTTTAGAGCAACTTGGGTTTGTGAATCTAGTTTTTCCCCCTGTAAATTTTATGAAATCTAAATGTAGATTAACTATTTCCAGTCAAGGGTGAGTGTTCAAATTGAGATGTGTCATAAGTATAAAAAATGTAAAATATTAAAAATTTTTATATTGATTACATGTTAAAATAAAAATGTTTTGGATATGTTAGGTTAAATAAAAGGTACTGTTAAAATTGCTATCACCTGTTTCTTTTCTTTTTCTTTTCTTTTCTTTCTTTTTTGTTTTTTTTTTCCTCTGTCATCCATCCAGGCGCAATCACAGCTCATTGTGACCTCAACCTTCTGGGCTCAAGCGATCCTCCCATCTCAACTTCCCAAGTTGATATGGTTTTGCTCTGTGTCCCCACCCAAATCTCATCTTGAATCGTAATCCCCATAATTCCCATGTATTGAGGGAGGGACCTGGTGGGAGGTGATTGGATCATGGGGGTGGTTTCCCCCATGCTGTTCTCATGACAGTGAGTTCTCACGAGATCTGGAGGTTTTATAAGGGGCACCTCCCCTTTCACTCATCACTCTGTCCCGCCTGCCACCTTGTGAAGGAGGTGGCTTTGCTTCTCTCTTGCCTTCCACCATGATTGTAAGTTTCCTGAGGCCTCCACAACCATGTGGAACTGTGAGTCAATTAAACCTCTTTCCTTTATACATTGCCCAGTCTCAGGTATGTCTTTATAGCAATGTAAGAATGAACTAATTCATGAGTAGATGGGATCACAGGTGCTCGCCACCATGCCTGGTTAATTTCTGTGTTTTTTGTAGAGACGGGATTTCACCATTTTGTCCAGGCTGGTCTCAAACTCCTGGGCTCAAGTGATCTGCCTGCCTTGGCCTCCCAAACTGTTGGGATTACAGGCATGAGCCACTGTGACTGGCCTTGTTTCTTTTTACTTTTTAAAATGTGGCTATTATAAAATTTAAATTATGTATTTGGCTTACATTATATTTCTATTGGACTGTGCAGTTCTAGATTTTTTTCTACATTTTTATCATGCTTTACATGAGGATGAGAATTCAAGGGAGGGCAGAACAACCGCCAGAAGACAGAGAGGAAGAAAAGGACATTTTTTATCTTCGTTTTTAAATATACCTAAAAGTCACAGTACTTGAGCCTGATTTTCAAGAATAAATTACATTTCAACATGTTTCAGAGGACCATCCAAGTTTTTCTTTTGCGCAATAATTTAAGTCTTATCCCATATTGTTTGCAATATCTGAGCCATTGGCTAAAGTTCCCTTAAATATTTTTTAATTAAATAGATTAATTTCTGCAATAGGATTTGACAGTATGGGCCTTTGGCAAAATAAATTTTTTTTGCCTCGACATTTTTAAAAGTATATCCTGGTTTGTTAACAAAGAAAAGAAAATGACAACAAATCTTTTAGTTCTATTTAAAAACAAAATGTTACAGTGAACTTTAAACATCATAAATACCAAGGCATTAATGGCATAAGCACTGTCATCTGGTAGGATTCATTAACACTCATTTGATTACAAAAAATGAATTTAAAGTTTTAAGTTGAATTTCAGCAGCTTTTGGACGTAGAAATCAGTGATGGCAAAAATCATCCACTTAGAGCATCAAATGGTAATGCTGTGCATAAGGGGATCATTTGACCCTGAAAAGGGGGTTATAGCTAGAACTTAGCCAGAAAGGACTGCATTTTGCCCTGGAATCTGGAACGAAGATCAAGCCTTTTGGGCCCGAATAAGAAACCAATAGGACCAAGCTGTATTCCCTCTTTCGGAAATATTGTTTCTGTTACTCCACAACTTCTTGTTCTATCAGCAACTGCTCTGCCTCCGTCTCATGTGATAAAATACAGAACGCCCGGCTAAATTTGAATTTCAGATAAACAACGAAATACTGTAGAAATAACTAAAGCAACTGTATCTGCTGGCCTTGTCAATCAAAGTGTCCTACCTACTTCTTGCTTCATAGGTGATAGGTGTGCATGTGACCCAGGCTTGGCACGTGACCCTAGTCCCTTGTTCACATTGATTGGCCTAACACATAAATACTTGTCTCAGTTAAAGCCAACTCAAGCCTTTCCATATAATTTGATCTAGGAGAGAGATGGTTACTTTTTCAAGTGGATTACAAGCAACAAGGATGCAAGCCTTCGGTAGGCTGCAGCCATCTTCCTGCCATTGGTAGAGAGCCTTCCTGTGGCAGGAGAGAAGAAGGCTAAGTGCAAAGAACCAGGAGATGAAGGCAAGTGAAAATGCTCTGACAATGTCTTCTATTTGGAGGTGTTCTTGGTGTCTCGTACCAAAGTTTGATAGTGATTAAATGCTCTATTTCTACTAGTATTAAATGAACCAGACACCAAGTTCTTACTCTATAATACACATTAAGCCAGCATCTTAGCCATAGTGCCACTATAAATCTTGATTTTCTTATCTGTTTGGCATTTTTTCTCCAGGTTCTACTGGCCAGAATGGTAGTGTGCAGGTGGGCATTTATTCTTTGATAGTATAATTTATGTTAGTGATGCCATTAACATTTAAAAGAGAGAGAAAGTTTCCTATCCTGTAGAGAGTACTTACAAGAATGCAGTATAAAAGCATGTTTTTTATTTCCTGCTCTAACTCTATTACCATTCCATTCATTTTCTAAGACTGTCCTGTCATTAGACAGTAATTGCAAACTTTAATTTGTGAGCTTCTGTTTCTAGGATCCCAAAGAGATATGATGCTATTAATGCTGCCCTCAGAGAATGGAGTGGCCCCCTTGCTCCAGGTTAAATTCCAGAATCTTTGGGAGTACAGTGCAGAAGGAAAAGATTTGAGGGCAGGACTGGATGCTTAACCTGCAGAGCCCCGTGCAAACATTAAAACAATTTATATATATATGTCCCCTTCTCCAAAGATGCTTGAGAATTTCAAGATGGCAATAGCAGAGCGTTAAATGAGCATTAGGCCCTTCAAAGCACAAGGTCCATGAGGCCAGCCCTGCTTGAGGGTCATATTTGATCTCTTAATGCCTTAATTTCCTCATCTGCAGAATGGGAAGTGAAATTGAATATTTAATGTAAGTATTAAATGAATTACTTGTGAAATTTGCAAAGCTCCAGCCACATTGTGAGTTTTCCATAAATAAAGTAACCACCATCTTACTCTATTGCATTAATATATGGGAGCCAGGAGTGAGTTCTCTGTGGTGAGCTGAATGTGGACTCAAAGCATTTTCTTAGGCCAATTACCCAATGTCTCTAATCCTCAGATTCCTCGCCTATAAATAAGAGATAATCAATGCATCTACTCCTGAAAGATTATCTTGAGGATTAAGTGAAATAATTCATTTAAAGCATTTAGCACAATTCTGGGAACACAGTGCTCATTAAATGTTCACTATTATGGCTATGTACCTGGCCCAGTCCTAAACATTCCGCATATACTATCTAATTTCATCCTTATAACGACCTAGAAACTTAGATATCATGACCTTCAGTAAACCGAAGCTGGAGAGGTATCTGTCCAGGTTGTTACTATGTAGTGGGACCAAAATTGAGATTCCAGGTATTTCTGATTCTAAAATCCATACTCTCCTGGAAACCACCATTCTCAGCAAACTAACACAAGAACAGAAAACCAAACAACGCATGTTCTCACTCATAGGTGGGAGTTGAACAATGAGAACACATGGACACAGGGAGGGGAACATCACACACTGGGAGGTTGGGGGGCTAGGGGAGGGATAGCCTTAGGACAAATACTTAATGTAGATGATAGGTTGATGGGTGCAGCAAACCACTATGGCACATGTATACCTATGTAACAAACCTGCACGTTCTGCACATGTATCCCAGAACTTAAAGTAGAAAAATAAAATAAATAAATAAATAAATAAAATAACATGACTATGAATTATGTAGACACCAAAAAAAAAAGAAAAAGAAAAGAAAAGAAAAAAAAACAAAGAAAGAAGAAAATCTCTATCAACAGATATGGAGTGATTTCCAGAGATATTATTAAGTAAAAAAGGTGAAGTACAAAGAGCATGTAATATGCTACCTTTGTGCAAGAAAAAGGAAAAAATAAAAAATTATATATTTGAAGTAAAAAATAAATAAATAAATAAAATCCATGCTCTCCACTCCAATGCATACTGTCTTTAACTGTTTAGTCTTCCTTCTTCCCATGCATTCTCAAGCCCTTAGTGTGTATTCGCTTTCCTGTACCTGCCCATGATGAGAGATGTAACACACATAAGGGGCTTTTGAAGAGTTAATATATTTGAATGGCCATCGTAAATTTCCTCTGTATGCATCATTGTGTCTGAGAGTCTGCCTGTCTATCTCACGAAAAGCAAAGGAGAGGTGCTGGCCACAAAAGCAATGACACATTTAATGAGAAGTGAACACTTGCAGACTGGTTTGAGAGTTGGAGATATTTATCAAACTTCAGCCAGAGCTGGGTTTCTCTACCCTTAATTATATGTTCTTCATTTGGGTGTATCTGAAACAATACAATGAAAGGCCTTTTACATTTTTTCCCCACCGAGTTATTATCATTTTTCTTTTGAAAAGGTGCTGCTAATTTGTTATATAAGACTGAGGTAACACTAGTTACACCCCTGTGTATAGCCTCAACACAAAAGCAGTTAAAACTGCAGCAAAGCTAGGATCAGTCTAGTCTCTACTTGTTTACCCTTTGTTTTCTAACTAGCAGGGCTGCTGCTGTTTTACTTTGCTTTAGTGCTGGTGCTGGAGTTTGGCCTTATGTTCAGAGCCTGAAGAAAGTAAGAAATGGTGAGGAAGATGCTTTTACCTTCACTTTGCCATCTCTGGAGCACTGAAAGTATTTCTGTGGCTCTGGACTAACTCTAAGGCCACTTTATAACGTCTGGATTGCCAGTACTTTCTAGGATTTTTTCTAGATCAGGAAGTTTTTCTTGCTCTGAAGAAGGAAGATAACAGCACACAGCAGAGTTAAAATAAATCTGCCTTTATTTTATTTTTATTTTATTTTACTTTATTTTTGCAACAGAGTCCCGCTCTGTTGCCCAGGCTGGAGTGCAGTGGCACAATCTTGGCTCACTGCAAACTCCGCCTCCTGGGTTCAAGCCATTCTCCTGCCTCAGCCTCCCGAGTAGCTGGGATTACAGACGCCCACGACCACGCCTGGCTAATTTTTTTATTTTCGTAGAGATTGGATTTTGCCAAGTTGGCCAGGCTAGTCTTGAACTCCTGACCTCAGGTGGTCTTCCTGCCTTGGCCTGCCAAAGTGGTGGGATTACAGGTGTGAGCCACCATGCCCAGCCCTGCTTTTATATTTTAACTTAATTAAATGGCAGATCTTTTTATTAAATGCCTGCTGTAAGCCTAGCACTGTACTAGGATTAGAAAGAAGGCTATATCTAAATTTACAATTGCTAAATTAAACAGAATTATAAATTAGCAAAGTCACCTTTGTTCATTTCACTCCCTTCCATTTCAGTGGTTCTTGGTCCCTTTCTTTCTTAAATAGCTTTTCTTCCTCCTAATATCCCCCAAAGAATGCAGTCTGAGAGGTGTCAATAGGTGATTTGCGTTTAACAGGCACAGTCTAAGTTTAGAAAATGCGACATTAATAATAAAAACAGCTAACTTTTTTTTTTTTTTTTTGAGACGGAGTCTCGCTCTGTCACCCGGGCTGGAGTGCAGTGGCGCAATCTCGGCTCACTAAAAACAGCTAACATTTTAAGTACTTCTTTGAGCTGGTCAGGGGCTAAGTGTTTTATACTCATCACCTTATTGAATTGTCCCAATACCCCCTGTGAGGGAGGGGCTACTATAATCTTCACTTTGTCTAAGTCACACAACTGTTGGGTGGCAGAGTCACAGTTCTAAGCCAGACAGTGTCCTTAATGACTGTGCCATATTCACCTGCCCCGAAACTAGCAGAAGTACCATTTTTTTACCGTGAGACTTCTCAGAGCCTTTAGTATGCTACAGGGCCTTGGGACTCTCAAGATAAGAATATAGAATACTGTGGCTCCCTACTCATTTGTCTCTGTCCCTTATTTTTCCATGGAAGATCTTGAGAGATTGGAATTCTGCAGAACACATTTTGGGAAATACTGGCCTAGATATTTGTATTTCAGTAAGAGACTTGGAAGATCGAAGTGACTTCAGGAATAATTCTAATCATATTTCAGAAACGACAAGATAAGGAAGAGAGAAGTGTGGCTATGAGGCCTTCCTGTTGCCCCCAAATGACTCTATGCATAATCCTTCTTCTTACTTATAAAACTGGTGGGTTTTTGGAACTTTATTTTTCTGTTGTTAAAGAAAATAAACATAACAGGGTTACTCTAAGGGTGAGTGAAATTGTATGGTAGAAAACACTTAGAAAGATTGAAAATAAAAAAAATAGTCACAGTCATGAATTTCAACCCATTTGCCAAGTCCTCACTGTGTATCTGTCACTGTGCTCTTCTGGTCGGTCTGTGGAGCTGAATAAGACACCAAGCCTGCTCTCAAGCACTGAAAGCTATGCTGTTTTCAAAGCTCTATTGTTTGCAGGTAACATAAACCCACTCAAGCTGGTACAAATAAAAGGCAGTTTATTACAGATCTAGTTCTTACAGACTCTGAGGATAGAAAATCAAGCTGAATGTGGTATTGTAGTGACTGGAAAGCCTCAGAAATGAAGTCTGTTCTGTCTTAGGCTGCAGATCTCTTGTCTTTACTTTTCTCCAGCATCTTCTCTGTTTGCCTGCTTCTCTATATTGACTGACTCGCAGTGTATTAGTCTGTTCTCATGCTGCTAATAAAGATATATCTGAGACTGGGTAATTTATAAAGGAAAGAGGTTCAATGGACTCACAGTTCCACATGGCTAGGGAAGCCTCACAATCATGGTGGAAGACGAAGGAAGAGCAAAGAGATGTCTTACATGGTGGTAGGCAAGAGAGCTTGTGCAGGGGAATTCCCCTTTATAAAACCGTCAGATCTCGGGAGACTTATTTAGTGTCATGAGAACAGCATGGGAAAGACCCACCACAAGATTCAATTACCTCCCACTGGGTCCTTCCCATGACGTGTGGGAATTATGGGAGCTACAATTCAAGATGAGATTTGGGTGGGGACACAGCCCAACCATATCACGCAGTGTCTACTCATCTCACATGTGGCAAAACATGGCACCACTCCTGTGTCCAATGGCCTTCCAGTTCTAGCAATTGCTCTGTTTGTCTCTTAGTTCAAATTCACAAGATAAAGAAATGGGTGGGTCCCATTGGTCAGATGTCTGACTCTGATCATCAGCTGTGCCCGTGGGATGGGTTAATATAACTTATGGCCTCTGAGCAGGGACCATGCCAGGAAAGGCAATGATAGATATGCCTAGTATAAGTATTTACAGAAACAAGGCAATAAGACTGAAGATTATTGGACAATAAGTCTAATCTTTTTTCTTATTTGATTACATTTTTGTGGATCTTTATAGAAAATAGCATTTCAGTGCATCTAGCAGTATATTAGGAATAAGGTTTTTCTTCAATGAAAGATAAGACTTCATAGAATTAGCAATAACTTATCATTCTGGGACCTTAAGGCCCATCCCACACCTTAGATTCAGAGCTTATGTAGGGTTTTCTGGTTTTGTTTTTAAATATCTACACCGTGGAGTTGAGGCCAATCCCTAGCTAGACCATGGATCAGTCTCTTTGGATTCTTCCACTACAGGCTTAGAAATCTAAAGATTATTGGAAGAGGCCAGGTGCGGTGGCTCACGCTTGTAATTTCAGCACTTTGGGAGGCCAAGGTGGGTAGATAACCTGAGGTCAGGAGTTTCAGACCAGCCTGGCCAACATGGCAATATCCTGTCTCTACTAAAAATATAAACGTTAGCCAGACATGGTGGTGGGTGTCTGTAATCCCAGCTACTCAGGAGACTGAGGCAGGAGAATCACTTGAACCCAGGAGGCAGAGGTTGCAGTGAGCCAAGATGCACCTGGATGACAGAATGAGACTTGGTCTCTGGGAGAAAAAAAAGATTATTGAAATTATTATTATTAAGAAATTTAAGATGGACTAAACTTAAAAGAGTTGATCTTCTAAGAACCATGTCCTTAAGGATGAGTTTAGTACAGGGACGACCTAAGATGTCCAGAATGGAAGGAAGCAACATTTTAATCCTACTTGCAACTAACTAGTCTGCCCCATAGATATGATGGAAATAAAAGCTGAGTTACTTAATTTTTCATAAATTCTGGCTAGACTTTTTTAAACAAATGTAACACATATCATCATTAACAAAAAGTTAATAGAGAAGTAGGTGGTATTTTATTGCTGAATAGCATCTTTTCTCCTAGTTCTTTTCTTTCATCCAAGAGGATACTCTGAAGTGGAAAACGGAAAAACTACAGTAAGGTTTGTTTTCACTTTCTGGAGGAGGGAGTATCCTTCATATTAGCTCGATTTTAAATGGACTTAGTAAATAGTTTCCTCCACTGAGAAAGATTTGCCTCTTGCTCAGCAGCCATGAAGTTGATAAGCTAAGAGAGAGAAGCCTAGCATTGTATGGAATGTGTATGGCAAATAAATGGTGGAAGTATTGACAAAGCAGAAGCAACAGAGGGCATTTCTTGCTGTTAGGGCAGCAACCTTTTGTACTATAAAAGTACACGGAGCAATTCTCAGAGGGACCCAGTAAAACCTCTAGACAACTACAGGCAGTACCCTGGCAGAAGATGTCCACCATCAACTCTCTAGGGAAGGAGAGTTCATATTGACATGAGACCATGGTACATCTAAGTTAATTGTCAGTCATTCTATATATAAATTCCCTCATGGTGTTATTCAGATATTTTCCAATAGTTTATTCATAAAAGAACCTCATTTAGATTTCATTGCTGTGGACTATCTAAACTGGGATACACCTTAATTGTACCCATTCAGGTACAGCTTAAATGGATAGCACACACTTGGGCCTTTTGGAGGGTGAAAGGGTGGGAGGAGGAAGAGGATCAGGAAAAATAATTAATGGGTACTAGGCTTAATACCTGGGTGATGAAAGGATCTGTACAACAAACCCCCATGACACAGGTTTACCTATGTAACAAACCTGCACTTGCACCCCTGAGCTTAACATAAAAGTTAAAAAAAGAAAAGATATTTTTTAAAAATATAAATTACACCTTTATAAAATAAAAAATCTTAGAAAGAAGGAACATCCTATCAGACATGAAATGATAATGCAAACTTTGATCTTCATTAGAGGAAGGACTGCAACTCTAGAGCTGAGGCATGGATCGGGAGACGCATCAAGCAGCTAAGATTGGCAGTGCATGCACCAGAAGAATACGTGATGTGAAGGCAGCCCAACTTCTGATTCCAAGGGTCCAGGAGAGATGCATGGCCACCTGAAAGGTATGCATATCACTTACTTTGTAAACATTTAGAGACCATTTATTATGATCTCTAACGGAGATGTCAGGCTCTTAATGTTTCACATGTATCAATTTACTTAATTCTCATAACAACCTTTTGAGGTGGGTGCTATAGCCTATTTTACAGATTGAAAAACTGAAGCAAAAACTAATTTAGTAATTTGCCTAAGGTCATGTAGTTAGTACATGGTGCAGCCAGGATTCAAATCTAGGCAGTCTGGCTCCAGAGCACACAGTCTTTTGGCATCTCATTTCAATTGGAAGGTCAGTTCTTTATTTTTCTTGCAGTCTTTCTCAACATCCTAGATATTTGAGGAAATCCACCAGAATCCATCCTAGACAATAGCCAAGAGTTGAGATAAGTAAAAAAAAAAAAAAAGTGGGGGGTTGGGGGGGTGCAGGCAGGATGTTTTTCTCATGGAGTTTACATGTTAATGGGGAAGACAGACCATAGCAAATAAACAAGTGAATATATAGCACATTGGGTCATGATGAGGGTTATGAAGAAAAATAAAATATGGCAAGAAACTAAGATTGATGAACAGATAGTATTATATTAGATAGGGTGGTCAGGAAGGCCTCTGCATTAACATTTCAGCAGAGGCCTTAATAACACATCCTCTTCACAGTTTATTCCTAATAAACAGTTCCTTTAAAAGACTGTACCTTTTATATTTCAGACTTGAGCCTTTGTGGGTTTTATTATAAATATATAGAGCTAATAAATAAGCACACTGCTATACAGCTATCATGTCCCTACTGACATGGACAAGGACATTGTAAAAAATAAAACAACAGGAAAATACAACATCAATATCCCTTCTAAACTCGCAGCAAAAATTCTTACAAAAATATTAATAAATCATATTCAACAATGTATTTTTAAAATGAACACATTATGACCAAGGAAGGTTTATCCCAGGAATACAAGGGATGTATTTAATCACAATTAAAGGAGAAAAGACATATAATAATTTCCATAGTCATAAAAAGCTTTTGACAGAATTCAACATCAATTTATGATTTTAAATAACTGTCAGCAAATTAGGAAAAGGGAAATTCTTTAATTCAACAAAGGGCATTCATAGGAAACCTACAGCTAATATGCTTAATGATAAGAAATTGAATGCTTTCCCTCTGGGATTGGGAACATTGTACAGATGTTTGTTCTCACTACTTCTACTTAACATTTTACTGGGGGCTCTCGCCATTGCAATAAGACAAGATAAATAAATAAAAGTCATAAATATTAGATAGGAAAGAATTAAAATTCCTTATTTGCTAAAGACATGATTATTTATATAGAAAATTCTAAGGAATCTAGAACACAACAATTAGAATTAATAAGTAAATTTAGTAAGATCATAAGATGCAACGTTAATATAACAAAATCAATTATATATTTATATACTAGTCTCAAGCAACTGGAAATTAAAGGAGATCAGTATATTGAAGAGATATCTGCACTCCATGTTTGTTGCAGCACTGTTCAGAATAGCTAAGAGTTGGAAGCAAACTAAGTGCTCATCAACAGATGAATGGATAAAGAAAATGTGGTACATATACATAATGGAATACTATTCAGCCATAAAAAAGAATGAGATGTAGTCATTTGCAACAACATGGATGGAACTGGAGATCATTATGTTAAGTGAAATAAGCCAGGCACAGAAAGGCAAACATCACATGTTCTCACTTATCTGCAGGATCTAAAAATCAAAACAATTGAACTCATGGACACAGAGAGTAGAAGGATGGTTACCAGAGGTCAGGAAGGGTAGTTGGGGGCTAGTATGGGGGTGGCGGGTGATGGTTAATGGTACACAAAAAGTTGGAAAGAATGAATAAGTTAGAAAGAATAAATAAGACCTACTATTTGATAGCACAACAAGGTGACTATAGTCAATAATAACTTAATTGTACATTTAAAAATAACTAAAAGAGTAGAATTGAATTGTTGGTAACACAAAGGATAAATGCTTGAGAGGTTGAATACCCCATTATCCCTGATGTGATTATTTTGCATTGTATGCCTGTATCAAAACATACCCCATAAATATATACACCTACTATGTACTCACAAAAACTGAAAATAAAAAAAATTAAAAATAGGAAAATAACATTACTTGATTTCCACTTACTATAAAATCACAAAATTTAATTGATGAGAGGATAAATATATAGATCAATAAAACAGAATAGGGAGTCAGAAATAGACCCATATATATGATTAATTGATGTTTCAATAAAGGTGCCAGGAAATCCAATAGGGAATGGAAAAATCTCTTCAACAAATGGTGCTGGAATAATTGATTATCTGAATGGGAAAAAAATTAAACACAGACTTTTATCTTACCTCATACACTAAAGTTAACCTAAAATAGATCACCTACCTAAATGTAAAAGGTGAAATTATAAAATTTTTTAAACAAAATGTAGAGGAAAAAAATCTTTGCAAACTTGGGATAGGCAAATATTTCTTACATAAGCTATAAAAAGGCACACGGTATAAAACATAGAATTGATAAATTGGACTTTATCAAAATTTAAAATGTTTGTTCTTCAAAATACACCATTAAATAAACAAAAAGTGAATCACAGAATGGAAGAAAATGTTCTTTCTCCCATTTTATATATGCAAAAATAACTCTTGCAAATCAATAAAACAAAAAAATTTTAAGTGGGAAAGAGATTTGAACAAACAGTTCACAAAATAAGATATGGATGGTGAATAAACATATCATTCATCATAGAGAAATGCAAATTAAAACTATAATGAGATTCTATAACACACTTATTAGAATGGCTAAAATTAAGACTGACAACATCAAGTGTTGAAGAGGACATGGGGCAACTGGAACTCTCATACACTACTAGTAAGAATGTAAAACAGTACAATCACCTTGGAAAACATTTTGGCAATTTTTCAAAAGTTAAGCATATACCTACTGTAAGACCCAGCCATTCTACTACTAGGTGTTTACCCAAGAGTAATGAAAACGTATGTTCATACAAAGACTTTTACAAGGATGTTCTTTACACTTTTATTTATAATAGGCAAAAACTGGAAACAACTCAAACATCCACTAATTGGGCAATGGATAAACAAAACATGGTATATCCAAATAATGGAATATTACTTAGTAACAAAAAGGAATGAACTACTGATATACACAACAAAATGAGTGAAACTCAAAAATCAATATGCTGAGTCAAAGACACCAGATCCAAAGATGTACAAATTGTATGATTCCATTTATATAATATTCTAGAAAATGCAAGGTGTGTTATAGTGACATAAGCCAAATCAGGGGTTGCCTGGGACCAGGAGTGGAGGGAGGAATCACTGCAAAGAAGCATGAGTTACCATTTTCAGTTGATGGGGATAGTCTGCATTCTGCTGGTGGTGATGGTTTCACAGATATATACATTTGTCAAAACTCTTTGAACTGTACCCTTAAAATGGGTGCACTGTATTGTATTAAATTATTTCTCAATCAGTTTGAAAAAATAAAAGTACTATTTGGTTCATTTTCAAACCTACTGTCATTTTGATAGTTTCTTATTGTTAATGCATTTTAGTGATTCCTATTTTAATTTTTAAAAACATTTTATACCTGTTTATTTTGCATTCTGTATCTGACAAATTCTGATAATTTCATCCTAGAAGATCCAAGTCTGTTATTTATTGTTTTTTGCTGACTCTCGCTTACAGAGGATTATTTTCCTGTGGGATTGGTGATCTTTGGTTGTAAGATTAGATTTCATTAATCTTAATCCCCTGAAAACCTGGGAGTCTAACCTGATGATGGTTTACTTCTGACAGAATTTGGATTTGCTTTGAAAGAGATCCAGGAGAACTACTGAGCTGAGGGCACACCATTTCCTACCAGGTTTTCTGGTTTAATGGCAGGACCCAGCCCAAAGTTGAGTCCACCTCGGTCCTGCCCTCAGAGAAACCCGGCATGCTCTTTCTACTCACAAGTTCCAGTTCCAACTCATGAACTTCCCCTTTACCCCAACATCCAAAAGTTTCCCTCCATCTTGCAAGCTCAACTACATGGTATAAAATATAGTACATGCAGAATCAATTTTTACAGCAAGAGCCTCAATGAGTCTGTCATACTGCATGTTTACACTTACCTTTTTTAGTCTCAGAGAAAAGAAAAATAAGCCCTAAAAGGTAAAATGATGGCCCTGCCTTTAAAGGGTTTTGAACTGAAAATAGATATGGTAATATGCATCATATTCCTAACCCAGGCTCTTTCTCCAAATCTGATAATGGGCAGCAAAGCTAAGTGCTACTTATATATAGCTATCCGTTTTGTACCAACATTGAGGAGAGAAATGTTATAGGCCAGGGATAATGTAACAAAACAACTCCACAGAGAACAAGGGAGTCATATGAAAATTTAGAGCATAATATTTATCCCAACTAAAATAACTTACAAAGAGGGTGGCTATGGCTTTTCACAATTGTCAATATTTTTCCCTTTGAATTTTTACCCAACCTATATTTTATTTATCCTTAGGAAATAATTTATAGTGATTTTAATTATTTGGATATTGAATATTTGCTCTATTTCAAATGTAATAGGCTACTTAGAATGACTAGCTTACCCACAGGATTTTTGAGGTTGACAGTGGTGGAGAGCTGTGTCTAATTCCAGATTTCAGTTCCTGTCTCTCTTTACATAAAAAAAAAAATGGTGTAAAAAGTTCATTGAATGTTTTAATTAGCATGCAAGCTGAGTCTCAAATCCAAAGGAAAATCTAACACTATTTTTAGTTGCATCTAATGCAAGGTGAAAAGAGAGTAACACGTTGGAATAGTACAGGGTAAAGGATTATTCATATTTACAATAATAATATAATCATTTAATAAGTACCCACCATGTACTAAGAGCTGAAGGAACATTTTGTTTTTTTTCTGATTAATACATGACCATAGTGGGGAATTACAGTGGTTTATTGTTCTGGTTTATGATCTTGGTCTGAATTCAGGATAAAGTAGCAATGTGCCAGCTTCAGAGCCTCATATACTTTCCTTATTACCTGGCTGAGTGACAGGGATGTGGGTTCCTATTTTTTTCTTAGTCTCAAGTGCGTAACCAACCTGCTGAAAAACATTGCTTTGGTTAGCCAATCAGGAAACAGAAATTAAGGGACTGCCTCGTCCTGCTCTATTTTACTGAATGAACTTGCCTGAATCACTTGGAGACCAAATTCTTCCTGGTTACAGTCTGCATCACATTCAACTATTATCTGTGGGTTTCCTTGGCTGGGCAGCTAGGGGTGGCTAATGATGAGAGGCATATCCAAATCCCAGGAAGCCTCCTCAGGCTTTGAACTAAACTTTGGGACGTGACAGGACCTGGCAAAAATGGAAATACCTTCCCTGACATTTTCGCTCATGTTTTTCTAAATTCACTTTCAGATAAGGGCAGTGAGTTTGCTAGAGTGGGAAGTGCTGACAGACAAAGTGTAGTCTACTACAAAATTCTTCCTGGCACTCTAATTATCCTTTCCTTCTCTACTTCAGTATCACATGTAGCCATGTGTAGAATCATAAAATAATTATGCAGTGTACAAGCTTTCTGGGAGCATGTACCACTGTTTTCCTAATTCTTTATCTCTCCCATTGATCGTGGTGTGTGTGCATTGATCCAAGTCGGCCATCTGGTTAGGCAAGATAAGCATGCTAGTGTCTTTGCATTGCACTGTCACGCGGGGAGGGGGCACATTTTGGCTGTAGGGAATTACGGGGGCAGGATTAGCCCTCTTCCTATGAGGAAACTGAATTTTAAATGCAATGTTGCAGCTGCATGGACCATGTTGCTAACTTCTGTTTTTGCCATGAACTGGGTAGAATTTTCTTCTTGTTCATATTGTCTCCAAAGGTATAGAGATGCCTTGTATTAAATAGAGGGGGTTGGAATGGAGAGAAGATTCATTTTTAACACATGTTAGACTTGCGAGTGACTGATACATTAGAGGATTTCTATATGGTAAAATTGCTTTCAAATGACTACAAAAGGTTGCTGAATAAAAAGCATTTTAAACTGAGACTTGTTGGGCACCCCCCCAAACAAAATTATTTTCGAGAGGAAAGATATTTGTATTAGTCTATGAAAAAAGAAAAGGAAAGAAAATAGAAAAAATATATACGCATGTATCACAGCAGAAGGAATTACTGCATGAAGCTCAGAATGGGACCGTTGGATATACTCTTCATTTGTTTATCTCTTTCTTTCACGTATTGAAATGAATGTTTGCCCCAAGTTTATGACCACTGGGACTGACTGAATGTGCTATTTAATTCAAAGAGACTTTTTTCCAGCCCTGTTGGCCACTGTTGTTTTTAAAATTTGATTGCAGCCATTGTTGTCTCATATTCTGCAAATGTGTGGAAGACTCAAAAGCTTTTCCTCTAAAATTGAACAATTCTGTCAAAAAAGATTAGTTCTATTTTGTCTGCTGGGTGCTGACTATTCATGAATGTAAAGAGAGAGGGCTTGGGTGTCATACTAAGTTGCTAAGGTGGCTGGATTTCGGCTATTGACTTGAGGATACCAAACTGGAGGCTACAAAAGAGCAGCCAGAAGGAGAGGGAGAGACGGCCTGCCATGTGTTTAGCTATACCTTCTTTAGCTGCCCATTTATTTCTTTTGTTGCCAGAACTTTTATTGTCATACAGTTGAAAAAAATGTTAGACACAAGCTTCAGGCAGCACCAAGCAGAAAAAGGGATTAGCATATCACTAGGATCATCTTACACTGAACCAAATTCTTTTCAGGATGTATAATTAGCGAATACAGTCCTTTTTTTTTTTTTTTTTTTTTGAGCCTATGGACAGGAAAAAATGAGCTCAGATCTCTGGCTAGAATATTAGAGGAAATAAAAGACATTTGCCAATTTCAGAGAGATATATACATATTAACTGTTTCTTCGCAGAGCTTTTGCAATTCCCTCAAGAAATGTCTGGTTGAATGGGAAAACTTGCTATGAATTCTGGTTATTGTCTCAGGTTTTCTAAAAGGAAAACACTCTGTAGTTGAACACACTCAAAATTTTAGACCGATGAAATCAGATTCAGGATTAAATGAATGTAGAACTTTTCTGAGCAGGGGGAACTAAAAGGAAATGTGTGGTTTTCACACGATGATATTGTAGTCTGCAGAAGGTACTTTGACAGTAATTAAAAATATAATCGGGAAGTTAAAGGCAGTAAAATGTACATTTTGGGTCTGTTAGTAAATAATTCTGTGGGGCTCACTTAAAGCTGTCTGAAACTTCCTGTATAATTTGTGGGTGTTAAATATGTTTATCTGAAGTAAGAAAATGGAAGTCTTGGATTGCTTCCCTTTTAAATCCTCTTTTCTTCTTCACTTCTGTTCTCTTCTCTTCTCTTCGTTGTACGTTTAAGCTGTTTTACACACAGCATGTAGGTAAAAGCAGATTTGTCTAATTAATTCATATTTAACTGGATGGATATCTATTTACATTTCCAGATATGCAGGCTTTTGGAGAAGCACATTGAGAGTGAAGGGAGAAAAAGAACCTTTTATGCAAAAGTGTATTTTTAAGAATTAACAGAATATTCACTAAAAGTAAAAGTGCTTATCTGCATACATCTCAGTTTAAATTTCTCAAGGTAGATGATGTTTTTGTTTAACAGAGGAGGCATTGCTATGTTGGTTTGTGTGCTTAGAGATTCTTTATTACAGTAGTTATTACTTATCTTCATTTTTTTTTCACTCTTCTGTGGATGGCATCACCCTGTGCCACTGTCCCCCCAGCCCCCAAATAAATCACAGAATCCTAGCCTTAATTCTGGTTCAGTTTCATATCATATTTCTTAAGGACACTCTTAGCTTGTCTTTGAGACACTAATTTTTTTAAAAAAACATGTTTTAACTATTAACAAGAGTAATGCAAACTCGGTTCCATAGGAAGCAGCTATTTCAAGTTTTACAAGCCTTAAGATACTAGGGAAAAGATTCATTGAGCTTTTCCTTGGAATTAGAGAACCCAATCCTGGCTCTTTATTTACTTATTGATTCTCTTTTGGAATTTTTGGTCAAATGTCTTTCTGTTGGCTAGAAATAGACTGTGAACCTAGGTAGCACAGAAGACTCAATTGTGTTGTCTTCATTTAGAGAAAATCACTTTAGTTTGCAATGGTTATGTCTCCACGGGAGTTGATGTGCAGAATTAGAAACATGACAAAAAAGAAAGAATAAAAATAAAATTACTGTAAAAATGTGAATTTGGATATCATTCTTTAATTACTTTAATTATCATAGCAGATAAAAGAGTCACTCTTTGTTATTTTAATATTTATAGTTTGTAACATCTATATTTTTCCTCTGACATTTACTTGTGGACAGAAATATCGGTGGCTACAAGGAGCTAGCTACATACATAGTTGCTCATGATATAACATGGTCTTCAGTCGCTAACACTTTTGCTAATTTTCTAAGGACACACTTTAATCAAACTTGCGATTTGCTGTTCCCAAATCATTGGCTCTTTATTATTCACATAAGTTTTTTGGTTTTGCACCTGCTCAGTTCACACTACTTAGATTCTTCTCATGCATAAGCACACTTACACCCTCACAGATCAGAGATGTGGGCTTCCTTTCAGGGGGACCGGCCCTCAGAAACATGGCTCTTAATAGTCTAGAAAATAAGAGAATGATTCTTAAGTCTAGAGTCCAAATTGTTGAATTCAGAGAAATGTAATGTCAGCCAGACATAGAATATCCTCTGTTGGGTAAACTAAAAGTGAGGTCTGAAGAGTTTTTTTTTTTTTTCCAGGACTTGAAAGCAATGGCATTGCAGAATAGAGGGCTTCCTAAAAAGCAATTTTTACGTTATTCTGGACCTGGAATAGCACAATGTCAGGAGTAGACAGGGAAAAAAGGAGTGTGGCCAGGAATAAGAACTCAGCATGGGACAGAGAATTCAGAAAGGTAATGAAGTGGAGGGAAAGGCTCAGAGAAGAGGTGATGACAAACTTCCTATTTTAGAGTTTTATGAAGACCAAAAACAGAGAGACAGTCAAAATATCTTTCTGAATATCAGGTTTGAGCTTTAAAATAAAAGTCATTTGTGATTAACCAAAATATAGTTTGCTAATCAACAGAATCCATGTTTTTTTAGCTCATCAATGTATCACTAGCAGTGCGATTTTTTATACAGAATATTGCATATACACACTTTTTACATTGCATACATAGTATTATGCTATTCAGATTAACCTACTTGACCTTTCTTTGATATATTCATAATGTCCCTTGTAAAGTTAAACCTCCATGATGGCAGTAGCTATTTAATATAATGCGTCAGGCTAGGTGCGGTGGCTCATGCCAGTAATCCCAGCACTTTGAGAGGCCAAGATGGACAGATCACCTGAGGTCAGGAGATCGAGACCAGCCGACCAACATGGTAAAACCCCATTTCTACTAAAAATACAAAATTACCCGGGTGTGGTGGCACATGTCTGTAATCCCAGCTACTGGGGAGGCTGAGACAGGAGAATCGCTTGAACCTGGGAGGTGGAGGTTGCAGTGAGCTGAGATCACACCATTGCACTCCAACCTGGGCAACAAGAGCGAAACTCAGTCTCAAAAAAATAATAATAATAAAAAATAAAAAATATAACTTGTCATCAAGTTCAGTGCCACACAGTCGTTAACACCCTTAGCTAAATTATTTTGAATTCTATGATTAGATATGCTTTGAAGATACAAATAAGATTCTCCGAAAACATGGGCATGGTAAATATGACTCTAGCCTAGTAAACCTCATGACTCCTGTTAGGGATGAACAAAGACACTTGCCTTTTTAAACATATAATAATGCCATAGTTCACATTTTAAAGATATTAGCTTCTTTTAATGTATACAAGTAGGATTTTAAAACCGTTTTTTGCAGATAGGCGCTGTATAAATTATTATTTATTTTTCCAAATGTCATTTGCTCTATATTACAAAATCCACTGGCTTTTTTGACTCTGACTATGTACACAGCTATTAAGAAAGAGGAGACGTTCCAGTCTTAGGAGTAAAAATTGTCATGATGACAATAAGAATGTGTCCATTTTTAACAATGTGATAAAAGCATGGGTCCCTCTCAGACATAACTACAAAGACAGATGTTACAAATAATGTTTAGAAGAGAATAACATTATGAGTCGTGTGTGACATATTCTGATTAATCTATTTTACTGATTAATCTATAATGTGAAAACAAGAGGCTATTTTATTTTAGTGGCTAGTTTTGATTGAGCTCTAACCAAGGTTGGGGTTCCACTCTAAGGGTTTTACAATGATCATCTCATTTGGTCCTAGTAACCCTATGAAATATGGATTGTTATTATTGTTATACCCTTCCTATTGAGGAGGAAACTGAGATTCATGGAGGTTAAGTAACTGGCCCAAGGTCATGCATCTGGTGGGTGGTGAAGCTGGGTTCAAAACCAGGTAATCTGACTTGAGTTTGTTTTAACCACAACACTACACTAGCCTTTTACATGTGCAATAGAATTGAGAATACAAAGTTACATCTAGGCTTGCAGGATTATTATAGTGGGACGTATACCTCTAGGCAGGCAGAGAGGATATATGTAGAGTCAATAGGACTAGCCAGATAGCAATTGTCATAAGATCCTGCACTCCCGGTTTGGAGATTTAATCCAGGCCTCTAGATGCATAGGATGTGAGAGGTGGAAAGGAGTTAATAATTCATAACTTTAACCCTGTTATTTTACAAATGAAGGAACTGAGATGCAGAGAGGTAAAATGACTTACACTGTCAATGGCACACTGAGACTAGAACTCCCAGTTCTCTTAAACACACACAGACGCACACACACAACTTCACCTTTTTTTCTTTTGTACTTCTTGCTGCCAAGACATCTTTTAGACATAGGAAAATAGCACTTTTGTTCTAAGTTAGGCTCACACTCACACTCATAGAAATGAATTTGCTCTGGAAAAACCTGTATTGCCTTTTGACTTGAATAGATGAGGAAATGGTCTACAATGTGACAAAGCAGAGAGCAGAGCTTTGAAGAGGAGTGATACGTTTTCTTTTTCCATTTTATAAATTCTCATCACCATTTTTCAAAGCCATATTTTTTTGGTTAATAAGTGTTGTAAGATATTTATTTAAGCAATGTTTTGGACTTGAATTCACAAAACTTTGAACTCTTAACCTGCTGCCACTAACTTAAATCTTGTTCAAATATAGAAGGTTAATTCAATATACATTTTTTCCTCATGTTGTCTATTTCAATTATTACAAGACCTGTCAAGGTAAACAATGATATGGCATTTTTGGCAAAAGATATACCTGAATTATAAAATGGTCGGCTCAGGCCTGTATCTGTGGCTTCATATCCCAACCACTCCCATGTTAGTTTAGTGTCAAAAGTTAGCATTTACCAAGGAGGAAAGTGAGTTGGTCCCCAAAGAAAAGGAGTTTTGTTTTTACTACTGGGAGAATGTAGTCTTCATTAGGTAAACAAAGAGGGTTTTCATTACATTGTAAACACATTTCACAAAAAAAAAGACCCCATTTAAGTTTCTTTTTAAAGAAACTGGAAAATATTAAGAGAGTTAATTGGAGGTCACTCAAATGACAATTAATGAGCAGGCCCAATTATCTTCTGACTACTGTGGGGCTTAGAGATGTTTTTATCTTTTATTTATGGCACGAGTTTAAAATGTGGGCATGCCAACCCAAGGAGAGGCAGGCACAATATTAAATGACAGATTTCTCTATTTATATTTAAATAACCATCTGCATGAAATTATGCACAAATCATGGAATAATTCCTAGCAGAAATTACTGTTTAGAAAATAAAAAAAAATCTGAGACATGGTGTGCTTTTCATATTAAATTGCCCATTTCCAGAACATCACATACATTTGCACAATGTAAAGATGCTGCATTGCAGGACCAATACAAATTGCTTACAATGTTAATGAAGATGGATGGGGAAGGCTGAAAAACATTCATTTATGAGCACAAGAGAAAACGAGAGCAGCGATGTTCACAATCTCTAATTTTTTTGCCTTCATAATATCCAACTGAATGATGGTAACTTGAATAATACAGCTCTTGGGGAGGTTTTGTGATACATTTTTATTGTCGGTTGTGAATATGGTCTACTTTTTCCCATTTGGGGTGAAAATTGTGCATGCGCAGTTTGGAGGCTTGCAGCTAAGCTAGGAAAAAGACTCTTACTCTGAAGAACCATGAACAGGGTAGACTGACTACAAAATTTAAATAACCTTTAAAATCAAAAAGAAAAAATAATACTTCCTCATACTAAAAAGACTCCCCTTCCAACTAAAGATATGTTACTTTTCTCCCTCCGTTCTACCCCAGGCAAACCATCCACCCTTCCCAAAGCTCCTCAGCCAAGGGGCAGCTGTGGTTGAATCTATGGAGAGTAGGACATGCTCTGAGGACAGGGAGATCTATGCCAGGACGACAGCATCAGAGCCTCCCTCGGCCCATTGCAGCACACCACCCTTTGCCTAAATTGTAAGAGGTTGAGGAATGAGCATATGTATCGGGAAAGGAGGGGTCACCCTTTACCAATCAGTGAAGGGACCTGATGCTGCCCCACCAAGGCTTCATCTCCACTGTTCCCACCAACTCCTTCCAAAACCTTACATCCAGCTTCATCTCTCAGTTAGCCAGGACTCCTTGATATCCCCGGACAATTACTGGACTTTCCTTTGCTTTGAAGGTAGTATCTCCATTTTCCAACGTCCCTCAGAAGAGTGAAATCAAGGCACAGAGTCACTCAATCAGATATTTCAAAAAGCTGCTGCTCTGCGGGCCCCATGATAATTGAGTTCTACTCATTCAATCATCCCTGTTCGCTAATTTGTTTACTCGTTTGTTCAACAAGTATTTGTTGAGGTCAGTTCTATGTGAGATACTGGGAATACCACTGTGGACAAGAAAGATACAATCCCTGTCACCACAAAGCTGACAGACCCATGAGCAATACAAGATACTAAAGGTAAACAAAGGATACATAACCCAGACTAAGGAAGTCAAGGAAGACTTCCCAGAAGTAAGAATCTAAGCTAAGACCTGAATTGATTGAGCATCTATTTTGTGCAAGATGCTGCACTGGATTCTGAGGTCTAAAAATAACTATGAGTTAGTTTGACCAGCTGGTAGGAAGGGCACAAATAACAACAAGCAGATATAATTAGTGCCATTAAGTAGGAACAACAAATGTTTAGGAAGAGGGACCCATTCCAATTTGGAGGGCAGAGAAAACTTCATGAACAAAATGATTTAAAATTAGTCTTGAAGAATGACTGGACATGAGTTCAGAAGTAGAGTCAAAAGCCAGGCAGTCCCGGTGAAGAGCTATGAGCAAGGCTGCAGAGATGAGAAATTCTGAGAGACAAGAGTGGTCGTGTTTCCCTAGAGAGTAGGAAGAGCAGGAGGACATATGCTAAAGAACTCTGGAGAAATGGACCATGTCTTTTGGAAGACTGACTGCCCCAGGGAGGACTCAATGGCAGGCACTGCCCTCTGGGTGGTGCTCTACTAGCCCACCCTCGTTGATGTCCTTGGAAGGGGCATGAGGTATGTGTGCCCAGGGACCCCATGGGGCTTAGGACCCACTATTCCTACAAATAAAGAACAGCCAGGGGGCTGGATCACTTGGACCGTTCACAAGTCCTAGGAACCAAGGTGCCTTCTTCAGCCCTGAGGCACACAATAGGATCTTATTGCAGAAGAGCTTGAACAATGCATTGGGCAGCCACTCTGGTCCAGTCTCTGTACAGAGACGAAGAGACCCACATGGATATGGTGCTAACATTCAGCGAGGGAATAGCCGTGACCTGTAAGAAATCATTTACAACATAATATAGAAATTGTTCAAAGGAGGTTTTTCACAAGGTGTAAAAGGATCTTGGAAGAAGGTGCCTGTGGGTAGGGTCCGGGGATTGTGGGGGTGGAGGGCAGTAAAGAACAGAGGGTAACATAAATGCTAAGACTTGAAGGTGGGAGAAAAGTTTTCTGAGTCTACTAGGATGTTCCTGACATAGGCAATAACATACCATGGAGGTATACCAGAACATAATATGCTCACTAAATATGCACATATATACATACATACACACATACATACATGCATGCACACATACGTAGCACTCCTTCCAGAATGGCTATGGTATAGAGGGTGTGGAGAGATGATATTGAACAGAAAGTCAGAAGCCAACCTTCAAGTTGCTTCTATGTTATGACATCTAGATCTTAGACAACGACAGCCATTGAAACTTTTTGGGAAGCAGCGATGTGATAAAAAGGGGACAAGATGGAGGCAAGGAGTTGAGTGATGATGGTAATTCATCACCTAGCCTGGTTCCTCAATGGGCCATGTCTTAGCTACTTAATAAACAGCAAATTGGAACCCTTCAGTAAATAGTTGAACTGAATGTCTTTAGCGGTTTGGCAAATAAAGATGGAGAGGAAGAAAGAAAGATAAAAGAGCTATTCAGACACAGAATTGACAGGACTTTGGATTTAAATGTATAAGTCAGGGAAAGGGGAGTACAAAGTCTAGGATTAGCCCAGGTGTCTCCAGCTTTAGAGGAGCAGTGGAGTCACCACATGACAGGGACTAGAGGAAGAGAAGCAGATATGCACAGGGAAGAGTCCAGTCTTGAACATGTTGTATTTTAGGTGGACAAGTGGAAATAATGACTGGAAACTCTGAAGAAGATCTAGACTAGAAGTATCATTTGGAAGTCACTGGTTTACAGTGTTTGTTGAAGCCACAGATGTGGTTAAAGTTGCCCAGAGAGAACAGACAAAGTAAGAACACTTGAGACAAAACCCTAGACAGCACCAGTGTTTTAGGGGTGGCTTCTGTGAAGAAGCAGCCTAATCTTAGAGTTGAACGCTGCAGGGAATAAAAAGAACTCTATGAAGATAACTTGTGACTACTGCCATAAGGCTCATGTTGACATCCACAAGATTTTCAGATACTGCAATAGTGTTATCTGGGTAAAACTACAAATCTTAGAATGCTACATCTTTTCCAGAATTTGAAATGGATGAAATATGAAAATAAGTTATAGTCACAGTTCATTTATAGGCTCCGGTAAGTTGAGAGCTTGGACTCTGTTTACTCTTGCCTCCCCTTAACCACTAGCTATTCCAAGATGCTTTCAGTTTCCACATATGCCATACCTCTGGGCTTTTGCAGCTGTTTTTTGTTGTTGTTGTTGTTACCCTGGGATGCCCCTCTTCTCATTACACCCTGGCATCCCTGCAACTCCCTACCCCCATTTGCTTAGTGGTGGCCATTTGTTCTCAACACCCATCTAAAGCACTCCCTCCTTTGGGCATCCTTTATCCCTAAGCCCCAGCACTCCCCGCCCCCAGAAGACTTAGTTGCCTCTCCTCTGGTTTCCTCCTCTGGGCTCCCAAAGCCCCTTGACACACTGGATAGTAATGATCAATTTTCTGGTCTGTTTCCCCCCCCACATTATAGATAGGTAAATGCTTCTTGCCATGCCCATACTCCCAGCACACAGTATGCACAATATACAATATCTGACATACAGCAAGCATCTGTTAAACATTGTTGAAAGGTTACAGAAATATGGAACTTTGGCCGGGCTTGGTGGCTCACATCTGTAATCCCAGAACTTTAAGAGGCTGAGGCAGGTGGATCACCTGAGGTTGGGAGTTCAAGACCATTAGGGGAATCTCCCTGGTCTTGGAATCCTATGAAGATCCTGAGGCAAATATTCTCTTTTGTTGTTGTTTGTAGGTCATGAGTAGGCAGTGGGGTGATGGAAGACAGCAAGGGGCTGGGGAGTAGTAAAAAGACATAGAAGCAGCAGCAAAGTTGTTGGCTAGCTCTTGTAGCATAAGTGATAAATATGGTAATACTGGCTGGAGAGATCACAGGAGAGGACACGTGTTGATTAAAACATCCTGGAGAGTCTCCAAAATGAAGTTAGATATTTAAAAAGAATTGTCCTCTTCTCAATATTATGCTTTGGCACCCCTTGTGGGTCCTTTTCTGTTGGTGGGGAGATCCACGCCCACACATTTTATTGTGTTTTCTGCTCTCCAGGCACAACAGACTATAATAGAGGTCAGGAAATCCCTGCTTTTGCCCAAAGGAGCCTGTCCCAGGGCAGGCTGAGAGATGTTATCCCAAGAGAAATCCAGCATGTGCAAACTTACCTATTTTCCAGTTTTTGCCAAAGCTTGTTCTAGAAAATAATAATGAGTGGCTTATCTTAACAGCCATGTGGGTCCTCAGTGGCCAATCAGAGGAGAGTGATTTTAGCAAGACAAATCTAATCAGCTAATATCAAGACAGCGGGAGGGAGGTGCATTCTAAGTAGAAGTAGGACTGTAGAAAGGAGGCAACTCTTCCTACAGCCATGGACAAGTTTCAGGGCATCTGAAGACAAAATGGCTTGAGGCTTAGTCATTGTTTAAAAGCCATTCCTCAAATTCCTTGTTTACTGTCAGCACCTTGAGTTGTGGGCTCTGTCACTTTAGCTGTTAATGGGACTAAACACTTATGCCAACAGATTAAGCCTTGCTGAAACATTAAGAAAATTGGCCCAAACAGAGTTTAGATGGATTGTTGTTTAGTGGCTGTTTCTTTTGGGTGGGGAGGGGGGTATGATTGTCCCAAGACAATGGCTTTTTGATACCAGTGAAATAGTGACAATTGTGTAAGAGTTACTGGTAGATTTTCTGCTAAAGGAAAGAGATTGTTAAAAAAGCAAACATTTAATTTCAGTCATTTGGACTGACTACACAGAATACAGATGAGACTTTCTGAAATTAAAACTGACAAATGCATTGATGTCCATCACAAGTCTTGGGAAGGTTTTTTTTTTTTTATAAAAAAGTTACAATAAATTTCCAGAAGAAATGAAAAATCACTATGCCTGTCATTGCAAAAGGATCCTCCAGGCATGTAGGTGATATTGAAGGTGGAAAACTTTTCTTTGTTACACTGGTACCTTTTAAGATTTGTCAAACCTATTTCTTGTCATTGAGAAGAGGAGCAGTGCCTGCACAGTAGATGTATTTAACTTCAAAAACAGTTTTTCAAGTCTTTCAGACGCCGTAACCCTCTTCATGTAAATTCATATATCTTTACTTGTCATGTCTTCTTAAGCAAGGATTTTTTAAAGTGGCTTTTAAAAATCTTTTTCCAAGAAAGAATCAAGAACAACTAAATGCTTCATTTTGATTCCAAGTCTTAAACTTAGTTTGGAAGGGGCTTTACATTAAAAGAATTAGAACACTGTTTGATTATTTTTATAATCAGAAAAAATATTAAAATCTTTCAGATTAAGACCTCTTTGTTGGGTCAAAATGGAATGGAAAGTTGAGTTTGAATTTGGAAATAAAAAGTTTGTACTCTGTGATGGTCTTTGGTATATGTGTCATGAAAAACACACGATTTGCATTTGTTTGCTAGGAAGAAGTAGATGGAATGATGAATGGCTGTGTTATCTATCTCACTAGCTCTCCTTACATTTGCATCCATGGCCAAGTTGCTTGTTCCATATTTATTATCATGAATCACACATTTCCTTTTGCTGGATACTTATTGGTAATTTTTACAACAGTTCTTATAAAAGATGGAAGAAAGGAAGGGAGGAAAAAAAGGAAGGAAGCAAAGAGGAAAGGAAGGAAGGAAAAGGAAAGGAAAGGAAAGAAAAGGGAAAAGAAGAGAAGAAAAATAGAAATCTGCAGTGCTTTCTCTAAATGCTAATATTCAGAGAGGTGCTGAAATTTCTGTGATTCTAATGTCTTTGGAAACTTCAAACTTGACTTTGATTAACCATGCTAATAACCAGCGTGCTTCTTTTTAGCTCTACTCCTAATGTCACTTCACCAGAACTGTAAAGACATGCTCATAATATTTGCTTTTCATCTAAATGAAGAAGGCAATGCTAAGCAAAAAAAGTATTTAGCAGTGCATATAGGATTGAAGCGATGATAATCAGGGACCCTGGTAATTGAAGCTTTTGGGGAGGGGGAGAGAACCTTTCTTCTGGATCCTTCAGTCTGTTTAATAGGATAAAATTAGCTTGAGTGGTTTGGTGTTTGAAGAGGATGTGATGTAATTGGAAGTGCCTCCTGGGTTTGCTGCTGGACAAAGCAATCAGGTGGAGACACGGGAGGGCATGAGAAGCTCTGAAGTACGCATCTCGGCTTCTGCCATCCTAATTAGCCTAAATTAGCTATGCCAGTTTTCTGCTTGCTTTTGAATTTCCCTGCTAATGCTACTTTCGGGGCTGAAAGGAAAGAAATATGAAATGCCCACCAAGCTCCTATCTAATAGACGATGACGGAGTCTAAAACTGGACAGTCAGGTTTTATTGTTAAGCCCTTAAAAAGGGAGTGACTCACAGGGAACACAAACGGGTATGCGGGGCACAAACCATAGGGATCTATGGACGTGGCCACTGGTCCTGTGTGATGAGGAAGTTTACAAAGCATCTGTCTGAAATGGATAATTTTGAGAATTTTCCACACATCACTCCAAGGCCTCACCTGAGTATTATAATATTGACTATTTAACTGGAAGTGAACTAGGTAGAACTTCTCACAGCAAACATGTTTCTTCTTAGATCAAATTTCAAAGTCTGGGAGGGCCAAAGGAGGCATTTGTGGGTGGGGGAGGTGCTGCCATTTTTAAATGTTTCAGTTCTGACCCCAGTTAACTGTAACTGTGCAACGAGATTTGCAGTACATTCAGAATAGTTTGCACAAAGCTATTTTAATTGGAGGAGTATTTGGGTAGAAATAAATAATATCTCAACCTAAAAGTCACAGATTCTTTTTTTTTTTTTTGATTGCCAATGAGTAAAACAAAATTCAATGGTGTATATACCAAATAATAAAAGCAAATAGGGGCTGAGTATGGTGGCTCATGCCTGTAATTCCAGCACTTCGGGAGGCCGAAGTGGGCAGATCACTTGAGGCCAGGAGTTCGAGACCAGCCTGGGCAACATGGCAAAACATCGTCTCTACTAAAAATGCAAAATTTTTCCAAGTGTGGTGGTGCACACCTGTAGTCCCAGCTACTCAGGAGGCTGAGGCACGAGAATCACTTGAACCCAGAAGGTGGCGGTTGCAGTGAGCTGAGATCCCACCACTGTACTCCAGCCTGGGTGACAGAGACTCTGTCTCAAAAAAAAAAAAAAAAAAAAAAGCAAATGGGAAATTACTTAGTCATTTTCTATAGTCATCCAACAAAAGCACAATTTTCTCCAAGTCTCTTGTCATTGGTCCTCAGAGATAAACTTTCAGTTACTCCTAGACAGGTGTTCTGAGTACAAATGTCATTGGGTTTTTCATTTAAAATAAGTAAACCCTGAACATCTAAAGGCAAATGTTCAAGATGAGTATCAAAAACACACACACACACACGCGCACACACACACACTACAAGGAACTGTGTACTTTATTTTATGCATTTAATGTTATGTATCAAATGGTTATTGAGCCCTACCATGTGGATGGCTCTGTGCTAGGCCCTGTAGGGGATGCCAGAAATCTCACCGGTATTTGTCAATGTTTCCCTGTAGAAAATGGCCAATAAACGCATTTTCAAAATTTTCTGAGAATGGCTAGAGAAAGAAGAGGTGGGTGGATCCAGGTTTTAGTGGATGTGAAAAAATTTGAGAGCCTCTTTAGGAAAAATTGCTGTCCCCACCAACCTTGGAAGGCACCTGTGTAAGTTACAGGCCCCAAAGCTTCACCTTTATTAGCTTCAGGGCGAATCTGCTTCTGGCCAGGACAGCTGTCCTCAGGGGCATCTGCTGTCCTCCTTACATGCTCAGGAGCCCTGGTTCCTTGCTCTTCAGAGACACAAACTTCATGATTTCAAAATATTATCATTTTGCAACTTGGCTTGGTAACTCAGAGAGTGGCCAGGGGCAATTGCAGACTACACAATAGGCATGGTTTGATTTGTGTCTGAAACATTAGCAAACGGATCATGTGAGACTGGGTGGTGCTCAGGTGGACATGTATGATACCCTGTAGTGTACTTTGCAATATATTGTGGTGCAACACTGCACATAGGCCCTGTTTGTTTGCTACAGCTCCTTAGGCCATTTCCAGGATCCCTTCACCCAGTGACTCTGGCTCTTGGCAATCGGGAATGGCATTGTTGAAAACTTTCCATTGTGAAATTCTGTGTTTGTAAAGTGCACAGAAGCCATGTGTTAAAATTACATACTGTTGTGAATGACTCACTAATTTTCAGACTTCAGTTTGTTTAGGAGTTAGGTTTCTGTGACACAGCTCCTTCCAGACCCCAATGCAATATTTTTCTTTTCTTTTTGAGACAGTATTTTGCTTTGTCACCCAGGCTGGAGTGCACTGGCACAATTATAGCTCACTGCAGCCTTGATCTCCTGGGCTTAAGTGATCATCCTGTCTCTGCCTCCTGAGTAGGTGGGACTACAGGCATGCACCACAATTTCCGGCTAATTTTTAAATTTTTTGTGGAGGACGGGATCTTTCTATGTTGCCCACGCTGGTCTCAAACTCCCGATCTCAGGTGATCCTCCCACCTCTGCCTCCCGAAGTGCTGGGACTACAGGCGTGAGACATCACACCCAGCTCCCCCAGTGCAATATTTTCATTCCTATTTACACATAGTACAATGCAACCTTAGTACTGGGCATCTAGAAAGGGGTGTACAATTCTCCATGCAAGCTTTATGAAAATTTTTAATTCACTTTGAATTCCAATTCTAATACCTAAATTTAATCTGCGGTTTATGCATAACTTTTATGACATCATTTCATTTAAATTGTGTTTAGTCTTCACTTTCAGAAGTCCTAAGATAATGGTGTTTATTGGTTCAAGGCTACACACAAATGCACATTGTGAATTATTTAATGTCACCAAATTCTACCCCCATGAATGGTTAAAATGATCAATATTATGTCATGTCTATTTTACTGCAACTTTTTTTAAAAAGTTAAGGACCTTGGTGGAGAATGACTGGGAGTGGGAGGGGCACAGCTCTGATGCCTAAGACAAACTGTGGACTTGTTATCTAATTGATGTGCTGTTGTTTAAGCACTGATTTTTGGACAAATAAATTAGCAATGATAGTCATATAGTTCTGCAAGAAGAACATCCATGCATTCATTTATTTAACATAATTCCTAGGTGTGACAGGAACAGTTCTGAATGCTGGAAATGTAGAAACGAACGTAAAAGAAATGGTTCTGCCTTCATGAACTTCCAGACTAATAAACCCAGTAAAGGAAAATAACAAGACCATTTCATATAATGTTAAAGACTATGAAAAAATAGGTAAAACCACAAAGAGATACTGCTTCCAATCTATTGGGATGGCTACAATTTTTTTAAACAGGAAAACAACAAGTGTTGGCAAGGATTCGGAGAAATTAGAACCCATAGGCATTGCTGGTGGGAATGCAAAACCATGCAGTTGAGGTTCCTCATAAAGTTAAACATAAACCTAGCATATTACCTAGCAATTCAACACCTAGATACATACCCAAGAGAATGGAAAGTAGAAACTTGAAGAGATACTCGTATAACCATGTTCACAGCAGTCTTAACAATATCCAAAAAGTGGAAACAGCCCAAGTATTCATCAACAGATAAATGGGTAAACAAAATGTTGCAAACATAAACAATGGAATATTATTTAGCCATCAAGAAAAATAGAATTCTTACACGGTGCTGCACCACAATGAGCCTTGAAAACATTATATTTAGTACAGAAACAGAAGGACAAATATTGTATGGTTCCACTATATGAGGTATATGTAATAGTCAAACTCATAGAAGCAAAAATACAATAATGGTTGCCACGGTTTGTGGGGAAGAGAGAAAAAAGGGCAGTTTTTGTTTAATGGGTAGAGAGTTTAAACTGGAAATGATTTTTTAAATGGGGGGTATTGATATTAATAGCAGTGATGGTTACACAACATTGTGAATTAGTTAATGCCACCAAAATCTACACTCATGGATGGTTAAAATGATCAATATTATGTTATGCATATTTTAACCACAATTTTTAAAAAAAGTCAAGGATCTTGGTAGAGAAAGACTAGGAGGGGGAGGAGCACTTGCTAAGACCCTAAGGTAGGAGCAAGCTTTTGAGGAAGCAAGAAGGCAGGTGTCCCTGGAGCGGAGTGTAGAAGGGCCCTGCTGGCCGAGCTGACTGTGAAGCCAAAAGCACAGACTTCGGTGCCCCTCACTCGCACAGACCCCTGCAAAGGAGCTGTACTGAATTTTCCATTTGCAATCTTTAATCCTCCTTAAAGAAGGGCCCTTATATTCTATAAACTTTAGTCTCCACAGAAACCTGGATCTGCTGCTGGGAATAAATGATAGAAAATGAGACCTGAACTTTAGCATTAGAGGAAGGGACGGTCATGGTAGATAAGAGTGACAGCTCACTTTTGTATATATTGTTGCTTTGGGAAATTAAATTTATGTGTTTATTCATATACTCACTCATTATGTTACTTATTCATTTGTTCAACAAACATTTATAAGGCCCCTAATGTTGTAGGAATTTTCCTTAGTTCAGCTAAAAACAGTGTCCTTGTCACATGACGATGAGAGATTAGGTTCGCACACTTTGAAGGGTGAGAAAAATGGAACTTATTGGGCAAAAAGGAAAAAAAAGGAAACGGGAACTCTCCGCAGACCGACAGTCCTGCTAGTACACGTTTCCCGCCTCGCAAATCGAATCTCAAATACCACGCAGGAAGAGGAGGGACCAAGCTCCTCCGCCCTGCAAACAGCGCGAGCTTCCGGAGGCTCCACCCAATTGCAGACTCCTCCCAGTGCGCAGGCTGGTCAGAGGTTTTCCCGGGACGCGTTTTTACTTGGCTGTCTCACAAACATGCCTACCGTACACTGAGCCTTGGAGGAGATAAAGAAGACACCCACAGCCCTAAGAAAAAAGAAACACCAAAGCAATTCTAATATAAAGTTTAGAAACATTTCTGAATATTGAAATATTGAACTTCTCATCACCCCACTGGATTGTACATTCTTGGAAGACAGTGTGTCCAGAATTAGTGGGTTCTTGGTCTCACTGACTTCAAGAATGAAGCCGCGGACCCTCACGGTGAGTGTTACAGCTCTTAAGGTGGCGCATCTGGAGTTTGTTCCTTCTGATGTTCGGATGTGTTCGGAGTTTTTTCCTTCTGGTGGGTTCGTGGTCTCGCTGGCTCAGGAGTGAAGCTGCAGACCTTTGCGGTGAGTGTTACAGCTCTTAAGGCGGGGCGTCTGGAGTTGTTCATTTTTCCCGGTGGGGTCGTGGTCTTGCTGGTTTCAGGAGTGAAGCTGCAAGACCTTTGCGGTGAGTGTTATGGCTCATAAAAGCAGTGTCGACCCAAAAAGTGAGCAGAGCAAGATTTATTGCAAAGAGCAAAAGAACAAAGCTACCACAGTGTGGAAGGGGACCCGAGCAGGTTGCCGCTGCTGGCGCCGGCAGCCTGCTTTTATTCTCTTATCTGGCCCCACCCACATCCTGCTGATTGGTAGAGCCGAGTTGTCTGTTTTGACAGGGCGCTGATTGGTGTGTTTACAATCCCTGAGCTAGACACAAAGGTTCTCCAGGTCCCCACCAGATTAGCTAGATACAGAGTGTCCACACAAAGGTTCTCCAAGGCCCCACCAGAGTAGCTAGATACAGAGTGTCGATTGGTGCATTCACAAACCCTGAGCTAGACACAGGGTGCTGATTGGTGTGTTTACAAACCTTGAGCTAGATACAGAGTGCCGATTGGTGTATTTACAATCCCTGAGCTAGACATAAAGGTTCTCCACGTCCCCACCAGACTCAGGAGCCCAGCTGGCTTCACTTAGTGGATCCTGCACCAGGGCTGCGGGTGGAGCTGCGTGCCAGTCCCGCGTCGTGCGCCTACACTCCCCAGCCCTTGGGTGGTCGATAGGACTGGGCGCCGTGGAGCAGGGGGCAGCGCTCATCAGGGAGGCTCGGGCGGCACAGGAGCCCACGGTGGGGGGAGGCTCAGGCATGGCGCGCTGCAGGTCCCGAGCCCTGCCCCGCGGGGAGGCAGCTAAGGCCTGGCGAGAAATCGAGCGCAGCGCCCGTGGGCCGGCACTGCTGGGGGACCCAGCACACCCTCTGCAGCCGCTGGCCCGGGTGCTAAGCCCCTCATTGCTCCGAGTGCCGGGCCCGCCAAGCCCACACCCACCCGGAACTCGTGCTGGCCCCGGTTCCCGCCCGCGCCTCTCCCTCCACACCTCCCCGCAAGCTGAGGGAGCCGGCTCCGGCCTTGGCCAGCCCAGAAAGGGGTTCCCACAGTGCAGCGGTGGGCTGAAGGGCTCCTCAAGCGTCGCCAAAGTGGGAGCCCAGGCAGAGGAGGCGCTGAGGGCGAACGAGGGCCGTGAGGACTGCCAGCATGCTGTCACCTCTCAACAGGACCTCTGGAATCATCACATTTTATAGCTACAAGGGACTTAAAATGTTGTTAAGTTGAACCTCTCATTTTACATCTAATAAACCCAGGCTCAGGGAAACTAGGTAACTTGTCTAGGACTAAGGAAATAATTTCTAAGACTCCAAAGTAGAAGGCAGTCCTGCCGGGCACCCAGGACTGATCTTGTTCCGCTATTCCATGCAGCCATATTGCCTTGGGCTCCTTCCAGGTCTCCTGCTTCCCTTTTATCCCGTACATTGTCTAATCTAGTGTTCCAGACATCATGAGCATTCTGTAAATAGGAATTTGGCAGTGACGGTCATGTGTAGATAGAGTGACAGCTCTGGAATTTCTACCTGGGATGGTCTTCTGGATTGCCATATGTATTTACTTAGCAACTGTCCTCACTTGGATAAAACGTCTATTTGGGTGGCTTGGAGGAGGCAGTTCTGATAGAGGTCATGGTAAATTCAAGTCTTCCAAGCCGCCCACCTCATTGCCACCATTGGGCAGATGACAGGGAGTTGCTGGCTCATGCTTTTGCTGCCTGCTGTACTTCTGTAACCCTTAATTTCCTCGTTACTAACATGGAGGTTGTTATGAGAATTATGCGAGATAATATATGCCAAGATCTTAGCACAGCACTAGGCACATAGTAAGTACACAATCAATATTAGCTTGTGTTATTAGTGTTACTGTTATTCATGCTGAAAACTATCCCTATGGATTTCAGTGAAGGAGACTTGTATTATGCTTCTTTTTTTCTTTTTTAACTGGGTCTCACTTTGTCACCAAGGCTGGAGTGCAGTGGCGCCATCACAGATCACTGCAGGCTCAACCTCCCAGGTTCAAGTGATCCTCCCACCTCAGCCCCCTGAGCAGCTGGGACTACAGGTGTAAACCACCATACCTGGCTAATTTTTATATTTTGTTTTTTGCGGAGGTGGCGGCTTCGCCATGTTACTCGAGCTGGTCTCAAGCTCCTGTGCTCAGGCACTCATCCCAAGGCCTCGGCCTCCCAAAGTGCCAGGATTACAGGTGTGAGCCACGGCACCCAGTTCATTGTGGTCAATATTCTAAACCTAAGATATTGAGTTTGGGAATTTATTTCTCCAAAATCTAAGGGATATATACAAATGAAATATGATAACTGATTAAGAAACCTTACAAATAAATATTGGCCATGATTCTGTCACCATTACCATTTAAAATCCACTCAAATTCGCATCACCCCAGCTCAAGAGTTACCCAAATAGTAGAGTAATTGAAAACCACATTCTGTGCCTGTCCTTATATAAATTGCGGTTTGCCCCAGGCTATTTCCAAGGCTGTAAATAGTTCTTAAAGATGAAACACTGACAGAAGTGCGCATTCAAGAGGCAGGATAATCAAGAAGGCTTGAAAATGCGTCTATTTGATTCCTCTCTCTTTTTTTCTTTATTACTCTTGTTAGCGGTCTATCAATTTTGTTGATCCTTTCAAAAAACCAGCTCCTGGATTCATTAATTTTTTGAAGGGTTTTTTGTGTCTCTATTTCCTTCAGTTCTGCTCTGATTTTAGTTATTTCTTGCCTTCTGCTAGCTTTTGAATGTGTTTGCTCTTGCTTTTCTAGTTCTTTTAATTGTGATGTTAGGGTGTCAATTTTGGATCTTTCCTGCTTTCTCTTGTGGGCATTTAGTGCTATAAATTTCCCTCTACACACTGCTTTGAATGCGTCCCAGAGATTCTGGTATGTTGTGTCTTTGTTCTCGTTGGTTTCAAAGAACATCTTTATTTCTGCCTTCATTTCGTTATGTACCCAGTAGTCATTCAGGAGCAGGTTGTTCAGTTTCCATGTAGTTGAGCGGTTTTGAGTGAGATTCTTAATCCTGAGTTCTAGTTTGATTGCCCTGTGGTCTGAGAGATAGTTTGTTATAATTTCTGTTCTTTTACATTTGCTGAGGAGAGCTTTACTTCCAAGTATGTCAAAACCACAATGAGATACCATCTCACACCAGTTAGAATGGCAATCATTAAAAAGTCAGGAAACAACAGGTGCTGGAGAGGATGTGGAGAAATAGGAACATTTTTACACTGTTGGTGGGACTGTAAACTAGTTCAGCCATTGTGGAAGTCAGTGTGGCGATTCCTCAGGGATCTAGAACTGGAAATACCATTTGACCCAGCCATCCCATTATTGGGTATGTACCCAAAGGACTATAAATCATGCTGCTATAAAGACACATGCACACGTATGTTTATTGCGGCATTATTCACAATAGCAAGGACTTGGAACCAACCCAAATGTCCAACAATGATAGACTGGATTAAGAAAATGTGGCACATATACACCATGGAATACTATGCAGCCATAAAAAATGGTGAGTTCATGTCCTTTGTAGGGACATGGATGAAATTGGAAATCATCATTCTCAGTAAACTATCGCAAGGACAAAAAACCAAACACCGCATATTCTCACTCATAGGTGGGAATTGAACAATGAGATCACATGAACACAGGAAGGGGAATATCACACTCTGGGGACTGTTGTGGGGTGGGGGGAGGGGAGAGGGATAGCATTGGGAGATATACCTAATGCTAGATGACGAGTTAGTGGGTGCAGCGCACCAGCATGGCACATGTATACATATGTAACTAACCTGCACAATGTGCACATGTACCCTAAAACTTAAAGTATAATAATAAAAAAATAAAAAAATAAAAATATATTAAAAAAAAAAAGAAAATGATTAAGGTGTTACCGTCAAAACAAGACCTGAAGCAAAGTTTGCACTTCTCTCTTGAACACTGACCAACTTGTTTATTTCCCATTATGTGGACAATTATATCATTGCTTGCTCTACTAATTTCAACTTTTACCCAATAAAAACTAAATACTCTTGTCATGCATTTATTTTCTCCTGAACTGAAACAGACTTAGGTATATAGAATGCGTAAGATAGTAAACTCCATGGGAATATGGGAAATGCTTTGCGTATTTCTTGAGAGGAGGAAAGTTGTGCTGACTCATATTACCTTCTTCCTAGGTTCACACAGCTCCTCACTCTGCAAGTGTTTGTCCCTAGAATAGAGGTGAAACTTGAGAAGCACCCACTGTCTGTTTGCAGTGGAGAAAATGTCTATGGAAATATTAGCCTGCATTGCTTCAAATCTTGACGGGGCTTGAGGAGACAATTACAGACATTATGCAAAAACTGTCTGACATATCTGTGGCTTTTCTTTCCTATTTCCAGACTTTTTCCTTTATACATTTAAAACCTGGGGTTCAATTTGCAACACAGCACCAATCAGGATAAATTTCTTTTGCAAAAGCTACAGGTGGCTTCTCTTAAACATCAAGATAAGGTGTGAGTTACTTGAACACTTACCAAATTTGTAGGACGCAAGCTTATTGAGTAAGTAATTCAGTAGAACCAGTTAGTAAGTCACAGCCAGGAGGCAGGAATATCAAAAGGTAGTGGCAAGTTTCGTTTTTTATTGTTTTTAGGTGATTTACAACTAATTTAGAACTTGCTTCTGAAGATGGCTTACAACTTAGAAGCAGCGAAAGTTTCTAATACATTAAGATATAAATTCAGCCGGGTGTGGTGGCTCACACCTGTAATCCCAGCATTCTGGGAGGCCAAGGTGGGCGGATCATCTGAGGTCAGGAGTTTGAGACCAGCCTGGCCAACATGGTGAAACCCTGTCTCTACTAAAAATACAAAACCGGGTGTGGTGGTGTGCGCCTGTAATCCCAGCTACTTGGGAGGCTGAGGCAGGAGAATTGCTTGAATCCGGGAGGTGGAGTTGTCAGTGAGCCGAGATCGCGCCACTGCACTCCAGCCTGGGCTACAGAATGAGACTCCGTCTAAATAAATAAATAAATACATGTATATAAATTCATGGTGATCTCTATTATATCACCTCATCTTACATTCTTTGCAGCATTTATCGCCATTGTCCATAAACCTTTTGGTTTACTTGTGAGTGGGTTGGTTTATTGTCTGTCTCCCCAAGCTAGAAAGGAAGCTCCATAAAAATAGGAGTCTTGCCTGTCTTGTTCACCATTATGGTCCCACCACAGACACAGCACCTGTGGGCCCTCCACGAATGTTTGCTGACTCAATCAGCCTGTACTTCAGTAGAGACGTTTAACTCAAATTATGTTCAAGAGCCTTGGGGGTCCACAAGTGCAATGAGGTTAATTTCATTGCTGCAGTTCAAGAATGGAGTTCCTCCCGCTTCCCCATTGCCAGGAAAAAAAAATAGTTAATTTATAAAGCTTCACAATTTATAATTTTTCTCCTTTACATTTCCCATGCCTTGGTTTTCTGTGACTTCCTAATCAGTTTGCAATCAACATAATGACAAGCAAGTAGTAACCTGATACTGTTAGGAAATTTGGAAACAGACAACGGCACTAAATTTAGCAGGTTCTAAATATGCTTGTAATCTATTTACCGCAATTAAAAAATAGTTAAAATTAGAATATGGATTAAAAGTTTATATTTAAAATAGTTTATGGAATATATATATATATTTATAGTTCTGGAGCTGGATGGTGGTGATGGTTGTACAACAATGTGAACATATTTAATGCCACTAAGCTGTACACTTAAAAATTGTTAAAATGATGAATTTTATGTTACACATAGTTTACCACAATTTTTTTAAGTCATTAAAAAATATATATAGCCAGTAACTACTGAGTAATTGAAATGTGGCTCATGCAACTGAGGGACTGAGTTTTTAATTTTATTTAATTTTGATTCATTTTTATTTAAATCTAAATAGCCACATGTGCCTAGCAGCTACTGTATTGAATAGTACAGGGCTAAATGCCTGAAGAATTTCATTGAAATAATGCATTTTAGCATGCTAATTTTAAAAGTTATCATTTGAATGGATTTTCCCTTGCTTTTTGTTTTCTAACTTTTTGTTATGAAATTGTCAATCTTACATAAAAGTAGGGAGAATACTATAATGAATATCCACTTGCTCGTCATCGAGATTTAGCAATTGTTAATATTTTGTTATATTTCCCATAGTAATTTTTGAGATCCAACTACTCTAATGAGTTGAGGCCAAAGCTCTGAAACTGAAAAGGGCTTAGTCTGACATCCATCTCTGGACTCAAAACCAATTCCATCAGCACTGCCCTTCCCTATTGTTAACTAGTTACATTTTCATTTTCATATTTTCTAGGTAATGGTGCCAGAAATGCTAATAATATAATCACAGTTATTTGTGAACACATTCATAACTTCTAAATTCATTTCAGATTTGAGCTGGGATTGTTTTGCTATTAGATTGTGACTTCTTTGGGTGGGTGGGTGCTAACAGTAAAATGTCACCAGTCACTGAGTGTGTGACACCTCAAATGACACACAGGTGTGACCCAGCAAGTATGGCCCAGAGGCCAGATTAACTGGTTCTTTAAAATTTATATTCACATTTAATTTGGCCTGGAGGTATGGCTATAAAATAGTGATAGCTATAAGACACTGTGACAAGATGCTTTAATATAACGATGTAGTTGTGGTTCTCAGCGTTACTGTGATTATTGAGAACAGCTGAATTCTAGCTTCACTCTCTTCCTTTGGGGTTGTCCATTGGCATGGTTAGAAAGCTGGTTAATAGCGAGTCAAACTTGTGCAACTAAAATGGGGCAGGAGAAAAAGCACCATGTCCCAACAAAGCATCTAAAAAATGCGATTCCAGAACCACAGGGAAACAGGCAACTCTACCCAGATTTCTATAATGAGTCTTCATATTTTTATATAGTAACTATGGTCTCATGGAAAGAAGGTAGAAATAGTACTGTGGACAAACATGCGGCCCTGGCAAGAGACTTCTTAGTTTCAAATCCTGGCTTTGCCACTCATTGATTGTGGGCTTTAGCCAAGATACTTAAACTTCCTATAACTCAGTTTTCTCATCCATAAAATGGAATTAATAATCACATTAAATGAGATACTTAGCAAGGTATGTTGCACATAATGTGTGTTCAATAATAAATTATGCCACATAACATAAGAGTATTCACATTTTAAAATATAATAATAGCTCTTTGAGGAAAATACCAAATAGGAATAGTTTTATATTGTCTTTATAAATACAGTCCTCATGATCTGAGGAAAATCACATTCCAGGAGACTGGATATAGGAAGCAACATGGAAGGGGCAAAAGATATTTGTCAGTGGTCTCTATAGTTTTCTAGAAGCAGCCAAATGATAGATAATTCTAAAATCCAAAAAAAACTCTGAAAACAAAAATTTTCACAAGTTTTCAACAAAAATTCATTTGAAGGCAAAACCTAATCTGAATTAATATGACACTATGTAACACTATGTATGTCTTCTTTTTTTGTTTGTTTGTTTTAGAGATAGGATCTTGCTCTGTCTCCTAGGCTGGAGTGGAGTGGCACACTCATAGCTCACTGTAACTTCGAATTCCTGGGCTCAAATGATCCTCCTTCTTCAGCCTCTTGAGCAGCTAGGACTACAGACACATACACCATATCTGGTTAATTATAAATTTTTTTTGTAGAGATGGAATCTCGCTATGTTGCTGAGGCTGGTCTTGTTGCCTGGTCTCAAGTGATTCTTCAGCCTCAGCCTCCCAAAGCACTGGGATTACATGTGTGAGCCACTACAAGTGGCCTTATGGTCTTCATTTATCCCACTTAGGGTGAATACTGTTATAATTTGTTGCAGTTAATTATGAGGTGCTGCTCCAGACTTCAATGGAGTTATTCCATAAGAAGCCGTATATGCATCATATCACCTTCAAAATCAAAAGAAACCTGAATTCCAAACCATATCTGGCCCCAAGAATTTGGGGTATGGAATTCTGGACCTCTGCTCTGCTTAAATTCCATTGGCCAAAAGTTAGTCATGGGTCCACTGTTAGCTACAGGGCACCTGGGAAATGAGGCCTTTATTCTGAGCAGCCAAGTGCACAGCAAAAATCTATCGCAATGGGATGAGGAAGACTGGACATTGAGGCCCAACCAGTAGTCTCTGACACAATCTCACTTGTTTTCTCCAAAGCTTTATCCTAAAACATCCTCAGAACCTCCTGAATGGGACCAGAATAAATAGGAATTGTCCATTTGGTCTTCTGTAAGCAGCCTAGACTGACTTCAAACGACCCAGTTCTAGTTTCAAAAGACCCAACATGGTTGGTTACCTTTACTCCTATGGAATGCTATCTTGGCTTCTCAGGTGAATCTATAGCAGTTCACAATTCTTCCCCCTGCAGAACCACTTCAATCTCACAGATATTTCCTAGTCTTCCAGTAAATTCAGGACTAGACCTTTGGTTCCAACTGGCCAGGGTACTTACTAGTTGGGACCCTTCAAATGGACTAATTGTGAATGTCCCTTCAACTTTTCATGGTAGAAGAGTCAGGACATCCCATGAGCATGTCGAAGAAACTCCTGAAAAGGAATATTCAGATTCAAACGTTGTCTGTTTGAATTCATCAAACTCCATCAAATGCAAATTTTACTTCTCTCAAAAAAAAATAATTCAAATTCAACAAATTCAGCTCTGGCATAGAGATATGTTCTAGGAATATGGCATAAAGATGTGTTCTAGGAACCATGGAGAATAAAAGATGAGTGTTTTTTTCTGCTTATTGCAATTGGACACAAAAGGAGGAATTTTCGGTGAATGCTGAAAGAAGAAAAACAACTTAAAATTGGATTTTATTTTCAACTTGGAGGCTACAGAACTTCAGTCTATGGTACATATTTTTAATAAATGGGTGAGGTTGATATTATGAGAACCCAAAACCTGCCAGTTCTGAAGCCTAATTCCTAGTCATTGGCAAAATCTAATTTTTCCTCAAATAAAGATGAAATGCAAGATGAGCAAAAAAGAGGTAGTCACAGACAATAACAAAACAAGATTCAGCCTCTGGCTTGGGTGCAGTAAACTGTAAATAGATCAGTGTTTTATAGTTGTATGAGAGTTGCTTAGTTGGCCTCTGGAATCTTGCTTCATTTTATGCATTCCTTGTTGATTCTATAAGAGTGTGCTTTTTGAATGTCCTGTAGTTAATTTATCAAACAAGGATGCCAAACTTTAAGTATTCCATGGGTTCTTTTTAACTTTAAATGGAGTTTGTGCAACTGTTCCAAGTAGGTTTAAATAGATAAGTATTCTGGGGAGTGTCAATTTTATTCAGCCTAAAAGCTAAGTTAACATAAATGGAAAAATAGATGGTACCTTCTGCATTTTCATACATTTTAATGGCTAGTTCCTATTGATTGCTGTGCCTCTTTTTGCAGGTAAAGGAAAAATCAGACATCACAATGTATATTTCCTTGCAATGGAAAGTTATTCTGATCATACCTTACAAATGATCCATACTGATATAAAGTTTACAGTGTTGGGAGGAGGAGGAAAGAATGAACTTAATTTGAATTTAGAAAGTCTCTAAATGATAATTGAATCACAAGTCTGGATTATAATTCTAGGAGCAACACTTGACTTGGTCAAAATCACTGTTTTGAAGAGATGCAATTTTTACACAGTACTTCACATTGATTAAGTAATGTGTGAAAATGAAAAAAAAGTATTTGAATCTTAATCACAGTCATTTGCATGAAATAAAAGTCTGTGTCAAGGGAATGCACATTATAATAACTCCTGGGTGTTTTGGTTGCATCAGTGAGCAAAGAAGTTGTATGCATTTTTTTCACGCTGATATACAAGAATTCCTTTTATATTTATTGTATCTTTGATTGTACAGAAATTTAGCAATATAGGATTTTGGTTGGCAAGAGACGACAACTGATTAACTACCTTAACAATAGCTGTAATTAAAACAGATGTTTGATAATGCATACACTCGAATTAAACTGGGAACGTTCACAGACAGAAAAGAGAAATAGGAATTTGATATGAACCTCATTCTCAGTAAGGCTGTCCATTAGATGGAAAGGTAATAAATGAGAGAATGAACTTCAGAAAAATTCTGCCCATCTCTTTACTACATATTTTTCTCCCTATGGCTGTATGCTTGGAATACTTGAAATATAGACAGACACCTAAGCTTCTTGCCCATGTGCACCACCCCCAAATCATATCTGAGACTGGTCTTCAAATCTACAGATCCTATTTTTCTGCACCGGCACCTGTTAATACCTCCAACTTAGCCTCTCTGTTGAGAATCATTGGAGTCCAAAGTGCCTTCCAACTCTGGAGCTAGACTCCCTTCTGCCTTCTTCAGACCCCCCAATAATTGAAATCATCTGGTAATAACCTGAAATCTCCTATTTGGGTTGATGTGCATTTCCTATGATGTTGAGTTAATTTTTTTTCTTATTTTGACAATCCCCCTCTAGTTTTAGGCTGACATTATCTGGGAATAAAGGAGATTTTGGTCTCTGAAGCTTTTCATCTTCCCTGTTTTGTGGAAGAGAAAAAGAGACTAAGTAAGAGTTTTGATTCCTGAAGAGGCTGAAAATGCCAAAATACAATAATAGCTATTTTCAAAATATATAAGTCTAATTGTTCAACCTAAGTCAGAAGAAGAAAGTTGCTGGAAAGATCTCTGCCAGATATTGGCCATATTAAGGGATAAATGTGAAGCAGAGATAGGATGGTAATGGATGCAATAATGCATTTATTTAGAATTGAATAACAGTAAAAATAATAATTATAATAACAAATGTTTCACTAAATAAAACGGAGTAAAACAATACAAAAAAAAAGACTACCAATTCAGTAACAGCAGAAAACAATTTTGTGCTCAATCTCACCTTTAAGGAAGAAACAGACACTGAGAAAATGAAGGCATCAATAAAGTTTCAAAATAAATGTACTGACAGTAATGTACCGAAGTTGTTACACACTCAAAAATTAGAAACACTCCAAAATACAAGCTTGCTTTCTTGACAGTGGCATTCATTCAACTTCATAATCTAGGAGTTTGCCTTGATTCTTTACCCTTTGTCTTCTGGTGAATAGCAGAAACTTCACAATACCTATTGAAAGAAACAGTCCCTCTTTCCAATCTTGCAAAATCCACTTCCTTTTTTCAGAAAACATGCCATGTGGCTGCACACCTTCGTACGTATGCCTCTTCCACCAGCCTTGTCAGGCCCTTGCACTTCCAAAGATAGTATCCGTCCTCCTCTTCACCTCTCCAGAATCCCCCACTTCTCCAACCCTAATTCAGGTTCTATCCCTTGCAAGGTTTCTATGACCACTCCAGGCAGCGGTAGTTTCTTCCTTCTTCGAGCTCCTGTTGCATCAACAGAGAATACTCCCTAGTTCAGCACATACTTACCTTTGTAATAGTTTGTAGTTTTTCTCCCTCCCCAGTTATAAGCTCCTTGAAGATGAGAAAGATATCCCAACTTCCTTCCTTCTTTCCTTCAACAAATTTGTATCTAGTACCTACTTGGTACCAATGAGAGCCTTCCTAGATTTCTCCTACAGCACTTAGCAGCATTGCAGCCTGGAGTAGGCATGAAGTACATGCGTGTATTGTTTGAAGACATTTATTAAGCAGCTTTCTATCAGCCTGGATGATTCAACTTAACTCATCTGCTCTTTCCTCCCAACATATATTTAACCCATTCTTTTTAACCGAAGATCAAATCTTCAGTACCATCACCAAGCCTACTGCGTTCTTTCTGATAGAGGGAAGCAGATAGATTTATGCCAGGCCAGCAAAAGCCTGTTTGTGAAACTTGTTTCTGTTCTTAGTTCCACTTGACTTCCTTTGTACTATTGCTCAAGACACTTAACTTCTTATGCCATCATAATGTCCCCTTCTGTAAAATAGAGACAATAATATATGCTGTGCCACCCCCAACACTCCCCACGGTGAGGGTTAATGAGATAATGGCTGTAAAACACCTTAAGCTCTTCCAAGGAAGGTGCCATAGTGTGGAAAAAAGTAAAGGGTTATTATGTAACTAATCACATTCAAAATACAGGTTGCAAATGGACCTGTGGAGTTTTGAAACAAAGCTTCAGAGAGACAGGCTAATGCTTCACTTGCCCTGCAGGACCAGGCAGCATTTCTGGAACTTTCTCTTACATAAGTTAACTTTAGAAAATACATTTTAATTTGTTTTTTAAAGGGGTTGGTGATTTATGCCTGCAAAACAAAGATGAACTCACACAGCAACAATGCAGGTCCCTGCTGTTTGAGGAGATACTGCCTTTTTTTGTTGTTTTTGTTTTTATTTTTGTTTTCCAGTGGATAATAACTTTTATTGAGACCCTACCAGCTGCAAAATCTGTTCCTGGCATTAAGCTCTTTCTTCCTTTGCAATTTGGTCTTTCTTGAGTCGTCCCATGGATGCTTTCTTCTCCTCCATGGTCTGCAAGCGGCCATGGCCAAACTTGGAGGTGGTGTCAGTGAACTTAAGGTCAGTCTTCTGCAGAGCCCGCTGTTTGGTCTGCACCAGCAAGGACTTGCGGGGAGGGTGAGCACTCGCTTCTTGGTTCCTACCACACAGCCCTTCAGCATGACAAAGTCATTGGTCACTTCACCATAGTGGCCAAAGACACCCAGAGGGTTGATGCTCTTGTCAGACAGGTCATAGTCAGTGGAGGCATTGTTCTTGATCAGTTTGTCATCCTTGATAAGGTAGCCCTGGCCAATCTTATGGATCTTCTTATTGATCTCAGTGTGGTGACAGTAGCCTTTCTGCCAAGTGCGTGCCACAGAGAAGGCCACATGGACAAGATGCCATGCCCCAATACAGGACACCTTGCGTGGGCCTTGGTGGGTCTTGCGGGGCAGCTTCTTGGCGTGCCAATGACTGGTGACCCCTTTGTAGCCTTTGCCCTTTGTCATTCTGATGATGTCAATCATCTCATCCTGCCCAAACACATGGTTCACAGGTAACTGCTGCTCAAACCTCTCGCGGGCCCAGTCCAGCTTCTTGGCCATGGTGTCTCCATTCACCTGGATCTCCATCAGGTGGGCCTTCTTCTGGTGCAGAGGAAGCGGTGCATCTGAGTGTGGGCAATGACATGGATGACTTGGCAGTACTTCTTCATGCTGCTGAAGTCCTTCTCCAGCTGCTTCTTGCCATTCTCATCCTGCCATTTCTTGCGGTACTTGGTAAAGGCCTTCTTCTTAGATTTATGCCAGTTCTTATAGAAGCGCCTCTTGCACTCATCACTGATGTGCTCAGCGAAGACAGTCTTGAAGGTCCGGAGGCCTTGAGGGGTTTCCACATAGCCCACAATGCCCACAACCATCATGGGCAGTGTCTCTACAATGGTCACAGCCTCTACCACCTCCTTCTTATTCACCTTGGATCCTGGCCTGTCAACTTCCTGCACGATGTGAGTCATGCCAGCCTTGTATCCCAGGAAGCCTGTGAGGCAGACTGGCTTGGAAGGGTCATCCTTAGGGAGGCTCTTCACCTTCCCACAATGCCCACTGCTGCACTTCTGGGGCAGGAAGCTGAGGGACCCGTGTCTGGGAGCGAAGAACTTTCTGTGAGACATCATGCAGTCAAATTCCACTGGTAGAGCGAGATACTGCCTTTGAATTTACATACAAGCCAAAAGAAAGTAAAGTCTAGCTTGGCAGAGCCCATCTCTCCAGCTGAGAATACCTTCTGACCTGGAAGCTCTGTGAGGGCAGGAACTGATTTCTTGTTCACAATTATATTGCCATCACTGCAAATAATGCCTGGAATGTAGTAGAGTAGAGCTCAACAAATATTTTATGTTCTCTGTATTACATGAATGAGTCTGGCTTTATTGCATGAATGAACCCATGGAAGGAGAGAAGGAGGTAAAATGTGGGCACTGGTAGGTCCAACACTCTCTTATTTGAAGAAGGTGCTCAGGGGTTATATCACTCACTGGGCTGGCTGTGTAACAGTCACATTTTGTGGGCACTACCACTGGCTGCTCAAGCCCACAGGGCTAGGAGGGTACAGGACCAAAGGTCATTTTAATCCCACATTCTAATGGAATGTGCAACTTCGGATGTGCCAGGTATAAGTAGGAAACATGCAAGGAACTTGAGCATAGAGGATATTACTCATCCTCCAATATTTTTGTACACATTTTGGTCCTGGATGCTACCAAAGAAATCTGATTACTCTAAATACATGTGGAGTTAGAGTAGCCCATGGGAGGAAAAGAATAGGATTCGGTCTTACCTTTTTCTCCCCATCAGAGGTTCAAAGGTAGTATGATAGATCTGATAAACCAAGTGGCTACGACTGAGGCCACGTTGCAAGAACAGAGGTGCACCTGAGGAAGCTCACCAGGTGAGAGGAGTTAGCGGGGGCCGAGGACCACTCTCAACCCCAGGGCTTGGGTCATGAGAGTCAAGCTGATTCCAGACACAGTGCACAGTGGGTACTAGTGTGCCCAAATCACACTACAGTAGCACTGGTCATACAGTTTTAAAAATAAAGCTGGATGCTTATAATGCGAAACAACAAACGTGCTAAACGGTGATTTGCCATCTAAGAAGTCTTAATGCAGAGAAATGTTCTAGTCCTTTCAGGCTGCTCTAACAAAATACCAGAAACTGGATGCCTTATAAACAACAGAAATGTATTTCTCACAGTTCTGGAGGTGGGAAGTCCAAGATCCAGGAGCCTGCTGATTTGATGTCTGATGAGGGTCTGCTGTTTGGTTCACAGACAGCTGTCTTTTTGCTGTGTCCCCACTTGGCCAAAGGCACAGGGAGCTCTCTGTGTCTCTTTCATAAGGGCATTAATCCCATTCATGAGTGCTCCCCCCTCATGACCTAATCACTTCCTTAAGGCTCCGTCTCCAAATGCCGTCACCCTGGAGATTAGGTTTCAACATATGAATTTGGGGAGGGCACAAACATTCAGTCTACAGTAGGAAACAAGGAGAAAAGGAACATCTTCCCCTTCAAGGGATGAAACTGCTTGGCCTCAATGATTCAGTGGAGGCCTCTGTGGGAGCCAGCAGGTGTGGAGAGAGTGAGACTGGAGGCCACCAGGCCAGGCACAGTGGCTCATGTCTGTAATCCCAGCACTTTGGGAGGCCAAGGTGGGTGGATCACCTGAGGTTGGGAGTTGGAGACCAGCCTGACCAACATGGAGAAACCCCGTCTCTACTAAAAATACAAACTTAGCTGGGCATGGTGGTGAGCAGCTATAATCCCAGCTACTCGGGAGGCTGAGGCAGGAGAATCGCTTGAACCCAGCAGGCAGAGGTTGCGGTGGGCCAAGATCACGCCATTGTACTCCAGCCTGGGCAACAAGAGCAAAGCTCTGTCTCAAAAAAAAAAAAAAAGAAAAAAAAAAAAAAGAGTGGAGGCCACGAAGGATCTGCAGGATAATGTCACCATAATTATATATGTGGCAAGAAAACCCAAAGGAAGGGACGGAGGGAAGGAGGAAGGAAAGAAGAGAGGAAGGAAAGAAGAAAGGAAGGAAGATAGATAGATCTGGCTTCAAAAAACTATAAAAATGCCAAAGACAAGGCTTTCATTCAAAAGTGACAGCCTGGTTCACCCTGTAGTGGGGAGCAAAGTGCAAGTGCAGATTAAAAGCAGAAATGGATGTTCCCCTAATGTGGCAAAAAGGCCTTGACCTGTAATACCAGATTGTCAACAAAAATCCTCAGAATGTATGTGTGTAAGAGAGGGTGAGAGAGAAGGTTTTCCCACTTCAGCTATTTAGGTCCTGTGCCTTCTCATCACTCCCTAGAGGCAGTTGGAAAAGAAGGAACAAAAAGCACCAAAGTACATACATCCCAATGCCCAAGTTAATTTCACAAGAGAAAAGCCTAATAAAGCCCAAGTAAATAAGAAAAATGAAAAGAATCTACCCAGGAAATTTAGGGGAAGATCACAGGCCAGAATATAAAACATTCCTGGGTTAAAAAGAGAAAAAAGTTATGTGACCTATGCAATGATTATTATTTAGGAAGGAAGGAAGGAAGGAAGGAAGGCTAAATACATGTAAAGAAGAGGCACATTCAAAAGAGAATGAGAATCAGTAGAAAATTTGATAAAACAAATGGCTGACACTTTAATATAATTAAAGAGAACACAGGCTCTATGAAAGATGATATCAAACATAAAAAGACAAGAAAATAATGAAATCTAAAGGAAGCGGGCAGAGGTAAAGGAGAAAATAATTTCATTGCAGAAATAATAAATGATTTAGGCTGGGCATGATGACTCACACCTGTAATCCAACACTTCAGGAGACCTAAGTGGGGGAGGATTGCTTGAGCCCAGGAGTTTGAGGCCAGCCTGGGCAAATAGTGGGACCTGGTCTCTACGAAAAATCTTAAAACAAAAATTAACCTGGTGTGGTGGTGGATGCCTGTAGTCCCAGCTACGCGGGAGGCTTAGGTGGGAGGATCACTTGAGCCCAGGAGGTTGAGGCTGCAGTGAGCCATAATCCTGTCGCTGCACCCCAACCTAGGTGACACAGTGAGACCCTGTCTCAAAAAATATATAATAATAATAATAAATGATTTAGAAACATCAAGTAAAATTGCAGAAAACTGAGTTTGTGATTTTGTTGATAGATGAGAAAATCACACAGAATGAAGAGGAAAGGGGAAAAATTGAAAAGAAGTTACAAAGAAGTTAGTAGATATGGAAGGTAGCCAACCTAGTTACAAAATACAGATAATTGCTCTTCCTAAAGTCAAGGAAAAAAATATTCAGATGTAGCAGAGAGAAAGTTTCTGATATCACAGAAGAGTGGAATTTTCAGATTAAATTAATTAATATATCATAATTAGTCCAAGGCATATTTCCTGCTGAAATTACTAAACTTCAAGGATAGAAAAAGAATTCTCCTAACACCTAGACAGATGAAACAAATCAAAGAAGGGAAATACCAGGCTGGCTTCAGACCACTCCATAGCAACATTTGAGGCCACAGGACTGGGGAGCAATAACTGACGAATTTTAAGTGGAAAATCATGGGGCCCAGAGAAGTTGTTGTCCAACATGTAAAGATAACAACAAAATTCTCAAATACGTAAAGATTCAAGAGACATACTACCTATAACTTCTTCCTTAAAAAAATTATTTGATGATATAATCTACCCAATTAAAAAATAATTCAAAATTAACTTGGAGATGGAAAAGCTTTGTCCTAAGGACTCCTTATGTGTCCTAAATAAATGTGAACACACTGAATGAAGTCTAAATAGTGATGCTTATTACACCTAGGTAATTATCAAATATAAAGTCAATCTTTAAAACCTTCAAATCAAAGCTAAATAATATTTTAGAAATAATAATAGATTCAGTGTCCTATAGCTATTAACAAAAACAGAAGGCTAAAGAGAAAGAAAATCTAAAAATATATAAAGCGGCTGGGCGCAATGGCTCACACCTGTAATCCAAGCACTTTGGGAAGCCAAAGCAGGAGGATCGCCAGGAGTTCGAGACCAGTGTGGGGAACAAAGCAAGGCCCTGTCTTAACAAAAAATTTAAAAATTAGCTGGGCATGGTGGCGTCTGCCTGTAGTCCCAGCTACTCCGGAGTCTGAGGTGAGAGGATCGCCTGAGCTCAGGAGTTCCAGGCTGCAGTGAGCTGTGAATGCACCACTGCACCCCTGCCTAGGAGACAGAGTGAGACCCTGCCTCTAAAAAGAAAAAGAAAAAAAAAAAAGATGTAAACTGAGCAAATTTCCTCATCTTCAACAAAGGACTAATAGAAATTTTAATTTTTTAAATTGATAATTGAGAAATATAGGCATACGTACATTATTACAAGTTGTAAAATTCACTGCTAATAGAATAAAAAACAGTGTCTGCATTCAATAATATAATGCTGGTAGGGCTGGTTGGAGGAGGGCTAAAGGGGTGGAAACACTGATTACTTACAGTAGGAGATCTTTTATCCGGAATTCCAAGGACTTAACCTGTTCAGATTAATGACAGTATACATATGTACCTTCCAAAAGAGCTGGGTAATCAAAGAACAAATTTGAGTATATAAATGTAGTATATAATAAAGGAAATAAGTCAAGTTAAGAAATAAATAGTCTTTAAAAATGTATATACTTTGAATATCTTTTTATTATAAATAATATATCATGCCAAAGAATTGAATATTAAATCGCTTGTCATAATTTTGCATCAGTTTAAAACATCGGGCTTACCTATAAAAGCTAGCATTGTGCACTATAAACATAATAAATGTGTTTTACTTAATTCCTTTGTGAAATGCACTCACATTTCCTTAAAAATGTAGGGAAGGAGATAGGAATATAATGCAAGCATATAAATATATAAAAGTTACATTCACCAAGAAATTCTCGTTGATCTTCATATAGTGGCAAAAATCACTCATTATCAGGATATGTTGTAACAACTTTTGCAAACCAGAAGAGAACAGATGAAGTAACAAGCTATTTTGGAAAGAGGTATCTGCTTGTCCTTGCTAGTCATTTTTTTTTCTCAAATTTCTTTCTCAGAATGTACCTACAGAGCATTTTCTGCTTAGTAACAAATCACCATTTTTAAATAAAATGTATGAAATGTTTTACAACATGGAACAACTAGAAACTATTTCTCATTCATCATAACCTTTCCATCTTGCCTACATTGTTTGAGTTGCACCACCATAAGAGTTGGACTGGTAGAAAAGTTTTGATTTTTAAATGTTTAGACTTCTAAATAAACAATCTCTACTCTTACAAAGACAGTAGTAACAAAGAAGGTGGAAAGAAAGTATTAAACTCATAAAATATGTAATACAAAGACTGACATAAGGTCAAACATATGCTATAACAATAAATGTAAATGATATGAACATCCAAATAAACTTAAAAGAAAGCAAACCCCAACTTTATGTAAAATATTAAATATTTCTTATCATCTATGCTAATATCAAAATCTGAGTAAAATGGACCATTTCCTAAGACAATATAAGTCTACAAAACTAGATTTCTTTTTTCATTTTGAAATGGAGTCTTGCACTGCTACCCAGTCTGGAGTGCAATGGCGTGATCTTGGCTCACTGCAACCTCTGTCTCCTGGTTCAAGCGATTCTCCTTGCCTCAGCCTCCCATGTAGCTGGGATTACAGGTGTCCACCACCACACCTGGGTAATTTTGTTGTATTTTTAGTAAAGACGGGGTTTCACCATGTTGGCCAGGCTGGTCTCGAACTCCTGACCTTGTGATCCACCCACCTCGGCCCCCAAAGTGCTGGGATTACAGGCATGAGCCACTGCGCCCGGCCCTCTTTTTTTTTTTAACTGATAGAAAACCTATCTAGCCACCACAAACTGGTCAAGGAAGTACAACTCAAAGGCCAGGACCAGGCTTTCCATGGACTGAAATAATTAAATCATTTAATTATATCAGAGTTAAAGGAAATAATTCTTCTTACAAAGGCAGTAAAACAGTGATGCTAGAGGTTTGCCACAATGGCACAGAAACAAACAAAAACTACAGGCTAATCTGACTAATGAATAAGATTTCAAAATACCAAATGGGGGTAATTCCAGACTTCTGAGGAGTTTCACAATATAAATAATAATATAAAATTTGTTAAGAGATTTTACTATATAAATAGATCAGAGAATTTGAACCACAGGATGATTTCAATATTTGCAAACAAAAATAAAAAATCTTAACTTTTTAAAAGATATAACTATAGTGGTAATAGAATAAAACTTAAAAAAAAAACTTTTTAAGCCATATTTTAAAAACATATATTTATCTGTGTATCACAAACTAACAGCCAGTACAGCACTTAATGGTGAAAAACTAGAAGTAGTCTCATTAAAGTCAGGAACAAGACGAGAGTACTTGTTATCACCACAGTTATTTAATGATTGTTCTGGAAGTGCTCACCAATGTAATTAGATGAGAGAATGAGATAAGAAGCATAAATATTGGGTAGGAAGAGGCAGAAGTGTCATTATTTGCAGATTATAAAGATTATAGTTTTTAAAAACCCAAGTGAATCAACTGAAAAACTACTAGAAATTTAAGAGAATTTAGTAGATTATCTGGTTAAAATATGAACACAAGTAATAACTTTCTCATTTGCCTATAAAAACTAGTTAAAAAATTTAAACTTATGAAGTAGTTTCCTATTCACACACACAAAAATAAAAACCAGAAATGTGTCTGCTTTATATTAAGGAAGTTATAAAACCCTACAGCGAGCACATCAACCCCTTTAGAGGACATGGTGGTTCATACCTGTAATCCCAGCTACTTGAGAGGCTGCGGTAGGAGGACCACTTGAGCCCAGCCCAGGAGTTTGAGACCAGCCTGGGCAACATAGAAAGGTCCTATCCCAAAAACAAACAAACAAATAAAACATACAGAGGACACTGATAAGTGTGAAAAGAAAAACTTAAAATGTCATTACAGACTAAATTATAGGCCAGGCACACTGGCTCATGCCTATAACCCTAGCACTTTGGGAGGCTGAGGCAGGCAGATCACTTGAGGTCAGGAGTTCAAGATCAGCCTGGCCAACATGGCAAAACACCGTCTTTACTAAAAATACAAAAATTAGCCAGGCATGGTGATAGGCACCTGTAATCCCAGCTACTTGGAAGGCTGAGGTGGGACAATTGCTTGAATCTGGGAGGCAGAGGTTGCACTGAGCAGAGATCATGCCACTGCACTCCAGCCTGGGCTACAAGAGAACCTGTCTCAAAAAAAAAAAAAAAAAAAAAAAAAAAAAAGAAAAGAAAGAAAAACAGCAAAACTCACTAAACGATAAATATAATACAAAAATAAATTCCTGGCTGGGCACGGTGGCTCACACTTGTAATCCCAGCACTTTGGGAGGCGCAAGGCAGGCCCAGGAGTTCAAGACCAGCTTGGGTAACATAGTGAGGCCCCTGTCTTGAAAAATAAATAAATAAATAAAACAAAAACAAATTCCTAATAGGCCTTTTTTGAGAAACGTGACAAAAATGATTCTAAAGTTTATCTGTAGAATTAGCATGTGAGAATAACCAAAGCAGAGTTGTGAAATAAGAATATTAGAAAATTAATTTTATTAAAATATGTATCTATATTATAAATTTATAATATATAAATTGAATCTAAATTGGTAATTTTAATGAATTTTTAATTAGGAATTAAAAGTGTGATCATGGTCCAGCAATAGATCAAAGTAACAGAGCCCAAAATCCAGAAATAAATCCAAATTTACAAGGAAACTCACTATATGAGAAGGATAGATCATCCTTCTCCCTGAATGGCAAAAAGATGAATCATTTTATAATTATATTGAGGCATTTGGCTCAGGCTAAATACATAGGGGTCATTGTGATAGTTCCCTTTTCCTCCCTAAAAGCCCCTCCATCTATCTGCAAATCCTACTGACTGCCTTCAAAACACACTCTGAATCTGATCGCTTCTTGCCACCTGTGCAGCAATCAGCTTCTTCACCACCTGCCCGGATTTCTGCAGCTTCCTAATCAATGTCCTGGTTTTTCTCTTCCAGTGATCTTCTCCACACTGCAGTCAGGCTGGTCTTTCAAAAATGTAAATCAACTCATGCCATTCCCCTTCTCAAGGCCTCCCAATAGCATCCCATCTCACTAAAGAAAAACATCCCACCTCCTTACACGTGCATAGACCCTCCCAGAATTCATGGCCCCTGCCTAGCTCTCTGACCTCATCACTTCCCTCTCTCTCCGCTCTAGACACACCAGCCTTCTAGAAGCTCTTTCTTGCCTCAGATCCTTGGAATTTCTTTTCTCTCTGCCAGAGTGCTTCTCCTAGATCTTCAGATGGCTCACCCTTCACATACTTCATGTTTTCCTGTGAAAATGTCCACTCTGCAGAGGCCACGCCTTGCCATCCTATCTAACGTACTACCTTCCTGTCACCCTCTGCTTCATCTTCATTGCTCTATCACTCCCTAGATTGTTCCTTCAGATAGCCTTGTTTATCATCTCTCTCTCCCACTAGATTGTAAGCTCTATGAGGACAGGGACTCCATCTGTTTTGTTCACCAGTATAACCCAACCCCAGTGCATAGCACAGTGCTTTAGGACATGGTAGGTGCTTAATTAATATTTGTTGAACAATGAATTGCAGTGGGTATAGAGAAAAATGTAGTTATTTAGGAAGTAGAATTAATAGGACTTTGTGACTTATTCAATGGAGGAGTGAAGGTAGCCTGAGGGAAGGACCTAAGGATAATTCTAAGTTTCTGGACCAGGTAACTAAAGAAATATTGCATCATTCTTATGTTGGGAAATTCAGAGCGAGGTTATTCAGACTATTTTGCCCATTTATTAATTAGAGAAATGGCTAATTTTTACCAGTTTGAGGAAGAATATGATGGGCAAAGCATAGTTTCAGAAAAACTTTTGGCCGGGTGCGGTGGCTCACACCTGTAATCCCAGTACTTTGGGAGGCCAAGGTGGGAGGATCACGAGGTCAGGAGCTCGAGACTAGCCTGGCCAATATGGTGAAACCCCATCTCTACTAAATATACAAAAATTAGGCCAGGCGTGGTGGCTCACACCAGTAATCCCAACATTTTGGGAGGCAGAGGTGGGTGGTTCACGAGGTCAGGAGTTCAAGACCATCCTGGCCAACATGGTGAAACCCCATCTCTACTAAAAATAAAAAAATTAGCCGGGCATGGTGGCGTTTGCCTGTAATCCCAGCTACTTGGGAGGCTGAGGCAGGAGAATCACTTGAACCCAGGAGGCAGAGGTTGCAGTGAGCTAAGACCGCACCACTGCACTCCAGCCTGGCAACAGAGTGAGACTCCATCTCAAAAAAAAAAAAAAAAAATTAGCCAGGCATGGTGACATGCACCTGTAGTCCCAGATACTTGGGAGGCTGAGACAGGAGAATTGCTTGAACCCAGGAGGCGGGGGTTGCAGTGAGCTAAGATCAAGCCATTGCACTCCAGCCTGGGCGACAGAGTGAAACTCCATTTCACAAAAAAAAAAAAAGAAAAACTTTTTATACTTTCTGTGCGATTTTTCTGTAAACCTAAAACTCCTGTAAAAGACAAAGTGTAATAAAATTTTTAAGAATGGGGCTGTAACATTTACCTCCCAGTGTTGCTAAGGAAATTAAATAAAATGACACTCAAGAACATGCCTGGAACCTAGGCACTGTTCTCTAGTTTTCCATCAGTCAAATGCCAGTGGCTTAGGCCGTCACTTCCTTTTCCTCCCAAATCTCTTAATGGGGTTCATTTTCCCACTAGTGCTCACACCTAAAACTGTTCACATTCAATATCTGATCATCGTGATCAGTTTCCCAATAAATCCAACTGGTTTTCAAATGCACATGTCTTAGTTGTTGTTTCTTCCCATTACATCACTCTTTTTTAAATTTTAATTTTAATTTTTTTAGAGACAAGGTCTCTTTCTGTCACCAAGTGCAGTGGCACAATCATAGCTCACTTACCCTTGAATTCTGGGGCTCAGGCAATCCTCCTACTTCAGCCTCCCAAGTAGTTAGGACTACAAGTATGCACCATCATGCCTGCCTAATTTTAAAAAAATTTTAGAAGAGATGGGGGTCTTGCTATGTTGCCCAGGCTGGTCTTGAACTTCTGGCCTCAGTTGATCCTCGTGCCTTAGCCTCCCAAAGTGCTGGGATGACACACGTGAGCCACCATGCTGGGCCTCCTTTTCTTTTTCTAACCATGATCATCTCAAGTTATGTGTCCTTGAGGCAGTTGGGGTGCGGGGGGTAGGAAGTGTGGGTCAGATTGTCTGCATTGATATCCCAGTGCTGCCGTCTTGCACGGTGAGACTGTGAACCAAGTGATAAATCTTTCTCTGCCTCAGTTTCTTTATCCGTTCATTGGGAGTGATAAAAAATAATGTCTCCACGTGTTTTTTGACAATTAAATGAGGTGACACATGTAAAGCACTTAGAACGGGAGCAAGCACATAGTTAATTTTAAAAATTAACATTATTTTCCTAAATAAGTATTTAAATGTTGAAGCTTTCTTCTTTATTTCTGCAGTTTCCTAATTGATGTCCTGGTTTTTCTCTTCCACCAGTCTTCATACTTCTCCAGGTTGGTCTTTCAAAAACGTAAATCAACCAATGCCATTTCCCTTCTCAAGGCCTCTCGATAGCATCCCATCACACTGAAGAAGAACGTCACACCTCCTTATAAGTGCATAGACCCTCCTCACATGCCTGGCCCTTGCCTGGCTTTGCCCACAGCTACATCTATGCTGTTGGGAAAGAGATGTGTTCTTCCATCCACATCCTGGGTAAACACTGTAATTTTTTCAAGCAGACAGCAAAGATGTTGAGTGTGAGTTTTTCTGCTGGCATCAGTCAGGTGTATGTTAGATTTGCCCAATGACTAGATCCGCTCTTCGGATAAGATCATTGCCATCACTTAACCAGGTCTGCATTTTTGGCGTTTTATTAAGTAATGCAACAGCCTTCTACATATTGAAAATGTCTTCTATCTGTTGTCTCTTTTTCGGGAAAGAAATAAGGATCTTTCTGATGGAGAGTGGGATTGCTTTTCTCTGTTCCTCTCTCACCTCCATACCTTGTCCACAGCCCCCTGAGCTCCCTGGAGTCCAATAGAACTGCCATCCTCAAAAAGTGAGCTACATGAGAAAATGCGTGCTCATTATATTTACATTCAGCACGTCTAGATCAGCAGCTTCATCTGGGACTTAGACCTACAACGTTGGTGATGCAGACAGCCAGATATTTAGTCACATCAAAGCAATTTGCTAATTGCAGATGCCTCCTCTCTGTTTAATGTTTCATGTGTAAGATTAGGTGGTTGATTTAACTGGTTCATAGTGCCTGTTTTATCTCATTAGCTATCTCTAAAGGAAATCACATCATATTAAATATAGACAGAGGACATTAATTATCTGGAAAACATAATAGTATAACCTGTATATGAGTATGACAGGAAGGATTCAAGTCACTGTTAATTTCCTAGCATTTTAAGTATATGAGAAGTTGTATATACATACATGTTAATCTGCAAGAGTATTCCATATATGAGTTATGCATCTGTGCATGTTAATTACAATATTTACACTCAACATATAATTATCAATTAAACTATATACATATATTATTTTAGCATAGATGAATAGATAATCATTTATAAGTTAAACTAGGAGTTCCGAAGCTCCAGGTTATTCTCATGATGTTTTCCATCTCTTTTATCTTTTGTACGTTTTCAACCATAATTCTAGCAAAACATGCAGATAGCTTTAGCACTGCTCCAACTATCTTTTGCTCTATATTCCTGGCTCAAGCTTTATTTCCATGGACTCTATCTGACCTTTTATTAATACCTGGCATAGGTATGCAATTGAAACATTTTTACCTGAGATCAAAGCAGCGTGATCATATTTAAGAGAAAAAATAGTCATAAAATTTCCAGAGAAAAAAGAATGCAACGAAATATGTAATATAAAAATCCCCTGTGATATTAGTATACCCCCCAAAAGTGTTCAGCATAGTGAACCAGGTTCTTGCCTAGGTTTAGCCTCTAATAAGACCTAGTGCTTGTATTATTTATACTGCCACCCCACCAGCGTATAGATACCACGATAGCCAATAAGGACTCCTTAGGGGACGTTTATCATGTCACTGAGCTCTGAATTCACAGAGCTTTACCAAGCACATCAGCCACTGAGGATTATCAAGGAAGGAATTCTTCGTTTAAATGCTCCCCACTATTTTACATGATAGATTATAGCAATCTTTATATCATATTAATTTTGGAGTTTTTAAATCTCTGAAAATACATGAAGACAAATACAAACAAGAGCGCTATGAGACACTGTTCTCCCTCTATCTGTGTCTCCACTCCTACTACTAAAGCAGTGAGTTATTTCTACAAACTCTCAGAATCTTATATTCTAGCCCGAGGGCTTGCATGCAGATTCAAGAGAGTCACTTGTGTTTCTCAGTCTTTATCTTAGCAATGGGCTCAGAACTACATGAGCATTAGCAATGCCCTGGTCCAGTTGGACAGATCTTTTCTACTCTGATTCATGTTTTTGCCACAAGGATTAAGAAGCATTGCACAGATATTGATATTTTAAATCATTTTCTTAATAAGAGAAACTAGTATAAGAGAAATGAGTATAAGTATGTTCTCAGTGCTTATATCTTACAATACATTTTTGTCATGCAACTAACATAGTTCACTTGTAGAGATCAACGTACCTCAGAAGACACTCTTTGATGAGGCCAGGTGCAGATCCCTCCGAATATAAAGCAGTATAATGTAATGATGCTCCAATCCACTTAATTACAGAACTTATCAAAGTATAAAATTATAATAGCCACTGAACACTTCTTTCAATCAGAAAAGATCTACTCCCCAGAGTACAAAGGTAATGGCTATACTATAAAGTTGTCATTTCAATGGAGTTTTACTTTCCACCCAAGGGACAGGGCATTCATCATGAACATCCTCCATGCCAAGCAATCACAGCATCACTGATCACCTTTTGCTCGGGCCCCATATATTGCAACTATTCCAGTTGTGCCATACCTGGCAGAGCAGATTCTGCAGATCCTAACCTCTTGTTGAGACTAAAATAATTTCTTAAACGCACGATAGCTACATAACTCTCCCAGCCATTTTCTGAACCACGATTTTTCTCATTTTGCTTCCTTTGTGTTCCATTCAAGGTTTTCCTGCGCTGAGACAATCTTTTACATTTTTTTCTTCTTCTGCCTGCATCAAAGTTAAGACTTTGTTAGGGATGCTTTGCTATCGGCATCTGTTACCTCTTTTTCTTAGGGGCTAAGGAGAAGGCTGCTGTGTGGCTGAAAAAGACTCTCATTCAGTTTGGAATTGCCTCCCTTTGCTTTCCTGTCACACTGTCAAGCTCAATCAGAACGCAATGAAAGTGATACAGAGGCGAGGCTTTGCTGGCGAGACTTAGAACAAAGACAGCTCCATAGCCTAGTACAGATTTCACATCCAATTTAACTCTTTGGAAAAGGATTTCAGGAAATACATAGTCAAGAGTTGAAAAAATGGAGTTGGGTCTACTATAAAGGCTAAAAGTATTATCCTGGCTTAGATAAGCTACAAAGATAGGTTGATACTATTTTCTAGCATAAACCACATTAGCCGGCATTACACATTGAGCTTTCTTTACTCGTTAAGTTGCAAGGAGATTTGAGAGGAATTTAGCAGCTACATAAAATGACTCTTTCATGATTCTAGCTTTACCAGTCATTTTAGTTGTACAAGGTGCATGAATAGCAAGGACCTAAATCATGTTGTTTAACAAATCTGGTATTAGAGGGTTAGTCTCAGTTTACTTATTAAGAATTTAGTTGAGTAAAGGATTTTAGGACTCAGTTCTTTGTGTAGATGACAATGAACGGCCCAATACTTGTATTTTTGGGGGAAAACATACATCAGCTACACATGTTTTGAACTGTGCTGTTGGACCCATAACTAATATATTGCACTGAATATATTTTTCTGCAGGAACTAACTGTAAAGAAGAAACTTCATTGAGAGGGACATAGGTCAATGGTGACTTACTTCAGTGGCCTCTACTATTACTTCCTTTCTGAAGCCTAGTTTCTACTTGTTCTCTGTCTCACAAGAGACTCAGTTTAATTCTCTGAATTTTTCAAACTGAGGTCATGACAAACTTGGTTTAATTCTCTGAGCTTTCAAACTTAGTTAATGATTCCATTTGGAAGAATCATGGCCCTCATTTTCCCTTGATGGATTTGAAGCATACTGAAAACTGATTCACAAAGCACGTAGAATCTTGAACATTCTATACAGCAGCAGTAATGTTAATGAAATAGTGAGGAGAACTCATGCAGTTTAAAATAACTATTTTTATAATAAATTCTTTAAAATTGGTATGGTCATAGATATTGTCAAATATTTTAATGTTTGGTATGTAGGCCAGAGGAGGTATTTTTTCATGTTTGTGTACTTTATCTTATTGAAAATAGAACACATTTAAGTAACTTTATATACACTTACATATGTAATTTTATATATACTCAGTGAGAGAAAGAAAGAGATTGAGAGAGTCTGAAGTTAGTTTACATACACAATTGCATTTAAGGGAAGTGCATTTCAAATGACTAGTACCATATCATCATATTAAAGAAGATATCTCTTTGGAAAATTTGTCATGAACAAGAGATGATTAGAAGCAGCATATGATAGACAACAACATTTCATCTCTGCATGCAATTATGGTACAAATTAGAAATGCTATTATGTTGGTGCTCCATAATTAAGTAAGCAATTAAAAACAAAAACAGTTCATTAACAAATGTCATAGCTATGCCGACAAATGCCCAGTGAGGTCACGGTCACAGCAATTGCACGAGATGATGACTAAGTCTTCCCAAGAGCAAGAGTCTCCACCAACAGCGTTGGTTCTATTTCTAGTGCGTGTGTTATATAAATAGCAATTTGGGCTGGAAAAACTGAAATAAACATTGCAAGCAAATATAGAGAGGAGGCGAGCTGTTTGTGGTAAGTTGCTTATGCCATTTGTTGAGTATGACTGGAAACCAAAATGAAATTTTAGTTTTATTCAAAAAATAAAAATAAAATCTCTGTTGATACTTAATATAGCTGTGGTAATTTCCTTGCAAGTCTTCAGCCTGTTGGCTCACAGTCTCTTTGCCATTGAGAAACTTATGCTCTATCTTAATGAAGACAGCAACTAGAAATTAGCAGTTACTGGTGGTGGCTGTTAGATCTACCTATTTGCATGGATTTTTTTTAATGACCATCGGTTCATAAGTATTTTCATTTTTTGAAAATGTTTTCCATTATTTCAGGAGAAACCATACAGTGTCACATGAAAAAGTTATATCAACAATGAACAGGTTTGATAAATAAAATGCAGGGGGAAAAAAGTGAAATGGTTAATCCCTGTACTAATTATTTGTCCCATTTTTGTTAATACAAATTAAATGTTTCACTTGGTTAATGACAAGTTTGATCAAACAGTTCATAAACTGATGGATTGACTTTGAAATGAATTCAGGGAAAAAAAATGACATGATGTGGAGCTGGCAAGGGGCCGCCTCTAGTGGGAACAGATGCCCAACAAATTTGGCGAGTAGTTTTGTTCTCTTCTATCTGTTGCAGTTCACAATCCTAATGAATGTTATGTTTAAATAACATGAATAAAGATAAAGTGAAAATGAATTCAACTCCAGTTTGAGCAGCAGAATAAAAATGAGCAAACTGTATTATCTTCTGCCACCTAATCTGGGTTGAATTTCCTCTGTATCTTTTTTGTTTGTTGAAGAATCCTTTTCTTGAGTCTCCTTGGCCATTGACAAGGTCTTTTGAGATGAATATGAAAAGATAGATTTAAAGGTTAAGGCCAGGGTCAGATGGTTGCAGATGTTTTGTGAGAGATTGTTCGGTTCAGTTTGTGGTACTTCTCCTGACTAAGGTATTTCAAACAGGCAGACTCATGGCCAGCAACTGTCGATGAATGTTGTTTGTCTCACAATTGATCCATGCAAACACAAACACAGAGTAGAAAGAGTGTTTGTTTTTTCTTAGGCAGATAATTTTCCCCCAGCCCAAAGACTTTGTCTGAAACCAGAGAAGACACTATTTTTATTTCTAGAAAGTAGGACTTTTTAGGTTTGGCTCTTCAGATGATCAGCTGAGACCATTTTTCAGGGGATAAATAATGGCACCATGTAACAGAAGTTGATTAGACTGTAAAAGGTTGCAACGTTTTTGGAGAGGAAGTGAAAGGAAGTAGAGCTTGGACATTGAAAGAAAAAAGATAAATGAACTAGTCTCTTATCTCCTGACTTCAAATTCTAATTAACAAAAAATGTGGAAATAAAGGGACAGAGTTCATGAAAGTCACGCTGATTGCCATTGGGATATTTCATTATTTGATAGATTTAGATTGAATCATCTCTCTCCATAAGGGAGGTTAGAATACATAGATGTGTATATATGTATAAAATGTGTATGTGTATACACACAATATATGTATGTGTGTGTGAATCTGTTAAATTATGTGTATATATATTATATATACACACATATATTTGTGTATGCAGTATACACACATATATACACATATACATATGTGTGTATGTATATAATATGTGTGTATATGCACACACACACACTCACACACACAGATCCTCTTAACAGTCAGATGGCATTAGATGTAAAGTATTTCCTCCAGGAATGTCTTAAGGGTTTTCACTTTAAGAATTTTTATTTACTATCTCCATAGGTTTATAAACATGATTAAAACATTTCCATGGGCCATTTCCCATTCCCTTCCCTTGAGTGTTTTAACATTTAAGTTATGAGCATTGAGAGCCTATAGTTAATTGACTAAGGCCAATGGGATGGTTCCTTTCCACAATATACAATTCAGAACAATTTAGATAGGGATGTTTTCTTTCTTAGATCTTGTAAAGATGGCTTTTAATTAACATATATTTTGGAACATTCTATGTAAAAATATCTAGGATGTTGAAAAATACAAAGGACTATGAATTTTTTAGTCAACACGCTGAGAGAAAGCTTTTATAGCTTTTACTTTCCTAGCATCTATTCACTATCAGTCCTTCACATTTACATTCTTCTGAATTTTATGCTGCATAATGCTACCGGGAAGACTGTGTTTATTATTCTGACATGATTCTTTGTGAAATAGGTGCTTGATAAGGATTATTTTTAAAAGACCAAAAGCCCCTCAAGTGATTACTCTCTCAAACTTCTTGTAAAGGAGGACAGATAGTGATCCTCACCACCACCGGAGGCAAGTCTAGAATTTTCCAATGTTTTAAATGTTTGCATGCCACACAATATCATCAAAAATTTTTTTTTTGCTAAGGTGAAAAATTAGATTTTTTTTTGTACCTGAGGCCTGTTGCCTGTTGTTCTTTAGAACATTTAGTTACATTTCAAATAACACAGTAAATTTCCTGATCATTCCTATACATTTGGATCACTGAAGAATGTGGAAGCTTACAAGAATTACAAATAAAATAATTTTTTATGCTTCTTCTTATTAAAACTGAAGGTGTTTGAAAATACAAATGGAAATTTAATTTGCAAACCGTCTTAATGCTATGGATACACACATAAAATATATGAAACGTTTCCTATTAAAGGGATTCAAGGATGTGTATTTCACTATTTCAGATGATACGATGAAATTATTATCTTTTTACACAATAGTCTTCATTTCACTACCTTATTGAACTAAATTGTTTCACTATAGGACACCAAGTTTTAAAGATTGGGATTTTAGTAGAGAGCGTGTTAGCTCTACAACTTTTGCACACAAGTCAAATGTTATTTGAAATACATATTTCACTTTTTTTGGCTATTCTGAAACCAAAAGAAAAAATTTACAGAATCCAAAAGAAAATCTCACAATAAAAACAAAGAAAACCATATAAGTTATAGTTCCTGCAAATGTTGTTTTAAAAAGCTTTATTTAAAGCTGCTTCAGGATAGTTTTGTGATAAATAGGAATCAATATAATTTATTAATATCATAGTTTTCTAAAGCATGTTTACTAGTTCTTTTCTAATTCACACCCTGCCATCACTCTGTTTTTATATATGTTCCTTTCAAAAGATTTGTCAAACATAAATAAGAACAATTACAGAATAACAGAGCAGGATTATTTCTGAAGAAAAAAAATTATCATCAGCTGTATTTTCATCAGCTATCCTATTAGACTCCATCATTAAGAAAAGTATTCAGGATGTCTAGTGGGTGAAGAGAGCAGAAGTGTGTTTTCATTTTGATATGATAGCTGCATTCAAGTTATTCTCCTCTTTACAATAGATTTTACCTAGCTTTATCTTCATAGGAAGCTGCTTTCAGTTGAAAAGCAGAAGTGAATAGAAGTGTCATGACATGGGATTAACAGTACAACCAGCAACCAGTTAGTAAATCAAATGTTTGAGGTGAAGAAAGTGGAATGTGACATGCATCAGCAGGATGGACTAGCAGGATTTTATGGAGACAAGTGAAAAGAAAAATTTTAATCATTGGTCAATGCTCCTGATATCTGTACCATTTTGAAAACAAGTGGTCCATTTAACCAGTCACTGTAATGAATCTGAGTGCATTAAGATGTTCCCAGCAATGTTAGTTCATATAGAAGTAATAATTATAGAAAAAACTAGTCTGAGTGCTGTGTCTGTGTCTAGCTAATAAAAAAAAAAAAAAAGAAAAAGAAAATTACATCCTAAGACTGAGAAACTGGCCAGTATGGTTCACTTTTGAGATGGCAATATGACTGCAAGAAACCTCATGAGGGGTTTACCCCATGACACCCTCATTATAGTCACTGATGAACTATTAAAAATAACCTTCTCAAATACTTCCCATTACATAGATTTGATATAGTCCTCATAATTAAGATTTTAGAGTTTCAAGAGTGTTTGCCAGCAAGTTATTTGGAGCACTTAAAAATGCATGTTTCAGCACAACCATGGATTTCTTCTCTCCTGGTAAGTATCCACACAAATATGTAAAAACTTAAAATTGGTAATGCTTAAAGATTTATCTGGGTAGCTTGGGTGAGTAGCTAAAAGGTTAATTTAAAGGCTTAGTAAAGGATATTTCCCATCACCATCTGTGTCTTCACATGAAAATATGTTTAAATTCCACACAGTCTGGCATTCACTTCATAACTCCATATTTTTTGGTCTCCATTTTTTCACAGCACAAGTTTCTCTAAGAATAGAGTTAAAATTCTAATGTGCCTAATATTTACTCAAAACTTTGTCTAAAAAAAAAAGAATTCACACAAAAAAGCCCATTAAATATTCACACTTTAATATATGTTCCTTAGAAACAAATGTACAGTTAGATAACACATAAAGAATTATGAATGACTAATTATATTTTGCATATTTACAGCAAAGACAATTAGCAAATCGCTTTTATATGCAAAATAAATGAAAAAGTAATTAAGATGCACTAACCAGAGCAGCAATATCAAGTCTGTTGTGATTCATTCCTAACAAACATAATAATTATGCATTCATTGTCATATAATTAAAACAGCTCTGTCCTTTAGAAAAATGGTTATTTACTGTATAATAACCTGAAGAGTGGCAGAAGTTCCTCATAATGGTGAGCAGGATAATTAAATATTTCTTCTCGGGAAATGCTCACCCAGTTTAGTTTATTATCATAAACTTCTACCAGCAAGCAGCTGTTCCTCAGGAATGCCAAGTGTTTTCTCTCTTGTCTGGGAAAGTTATTTTCCATTTTATTCATCAGCTCTCATTTTTTTTCTTGTTGTTGAATTGGGCAGGGGTGCTCCTGAGGCACCCTTCACCTTCCTAAGGCTGGTCCTCCTGGAGGCCATCCCTAGCTGCAGAGGGCTGTGGGAAGCAGCTTCAAGACCCAGTTCTGTGGCTAGATCTGCTTTTGGTGATTAAAAATGTGTAATGTTTGCCTCTCTGCTGAAATATATTGTCTTTTTGAAGATCTTCTAGGACTTTTTCATCACTAAGATAGACATAAATATGCAAATAAACAAACAAATACAGTAACATCCAGTGTTTATCATGTTAGGTAAGCCACCTGCATTTTAGAAATATAGCAACAAATTTCAAAATGATCAATACATTTGATATTTCAGCTAATTAAAGTGATATAAACTGTCCTCTGCATTCCACATAAATAGATCACGGGAGCCATTTTGTTTCCCCAAAGCTGAGAACACGTTGATATCTGTGCCCAGCAGTTACACCATCGCCTATTGTTCACTCCTGATATAAGCACAGTGCCTACACAAGTACATGCTGTAATGCAATCAGAAATTACTCAAGCAGGAGATATACATTATTTTGTGTGTATTTGGTGTGTTATCTTAATATTGATACTATTATGTCATCATGTATATACACTCAACGAAATTAACTTATTTTTATAATAAAATCTTGTGTCCAGTGGAATGAAGAGAACAAGAGTAAATGGGAAGAGAAGTATTTGTTTATGAGTTACTGCTTGATTTAAAAATATAATAGGAACTTTAAAAATTATTATATATAATACCTTAGATATTAGGAAAGGATAAATCTTAAGTAGAAAAAAGTAATTATTAATTAAAATTTTTCTTATTAAACATACGTTGTATGAAATGATGTAACATTTAAGTTTTAAGACATTTTATTTTACATATTACATAATTTTTAGTAACATTAAATGTAATACTCAACCTCAGAGAATAAGAAAATAAATGATTTGTGTTAGGTTTTATCATAAATGATTTGTGTTAGGTTTTATCATTTGACTTTATTATATATTGACAACTAATTATTTTAGCAATTACTGAGCTACCATTCCTTTCTTTATTAAGTTCAATAAACAAGTAGTAGACACTAAGCCCAACATCGTCTTTTGTATATTTTTTTTTCAAGAAGAATCTTTATTTTTCTTTTCTTTTTTTTTTTTTTTTTTTTTTAGTGTGTAACTTAAAGAGCCATGGCCTTACTTGAAACAGTTTACTCAGAATCATTTAGATATTTTCTAAGTATTCTTCACTATAAGCTCCTTTTGGCATGCGATAAAATGAAAATGGGCCAAGGAGAACCTAGAGAGAAAATACTTATTCCTTATCCCTGTGTTACATTTGGGAGAACTTAAACAGACCTCAGAATACTGAAAAGAAATAATTGCCCTGAAGTAAAACTGGTTAGTATGTTATTAGAGATCCTCTATGCTAGCAACAGAATTTGGGAAAATAGAAAGAAAATAGAACTGGAATTCATAGCACGACATTCAGATAGTTAATTTATTAGTAAAAGGTAGAAGAGACAAACAGCCCCATCTTATATTCTGATGCAAAAATGGTGTAGGATTACCCATTATTAGCACACCGGACACACCAGGAAACGTAAGAGAAAATATTCTAGATTCTATCATTAATATTTTGAGAAATCCTAGTAATCCCAAATTAATTCTAAGTAGTCATGACAGAAAAAAATTATATCTTTACTCCTCCTTACATATCCGTAGTTTAGTACTGTTTTCATTTTTTTGTTACTTGGGCAGCGGAGGAGACAAGGAACACCACAGCTTTTTTCAGCTCTTAGTTCGTATTAAAGGTTTTCATGTAACCCTATATACATATGTATTTCATCTAATTTAAATTCCTACTAAGTATGTCAGTAATCTTCCATCTTGCAACTTTAAAGAATAGGGTTATTCACCATTATAGCAGGAATATCAGTTTATGTATCTGCTATGACAGATAGTAAAGATGATCAAACATTACACTAACTCTTAATAATGAGCTTGTTTCTCCCTTCAAGGAACAAAGTTCATAAGGGTGGGAGATGAGAAGGGCCAAAAGGTGAATGTATGCACCTGTTTGTGTGCCTCTTGTCATCCTTCCTTCCCAGAGTACATACTTCTCAGCAAAATGGGAGGTAAGAAGACTAAGCCTCAACTTTCAGACGATCCTCTTTAACCACATCAAGAAACCCATAATTATTCAAAATTTACAATTCATTTTGTAGTTGCTATCTATACCCTTCAATCTGGAGCCTAGTCATCCACCTTGCATTAATTATTTTGTGTATGCATATCATGTGCACCCAGCCAGACTGTTGAATGGAAGATCCAGAGAGGCAGAGACAGCACTCTTTTTTGGTATAAGTATTCCACACAGTACATGAGATGTGGCAGTTGCTTGATAGATGCTGTTGAATAAATACTTCCATCACACATTCAACAGACACACACCAAACGGTCTTTGCCCCTTATTAAAATAGTGTCAAAGAAGAAATATGCCCCCGTCTTTATGTTATTTATCTCCTACCCTGCTCTGTTTCCTATCCTACATACATTTGCAGTTTCCATGTATCTTACTGAAATACATATAACCCCAGCTATATATTTTGTTATGTTATGATGCATATGGAATAGAGCCTCAATCGTCACGAAGTGACTAATGGACAGCTGATTGAATGAATGAATGAATGACATAAATATGAGTGGAATGTGCATATGGAGAGTGGAAATACATCTGTCAGCAGATGTAAATGTCTGTTACTCTGTCTCAGCTCTGGCTTATGTGAAACCTAGTTCGGTCATCAATGTCATGGCAGTTTGAATGCTTACATACCAAGCCCATGAACCCTTCCTATGTGTGTATTTTTTAAAATAAATGCTCTGTATTTAGGGATGGAAGATAAGGGGAAGGTTGAAAAAATAACTGTTTCTGCTGCTTCAGGTGCATACTTGCCATTTCAAACTCCCTTTGGCTCTTAGGCCAGGCAGTGCTATGATTGTCGATTTAGAGGGTTCTCTGTTCTCCTGAAGGGCTCAGGTAAAGCTGTATGTACTAAATACTTTGAATCACCATCACTCCCCTGTATGCACTGCAAACAATTATACTGCAGAAAACTTTACTACAAAGAGGCCAAGCTAAATGGAAGCTTTTCAAAATGTTAGTCTTATTACAAAAAATTATTTATAAAGACTCTCTTCCCTCTTTCCCAGGAACTTGACTAAAATGTAATATAAACATACTCATAACTCCAGTATTTACCCGTAAGTCTAATAAGCTAGGGCAAAAAAAAAGACTTTTATAAGACTGGTATTCAAAAGCAGACCAGAAAGAAAGATCCTAGGTAAAGGTAATGAAAATCAACTCAAAGTACATTCTCCATTTCACAGTAAGGCTTAATAAGATAGGTGATGTTCTAGAACTCAGAAACATGAGCATTTTTCTTGCTTACAGCCTTCATTTCTGACTACTAGTTTTCATTGGATTAATGAATCTCCTAAGGAATGAATATGAGCACATGCACACTAAAAGTCCATTTATAAACTCCAGATGATGCCATGTGATAGAAAATTGGCCCTAGAGTCAAGCTGGCCTAGAATGCTTGAAGTGTATAAGACATATGAGTCCTAGAGATTACATATAAAATCTTCACTCCCTTCTTTGCCCAGTAAATCAACAAGCATCTTCCGAATCCCCCCACCTCAGTGTCTTAAGACTCTCCTGAAAGTTTGGTTAATTTGGAAAATAACATAGTCAAGTAAACCCCAGAAAAGCCACTGTACAAGTACGAACAAAAAATGTCAAACTAGAATTCTGATATGAAATCGAGTTAATATACTGAAATTAAACCCAGACCTTTCAATTTTTTTAAAAAAAATTTACATATGTGTTTGTTTTTGGTGGATGGACTCACTCTCAAATACAATTGGTGAATAACCCAGAGGGAGTGTAGGTGTTGCCCATTACCATTGTGGATGCTATGGGCCTGTCAAGACTTAATAAGGGGCTCCATGTTGCATTGTCTCAAACTCCTTAAACTTCTGGGTTCTGGGATTGACTCCTTCCTGTTCCTCATTTATGTCCCAGATCCAGGGGACATGGCAAAAAGAACCTGAATTCATCATGAGGAAGGAACCCATCACAAGGAAGCAACCTATGAAGGCAGCCATTAGGCAAGGGACATCTGAGATGGGCACTGCAAGCATGTTCAAGAAAACACCTCTTCTGCCAGCTAGAGGCTCCCCCGCCCAGTGGAGGAGGAATCAAATTCCACCATCTTTAATCTGGCTACACCATATTTGAATAATAATCCTGAAATTCACATTGATGCTCAAGAAGTCGCTTCTTCAAAACTTTAAGGTAACAATTAAGTATTCCATTGTCATGGCTCAATTAAATGGTTTGGCCTGAGAAAATTGGGGATTGTAAAGTGAGGATGGAATGTGCTTTGATCCTTTTTCCAGGGTTATTGTTTCATTAATAAATGAACATGTCATTTGTCTCACCAGAGGGAGCTCATGCCCTCCAGGCTTTTTTCCCTTTTTTGTTCAGGTTTTATAAAGATGAATTTCCAGTGCTCTGAAATACCATGGATTAGTAGTTAAGCCTGACAGCACTTCGGGGAGTAGCGAGCTTAAAGTGCCTCACACAGGTCTCCAAAGCACTTGTTTACTAATAGAGGAAATCAGCAACCGTCTGCAGCTGCTGATATCGCATTACCATTTGGAAAGACAGTAGCTGAGATAACAAATCACACAGTTTTAATAATTACTCCTGCATTCCCGTTTTTTGTTTCCTGCATAACTGTAAAGGCTGGATTTCTTCCAAATAAACAGATAAAAACAGTATGGAACTTTTATCTTTTAATGATAATGACAACACATCATGTTTCACTAAAAGTTTCCTGCTGAATTTTTTCTGATTTCTAGAGTTTCAATAAAATGTAATTATACTTTATAATTCCACTCTTTTAATCTTCACTTCAAAAACTATTCACAGTGAGCAAGTTTGCCAGGCACCAAGAGTAGGGGACGAACTGCTTGGACTTACCCATGTTGACTATCTCCTGCTTTCTATCTTGGAGTAAACCTGTCATTGAAATTGCATCCTGTACATTGAGCTGCTTTGCATTCAAATTAATAGCTAGTTTAATTTGAATGTAAAATAGCTCCATTTATGCCATCATTTAAAAAAAAAAAGAAGTAAGGCATTTGGCAATGAATGGATGTTTAAGATATGATACATTTGCAACATATTTTTAATCCCAAATTGAACTTATATTAGGATGGAGACATTTTAATATCAATAGTTAAGTCATAAAAGAAGCCCTTTTAAAAATCTGCATAGTAAATACATGCTTTAGGGGTCAAAACTACTCATTGTACAGATACAGTGCAGGGTTTAGTTCGTATGGTTTGCGCTGGGTATTTTCTGGCAAATCTGTGCATTGTTACATTTCTATAGTCCAAGGATGGCAATTGATTTTTAAAACACATGCTGCAACTTTATTTGGTCTGTAATTACATGGACTTTATTTGGAGGTCAGTGAAGGAACAACTAAATAGGAAAATGTAGTCTTCCTCCCTTGTGCAATGAAACCATAAAAGTTGGCAGACAGAAAGGAATGCTAAACTTTTTCCCAGAGCTCTGAGTTTGGTTTCCACTGGTCCATGTTCCATTGGGTGATTAGAGAAAGCTTTTTTAAACCCTTACTTCAGAATGATCTTAATTGGTGCAAGGTTGAGCCCTTTCTAGGAGGGGAGGGAAAAGGTTGAATAGCCTTTTCAAGTCACATGAAAGTTTCTAGGATGAATGTACGATAATTAGATTAATAAGTAGCTTAATTTATCACAGCTGAGGATTTCAACAGCCACACATTAGAGCAAGAAAAAAAGATTAGTGTGATTCTAGTTTGTAAAAAAAAAAAAAAAAAAAAAAAATTTACTGAAACTTGATTAACCTTAAACACAAAGTGCCTTTCTTTTTCAGTGTAAATGTCTAACCGGGGGAGGGGCGTGGAGCAGGGAAATCCGGGAGGGGACCTAAAATAATCAGAGAAGTCCTGTTTTATTCCTTTCTGTCTCCCAGTTAATGAGCAGTATCAGGATGCCTTGAACCAACTTTTCCTTTTACGTTTCTTATCCTTAAAATAATGGGCTGACCATAAGCCTGCAGAATCTTAAATTATGTTGCCCGCCCACATCATAGAGATCTGTCTTTTCTGATGTACAGTTTGTCATAAGCAGAGTCACTTGTGTCTGTTGAGAAAAATAAAGATAGTGCCATTGGGAGGACACCATCATTTTGGTTAGTATGTGGCAGGAACATTGAGGCTTAGCTTGTTGGGTGACATCTCTAGTTATCTCAAGGCTGAAAAGCCTGAATTTAGACCCATGCATTCAAAAATCGTAAGTTGCCTAAATAAGGGCAGCAGTGAGTTGAAATGAACAGTATTCATTGATAAAACATGCAAAATCAAGACGATTATTATAATAGCAAGAATAATTGATTTCAACAGGGTTTAAAAAGTCAGATGAGAACTGACACTCAAAAAAAAAAAAAAAAACCATCAATTCAAATTATCCTCCATTGGGATTCTTTTTTTCCATCTTCTCCACAAGTGCACAATAAAGTATTTTGAGAAAAAGGAGAATCTGCTGGACCATCTGATGATCAGATCATCAGGGTGGACTAACGTCAGATTTGATTAACTAACCTTAAACTTCCTGACTTCTGTCTGGCTAAAAACAAAACTGCAATGCCATGTGAAACAAAGCTGCTGGTATCAGCGTTGTTTTGCTATGGAAGAGCCTGGAACGTGAATGTCTGGTACCTGTCAACACTTAACAGTCATCGTGGTTGGGAGGCCGGCTAATGCGAGCCCAGCGGTGGAGCAGGGTTTTGGGCATTGCCCATGTGCCTGCATGGAAAAAATGTGTGGCTGGATGTGGGTAGGCGGCTAAGACACCCTCCAAGTGGAAGGGAAAAATCCAAAGCTAAAATACCAGACAACTTTGGGGACACCAGTACTTCCACAATGAAAATTGTTGTGTGTTCTCTTCAGTCTCCAGAACTTACATTAGAAGCGTCCTGAAATACGTTTGGGTGTGGCCCGTGCACACAGCCCCAGCTACAACATTGAGAAGTTACCTGTGGCCCAGCCAGAGCTACGAGGGCAATGCCAAGGGCACTTGTGCACCAGCTTGTTAGATAAGTTCAGTGACTTGAAACAGCGCCAGAGGTGAATCCGTTTCCACTGCTAGGGAATCTTCTCTCAGAGCACTAGTCTTCTCTTCTGCTGGGATGAAAGGAAAGCTTTGATTTTTTTAAAAAAATCATATAATGAAAAATGACATATTGTAGATAAAATATACTGTAGTTTAAAATGTTGCAATTTCCAAACATTAGTGTAATTATAGGCCCTGAATAAACTTGGAAAGCTAAGGCACACTGCAGCCAGCAGCCCAAACCTGTAAGTATGCTTATAATCTAAAATGGATATCTCATTACTGGTTAACATTATTTATTTAGGAGGAGATACGACCTCTAATTTGCCTTTAAATGATTAATTTGGTGTTTAAATAAGTGCCTTTTACTTAATAATGTTTTCTTCAACCAATTCACTTATGTCAATAAACTCTTTGTTTAACCTTCTTAAAGGAAACATTTTCTCTGCTCTGAGGCAATTAATGAGCTATCAAATAAATAGGTACAGGAAAATGAACTAAAATTAAGGACTGCCCAAGACAGCAAAAATGCTTTAATCTGTGGAGTGGGTACTGTGGTTTACTGTCAACCACGATGCAGGAAGAGTGTCAGTCCATTCCTCACCCTCCCATGAGTCTCCTTTCTGTCTTTAGTTCACAGAGAAGGCAACTCTCACTATAGGACCTACCAAAACGGGAATAGCCCATACCTAGTTAGAGGCACTTTTCTCTCAATTGCTCGTTCTTTAAGTTTGGGAAAAACAATGATAAATCTTCAAGTTGGGAATGGGTTGCCACTTTTTCATGGGAAATCAAAGGGAAATGAAAATATGTGCAATACTAATACAAAATATTAATATCACTAATATCAACGTTAATATCAAAGTGTCAAAAAGCATCTCCTTCAGTCTTGGGGCATAAAACTGGATCATGTATAACTCAGTTGCTTATTTTGCAGGTAATTTATTTTTAAATATAGTTTTTCCTGATAATTAAAAATGAAATTAGAATGAATTTAGCTTTTTTTCTTAATTAATAGAACTAAAGCTGCCAAATTTTGTTTAGCTTTCTGTAGTATGTAAAAAACTTTTTTTTTTTTTTTTTTTTACAGAAATGGGGTCTCACTATGTTACCCAGGCCAGACTCAAACTCCTGGGCTCAAATGATCCTTTTGCTTTAACCTTCAGGGTAGCTGGGACTACAGGTATAAGCCACTGCACCTGGCTAAAAAGCATTTTTTTAAAAAAATTGACCAATAGTAACCATCAACACTATTTTAAAATTTGGAATTTTTTTCTAATAAGAGTAAATGAACCACCAAATTTGGTCATTCTCAGAGGAGGAGAGCACTGAGTGTGGCAGAGACGGCCAGCCATCCCCTAATAATCACACCCCCTTTTTTTATAGTCATAGACTTTCGACCTAGGGCACACAGCCAACAAAAACATAGACAACACTTCCAAGCCTCCTTAACTGCTGACTGTAGTCATAAGACTAAGTTCTGGCCAAGGTGAAGTGAGTGAGTGTGTGTGTGCAAAACCAACTGGCTGTACCCTTAAAAGGCAAGTCATCTTTTCCTCTTCTTCCTTTCACATCAAAATAAAAAGAGCCTTTAATGGTGTCCTGGAACAGAGCTGCCATCCCAGCTCAAACTTTCAGGAGAAATAAACTTCCATCTTAAGTCCTTACGTTTTCAGCTAAACCTTTATCCTAACTAATACGCTGATGTAATAACCATAAAATAAATTCAAACTTTGTGCTACAAGTGCCACACTCAACTAGTTAATATGCCTCTCTTTATCTATGAATATTAGCAGTTTCTGCCATTTAGACTACTCTTCCTAAAATGCACCTCTGATTGGGAATAATTCAAAACCTTTTGGATGGCTCCCCTTTGTCTCCTGAATCAGGGACAATCCATAACATGACATTCACTGTTCCAGTCTTTCCAGCCTTTGCTATTCATGGTACTCTTCTCCACACATCTCCCGACCTCTCCAGTCATGTCAGACAGTCGCAATTTGGAGGCCATGTTTGTCCTTCCTCTTTGCCTGTGCAAACCTTATCCATCCTGGGTTTTTAAAATATGTTGGGTTTTTTGTTTTGTTTTGTTTGTTTGTTTGTTTATTTGTTTTAACAAGGGCTTTGAGCTGGGTGTGGTGGCGTGCACCTGTAGTCCCAACTACTCGGGAGGCTGAGGTGGGAGGATCATTTGAGCCCAGGAGTTTGAGGCTGCATTCCAGCCTGAGTGACAGAGCAAGCTCCAATCTCTAAAATTTTTTTTTACTTAAAAAAAAATTGAGGGCTTTGGAGTCGAATAGGCCTGGTTGAAAGCCATGCTTGGTCTCTGCTGGTTCCCCTTGTTATTACACCCCACATAATACCCTCTAATTTTCCCTCACAGCACTTCTCACAGATTGTTGATGCACATTTGATTACCATCTACTCCCCCATTAGATCACAAACTCCACATGGGCAGGGATGATGTCTATTTTGTCTCAGCTTTTTATCTCTGAGGGTAGCATAGTGCCTAGCATTTGACAGATTATCTAAATATTTATTGAGTGAATGAATAAACATCTCTGAATCCATTTTCTTATCTATTGAATGAGTTATTAATACCTCATTTACAGGGTTGTGAATGAAATGAGATAATGTATGTCAAATGATGAGTACATGGTAAGTACCAAATTAATGGGAGGCAATATTGTGCAGTGACTCACTACACAAACTTTGGAGTTAGACCTACCTGGTATAGCTTCAGCCATGTATTCATTATATGACACTGAACAAGTTATTTATCTTTTCTAGGGCTCCACTTCTTCCTCTGTAAAACTGATAATAAATGTGCCTGGTATCGTTGTTGAATATATTAAATTTGATGACCTATGTGCTTACTGCAGTCTTGTTACCTAGCAGACATTTAGTAATGGGATCTATTGCAATCCGTCACTCATCTGACCATTCATTTGTTCATTCAGCAGATTTTTATTGACTACATACGATGTATCAGATACTGAGCTTTGTGCTGGGAATATAATGGGGAACAAATCGGAGTGGACCACAGGGTACACCTCATGGAATCTAAAGCCAAGACTATCAAATAAATAAACATGCCAATAAATATGTAATAACTAATTGTGAATAACTGCTAAGAAAGAAAAGAACAGGGTGCCATGAGAGGAGGGATTTATTGAATCAGCTGTTCTCCATGACCCAGCTCAGATGTCAGCAGCTCCATGAATCCTGTCTTTGTCCTTTCCCATTCTCTCCTAATCATGTGGTCTTTCCCATTTTTTCAAACTCTATACCATACTATACTTTTATTATGATATTTGCTTTATGCCATCATAACGGCAGCTAATATTAGCTACTCTTGCTAATCTAAGTTCTTGTCTAAGCATTTGGACTACAAACTTCTTGAAGTTTGGACTATGTCTTACCTGCCTCTGTTGTACCTACGGGATCCAGCAAGGCTCCTGGCACAAACTAAAGCTCCAGGAGTATTTGTAAAATAGAAAGAAATTTACACTCTTCTTTGACTTTTGACCATGAAAAACTTACTCTGGCTGGAATAAACCTTTCTCACATTCACATTAGGCTATTTCTTTAGTTAGTAAATTTTTATACATTAATTTCTTCCACATAGTATAGATGATGAATAAATCAGAAGCAAGTTAAAATAGTCAGAATTTTAATCATGAAAAGGGTCTAACATCCTATGACAAGAGAGATTCTTGGAAGAACCCTGGACTGAAAGCCCTAGATCAACATCTGGAGATATTATTTTCTGCTACATTTGAAAGTACCTTTCCAATATAAGATCCTGCTGCTGCTTGTCCCATGATCTTGTCAAAAAGAATGGTCAGCTGGGTGCAGTGGCTCACACCTGTGGTCCCAGCTACTCACAAGGCTGAGGCAGGAAGACCACGTGAGTCCAGAAGTTTGAGACCAGCCTGGGCAACATAGCAAGACCCTGTCTCTAGGAAAAAGTTAAAATATTAGACGGGTATGGTGGTGTGTGCCTGTAGTCTTGGTTACTCTGGAGGCTGACGTTGATGGAGGAAGATAGCTTGAGTCCAGCAGTTCAAGATCAGCCTGGGCAACATAGTAAGACCCCCATCTCAGGAAAAAAAAAGATCATCATTACAACACAAAGCATTTTTTTAAAAAATACAGAGTCTCACTTTGTAGCCCAGGCTGGAGTGCACTGGCATGATCTCGGCTCACTGCAACCTCCATCTCCCAGGTTCAAGCTATTCTCATGCCTCAACCTCCCAAGAAGCTGAGAGTACAGTTGCCCACCACCATACCCAGCTAATTGTTATATTTTTAGTTGAGATGAGGTTTCACCATGTTGGTCAGGCTGGTCTCGAACTCCTGACCTCAAGTGATCCACCCACTTCAGTCTCTCAAAGTGCTGGGATTACAGGTGTGAGCCACCGTGCCTGGCCACCACAAAGCATCTTAATGGCAACACAAGCCATTTACTGGAAGGAAAATATTTAAGTTACACCCAGATTGAAAGTAAACAATACAATAAAGAAAATTTATCTGCTCACATAACTGAAAAACCCAGAGATAAAGGTACTTTAGATGAGGCTTCATCCAATGTCTCAAGGATATCCCAAAAACCTGGGTTCTTCCATCTGTCTGCGTCAGCTTCATCCTAAAGCTGGCTCCACTCCTACTCCCACGATGGCTGCTCACAGCTCCTGGATTCATATACTTTCTTTTTTTTTTTTGTGGCAGAGAGAGCTACTTTGTTTCAGCATTCCCAGAAAAACCCTTATAATTACTGGTCTGCTCACTTCACACTTCTACCCTTGATTCTATTGCTGTAGTCAGGAGGATGGGATGAGATAATTGGCTTGGCCTAGGTCATCTATTGCACCCGTAAATGGGAGGCAGTAAGGTTAGCTTCCACAAAATTATGTTGATCCCCAAAAGGAAACTAGGGACTGCTGGGAAGAGGGAAGCAGGAAATAGATGCTGGCAAGACATCTACTAAATGTTGAATCTACAGTCTTGGTCAGCCTCAGTCTGTGAAGCCTGCCTATTCAGGTGGGTAGTGTCGCTCACTCATGTTAGTAGGAGAAAAGAACGCAGTATGGACTTCTTCCATCTCTTATGGAAATGGCATCATACTCTGACAATAAAAACGAGCTTTGCTTTGGTGTTTGTTCTGCTCAGAGGAAAAGTTTTATGGTCTAATAGAGGCAGCACTTTTAAATAAAATTATTTTTATTCTAAAATGCTGAAATCTTTATGAATAAGTGGAGCCCAAGTAACAGTATATACAGTCTTAAGTACTAAATTTCCAAGTAGAATGTTGACATTTTATCTTGTGTTCAAGGGAAAATAACTTGAGAGAACTCTAGGGAGAAGACCATCATTTGTTTCCACTAATTTTAAGCAAGTGAGAGCTGCTAGAGAATCTAGTTGATGATTCCTATTATCTTTCTCTTTTTCCTCTTCCTCTGTCCCTCTTTCAGACCCACTCTGCACATGCGTGCGTGCAGCACACACACAAACACACACACACTTTTTCTTTCTTTCTCTGCCCTTTTGCTCTTTCCATTTCTTCTTCCTCTACCCCCTCTCATTCTTCTTTCCCTCCATCAAATACCTTTTACTCTTTTTTTCTTCTCTCTCTTCTCTCTCATGTTTTTCACTCTTTCTCTTCAAATGGGTCTCAATAGGCGGATTCATTTAGTACGAGAAAAAAAGTTATTTTTTCCTTCACCAATATCATGAAAACAAGTGTAAAAGTCATGACCATGATTTAGGTCTGCTTTAGGGAGAACTACTCCTACTTCTCTGTGGCCTCCAAGATGCATCAGAGGACAAAGTTTGAGCCGTCTGGTAACAAATTTGCTGGTTTCACCAAAACATTCTGCATTAGCTATTAAAGGAGAGAAACTCCAATCTGTTTACTGGTGAGCTCTACAGTCTAACTCTTATCTCCCTAATCCTCACACCACCCGTGAGAGCTAAGAAGGCAGCTTAGTTTTTTCACTCCCTTTTTAGAGTCTTGAAGAACCAGTAAATGCAGGCACTAACAGTGTGATAGAATGACCAGATTTTTAGACTTAGGGTATTATTGTCTTTACTTCTAGCTGATTTTTCAACTCTGACATTTTCTCAGAGTAGCATGAAATCTCTTTCCCAAATAACTTTATCCATTAACCGTTAGCGTTGTCAAGAAGGACAGCTCACAAACAAGACACAATGACATTAAAGTCAAGTAAGATGTAGTAACTCATGCTTATAATGTAAAGGCATTATGCTTTGGGGTCAGCCTAAGCCAAATGTAGCCCTCAAATAAATAAAGAAAATTCATTGCATATTTCCTTAGGGAACCTGCTACCATGAAAATGTTTTGATTTGAAGTTTTAAGATAGCTATTTGTAGTTATCAAAATGCCCCGGCGTGGGGGATAGCTCTGAGAAGATTAATGCCTAAAGTTCTTGTAAGATAAATAGTATAAAAGTTTTGACCAATGTTTTCAAAATATATACATGATCACTTATGGTAAAGAAAAAAATATGTCCCTAGAAAGGTAATTTAATACTTAGCGCTTGCTTACAAAAGATGGGAGACTAATGACTTGTGTTGTTTTTCTATGTAGTTTTAGGTGTTGTTCTCATGATGACAGATAGGCATGCTATTTTCTGGTAGTGAAGAATTTGCGTATAACCATCAGCTAATGTTCTTCAAGTTTTTTTGTTTTTTTTGTTTTGCGATTCTGCATAGCTATAGTGCCATTTGCACTAATGGGAGGATCAATATCAGAGTACAGTCAACATTTAATACACATATATTGAGTGCTTGCTTATTTGTCAACATGCTGTATATCTGGCACTAGGCCAATATAGTTCTTGTCCTGAAGGATCTCACAGTTTCATGAAAATAGCTATTTGTAGTTATCAAAATGCCCTGGCATGGGGGATAGCTCTGAGAAGATTATATGCTCATTCATTTAAATAATTTAATAACAGTTAGCTAATCTCTATATTGTAGGCATGTGCAATATATGAGGGGGATATAAGAGGGGAATTAAGGTTCTATGATGAAGTGTGGGAAGACTTCATAGAGAAGGTAGCTTTTGAGATGGAACTTGAAGAATGAATAAGAACAAAGAGAAGTGAAGAGGACTGCTGCTCCAAGCAGAGAGAAAATCACATGCCAAGACATGGAGGTATGGTACAATTTGCCTACATAAACAACCACTAGTAGTTTATTATTGCTGGAAAATAAAATATGACAGTAGTGATAGAAGATGAGGTATCATCAGGAATCTGTAGACAAATCACAGAAATTCATTTTATGCCATGCTTAAGAACGTAGTTTTTATTCCATAGGCCATAGAGAGTCATTGATAAATTTCATGTAACATGATCGGCTTTGATTAGAAAATGTCAAAATAAACTGGGAGACAACATCTTAGAAGCAGAAAAAATAGTCATTAAGCTACTGCAATATTCCAGCCAAGGGATGCTGAAAATCTGAAGCATTCTAATGTACAGAGATAGTAGGGCTAGAAGAGAGGAGAAAGATGTAAGGCATATTTAGGAAATAGAATCAACAGTAGCTATTGATTGATTAGATGTGAGTAGAAAGGAAAAAGAAAAAAATCTTTAAATAACTCTCAGGATTTTGCTTGGGCAATGGGGTAGATGGAAGGTAGTATCGCTCACTATAATAAGAAAAATGGAAAAAGCAGTGAGTTTTGAGAGGTAGGGAGTACTTTTGGGACATTTTCAGCTTGAGATCCTTTTGAGATATCCAAGTGTAGTTGCCTGATAAGTGAGATTCTTCTTTCTAGACTCAAAAATAAGTCTGAGCTAGAGATATTATTGAAGCTTTGAATGTGGATGCCAGAGGGAATGTTTACAATAAGACATGAAGAGGATTGAACATAGAATCTTAGAGAACTCCACCATTTAAAGGTCAGGAAGACAGCCAGAGCAATCAGGCAAGAGAGAGAAATAAAAGGTATCCAAACAGGAAGAGAGGAAGTCAAACTATCTCTCCTTGCAGATGATAGGATTCTATACCCAGAAAACCCCATAGTCTCTGGCCAAAGGCTCCCAGATCTGATAAACAACTCCAGCAAAGTTTCAGGATACAAAATCAATGTACAAGAATCAGTGGCATATCTATACACCAAAAAGGTCCACGCTGAGAGCCAAATCAAGAATGCAATCTCACTCATAATGGCCACAGAAAGAATAAAACACCTAGGAATACAGCCAATGAGGAAGGTGAGAGATCTCTACAAAGAGAATTACAAAACACTTCTGAAAGAAATCAGAGCCAACACAAACAAGTGGAAAAGCGTTCCATGCTTGTGGATAGGAGGAATTAATATTGTTAAAATGGCCATACTGCCCAAACCAATTTACAGATTCAATGCTATTCCTATCAAACTACCAACAACATTTTTCACAGAATTAGAAAAAGCTATACTGAAATTCATATGGAACCAAAAAAGAATCTGACTAGCCAAAGCAATCCTAAGCACAAAGAACAAAGCCAGAGGCATCACACTACCTGACTTCAAACAATACAACAAGGCTACGGTAACTAAAACATCATAGTACTGATGCAAATACAAATACATAGACCAGTGAAACACAGCAGAGAACCAAGAAATAAAGCCACACATCCACAACCATCTGATCTTTAACAAAGTCAACAATAACAAGCAATGGAGAAAGGACTCCCCATTCATAAATGGTGCTGAGATAACTGGCTTGCCATATGCAGAAGATTGAAACTTGACCCCTTTCTTTCACCATATACAAAAATAAACTCAAATACCATTTGGCCCAGCAATCCCATTACTGGGTATACACCCAAAAGAATATAAGTCATTCTATTATAAAGATACATGCACACATATGTTCACTGCAGCACTATTCACAATAGCAAAGACATGGAATCAGCCTAAATGCCCATCAATGGTAGACTGGATAAAGAAAATGTGGTTAGGCGCAGCGTGGTGGCTCATGCCTGTAATCCCAGCACTTTAGGAGGCTGAGGCGGGCAGATCACGAGGTCAAGAGATCGAGACCATCTTGGCCAACGTGGTGAAACCCCATCTTTACTAAAAATACAAAAAATTAGCCAGGCATGGTGGCAGGCGCCTGTAATCCCTGCTACTTTGGAGGCTGAGGCGGGAGAATCACTTGAACCCGGGAGGCAGAGGTTGCAGTGAGCTGAGATCATGCCATTGCACTCCAGCCTGGGCAAAAAGAGTGAAACTCCGTCTCAAAAAAAAAAAAAAAAGAAAAAGAAAATGTGGTACATATACACTATGGAATACAGAATTCTATGTAGCCATAAAAAGGAATGAGATTATGTCCTTTTCAGGGACATGGATGGAGCTGGAAGCCATTATCCTCAGCAAACTAACCCAGTAACAGAAAACCAAACACTGCATATTCTCACTTATTAGTGGGAGCCGAATGATGAAAACACACGGACACATAGGGGGTAACAATACACACTGGGGTCTTTCAGGGTGAGGGGGAAGGGAGCATCAGGAAGAACAGCTAATGTATCCTGGGCTTAATACCTAGCTGATGGGATGAAGTGTGCAGGAAACCAAGATGGTACCTGTTTACCTGTATACCAAGTCTGCACATGTTGCACATGTACCCTTGAACTTATAATGAAAGTTGGAATAATTTTTTTAAATAAGAAAAATAAGAACAAACTCAAGATGGATTAAAGACTTAAATGTAAAACCTAAAACTATAAAAATCCTAGAAGAAAACTTAGGGAATACCTTTCTGGACATAGGCCCTGACACAGGTTTTACAACAAAGACTCTGAACGCAATTGAAACAAAAACAAAAACTGACGAATGGGACCTAATTAAACTAGAGAGCTATTACACAGCAAAAGAAACTATCAACAGAGTAAACAGACAATCTGCAGAATGGGAGAAAATATTTGCAAACTATGTGTCAGACAAAGGTCTAATGTCCAGAATCTGTAAGGAATTTAAACAAATAAGCAAAAAAAACCCAGAAAACCCCATTAAAAAATGGGCAATGGACATGAACAGACACTTCTCAAAAGAAGACATACACATGGCCAACAAGCATATGAAAAAATGCTCAACATCACTAATCACTAGAAAAATGCAAATCAAAACCACAATGAGATACCATCTAACACCAGACAGGATAGCAGTTGTTAAAATGTCAAAAAACAACAGATACTCGCAATGCTGTGGAGAAAAGAGAACAGGTAAACACTGCTGGTGGGAATGTAAGTTAGTTCAGCCACTGTGGAAAGCAGTTTGGAGATTTCTCAAAGAACTTAAAATAGAAATACTATTCCACCCAGCAATTCTATTACTGGGTATATACCTGAAAGAATATAAATTGCTCTACGATAAGAACACATACACACATATGTTCATTGTAGTAGTATTCACAATTGCAGACATGGAATGAACCTAGATGCCCATCAACAGTGGATTTTTTTTAAATGGGATTTTTTAAACTGGATTTTTTTAAACATGGTACATAGACACCATGGAATACTACACAGTCATAAAAAAAATCATGTCCTTTGCAGCAATCTGGATGAAACTGGAGGCCATTGTCCTATGAGAATTAACACAGGACCAGAAAACCAAATACCATATTTTCTCACCATAAGTGAGAGCTAAACATTGTGTACACATGAACACAAATAAGGGAACAATAGACACTGGGGCCTACTAGTGGAGTGGAGGGTGAGAAGATGGGGGGAATCAAAAAACTACCTATCAGGTACTATGCTCACTATCTGCGTGATGAAATAATTTGTATACCAAACCACTGCAACATGCAATTTACTCATGTAACAAACCTGCACATGTACCCCGGTTTCTTAAAATGAAAGCTGAAAGGAAAAACAAGTGAAGATCAGGAAGAGGACAAAGAGTATACAAAGAAAAGTCAGATGAAGTCTGCTCAGAGAAGTAGGAAGAAAGGCAAGAAATAGTGCCGTAATGAAAAACTAGGGAGGATGAAGATTTTATTTATACCCTTGATTGTTTCACATTTTTTACCAAGCATATATTTCTTTTGTAATATAAAAAATATTAAAAACAGATTTTAAAAAAGAATGAGAAACTCAACAACAAAAAGACAAAAAAACCAATTAAATAATAGGCAAATGACTTGAATAGACATTTCCCCAAAGAAGAGACATGAGTGGCCAACAGCCATGTGAAAAGATGCTCAACATCATTAGACATTATGAAAATACAGATCAAAATAAATAAGATACCACTTTAAACCCACTAAGGATGCTCAAAAGTAAAAAAGAAAAAAATAATAAGTGTTGAGAAAGAAACAAAGATGTAGAGAAACTGGAGCCTTCATTCGTGGCTGGTGCGAATGTAAAATGATGCAGCTGCTGTGGAAACTGATTTGGCAGCTCCCCCGATAAGTTCAACATAAAATTACCCTATGAACCAGCAGTTCCATTCCTGGGTATATACCCATAAGAATGGAAAACAGGTGTTCAGACAAAACCTTGTACATGAATGTTCACAGCGGCTCTATTCACAATAGCCAAAAGATGGAAACAGCCCAAATATCCATCAACAGATGAATGGATAAACAAAATGTAGTATATCTATACAATGGAATATTATTCAGCCATAAAAAGGATGAAATACTAATACATGCTACAACATGGGTAAACCTTGAAACCATTATGCTAAGTAAAAGAAGTCAGATACAAAAGGCCACATATTGTCTTACAGACAATAGACAGGATAGGCAAACCCCTAGAGCTTAGTGGTTGTCAGAGGCTGGTGGAGAATGAGGAGTAAGGACTGACTGCTGAATGGGTACAGGGTTTCCGTTTGTGGTAATGAAAAAGTCCTGGAAGTAGATAGGGTGATTGTTGTACAATATTGTGAATGTGTTTAACACTGCCGGATTACACATTTTAAAATGTTTACATGGCAAATTTTATGTCATGAATGTTACACTATTTTTTAAATGAGAGAATGTGAGGTTAGCAGTGTCTCGTTAGGTGAGGACGATAAAGAGGAGGCTCTTAATGACAACACTGAGGGCAGCGTCAGGGAGACAGGAGCAGTGCCAAGCTGCAGTAAGCTGAAGATTAAATCAGACCTGGGATGTGAAGACAGCAGATGAAGACAGCTTTTTCTTGAAGCTGAACAATGAACTGTAGCATGTATCAATACTTCATCTGTCAGTAGTCAGGGAGACACAGGTTCAAGAAACGTGGTGTGTGTGCGTGTGTGTGTGTGTGTGTGTGTGTGTGTGTGTGTGTTTTAAGATGGCAATAGCTTGAATACATTTATTTTGCTGGGAGAAGGAAGCCCTAGAAAAGAAGAATGAAGACTTAGGGACAGAGATAATTGATAGAACTGGATCTTCAGTAAGGCAGGACACAAGCGTGGGTAGAAGCCTTCAGTTTTGTAAGGAAAATGAGTCCTCATCTTCGGAAAAAGAGCTAGTTGCCCATAAAGAAACATTTGTAGGTAGGAAACCAGAAGTTGAAGGATTTTGTGCCCAAGGGCTTCTATCAGAGATTCTGAGAGTTGGAAGTAACCTTAAACACCATCAGCATAAGTTACTGTCAGTACTAAATGCACACTAAAATCATTTGGGGATCTTTTTTAAAAAAAAAGTATTGATCTTGAGCCTTCTCTCCAGATATTCTGATTTAATTGTTCTGGAGATTATTTTTCAAAAACTCTTTGGGTGTACAATGTGGTAAGTATCACTTTTATTCTCACTTTATAGATAACGCATTTGTCTGGTAAAGAATTTGTTCGGGATCACAAAATTTGTGTATGGCAAAGGGAGCCCTATCTAACACCAGAATACAAGTCATTAATCGCTATGCTATATAGTCTAATGTTAATAGATAACATTGCAAACGAGGGATGGCTCAGGCCAGCTGCATTTTCATCACAAGTTTAGAGCCTTTTAAAAAATGAAATTGGAGCCAGGTGCGGTGGCTAACGCCTGTAATCCCAGCACTTTGGGACACCGAGGCGGGCGGATCACAAGGTCAAGAGATCAAGACCTTCTTGGCTAACACGGTGAAACCCCATCTCTACTAAAAATACAAAAATTAGCCGGGAGTGGCAGCGTGCGCCTGTAGTCCCAGCTGCTGGGGAGGCTGAGGCAGGAGAAGGGCGTGAACCCGGGAGGCGGAACTTGCAGTGAGCCGAGATCGCGCCACTGCACTCCAGCCTGGGCGACAGAGCGAGACTCCGTCTCAAAAAAAAAAAACAAAAACAAAAACAAAAAAACAACAACAACAAAAAAAACGAAATTGGGTAGGGTGTGATGGCTCACATCTGTAATTGCAGCACTTCAGGAGGCCGAGGTGGGAGAATCACTTGAGCTCGAGACCAGCCTAGACAACAGAGCAAAACTTCATCTCTAGAAAAAAAACACAAAAATTAGCCAGATTTGGTGGTATGTGCCTCTAGTCCCAGCTACTCCGGAGGCTGAGGCAGGAGAATTACTTGAGCCCAGGAGTTTGAGGCTGCAGTGAGCTATGATTACGCCACTGCACTCCAGCCTGGGTGACAGAGCAAGACTTTATCTCTAAAAAAATAAATAAATAAAAATAAAAAATGAAACTGCGTTCTTCTTTTATGTCAGTATTACTTTTAAGATATTCCCTTAAACTCAAAAAGCAAGGTTTGAGTTGCCTCATATCAGGCTGTTTTAGCTGAAAACAGTCACAGATGGGAGAGGTTCTATTTTGCATCCATAACTTCATCTTCCATAATTTATGTCATCTCTGATGTTTAATAAGAGAGGGTGTATGGTAGAGTGGTTTAAAGCATGAGCTTTGGAGTGAGTCAGACTTCTGTTGAACCCAGCTCTGGTATATACTAACTATGTGACCTTGAACACTGCGAATGTTCAATTTCCTCAATTGTAGAATGAGAATAAGTAATACATATGGCACGGTGTTGATGAGAGAAGAAATGAGATGTTTATGAAAGGAGATTTATACAATACCTGTTGTATTGTAAAAGACAAATGGCACTAGTTTATTATTATTATTATAACTTTCATCATCATTACCATCATCAAGGTTCATCAGGAGCATCATGAAAGTCAGAGTTGTGTTGCCTCTTTCAGAGATATTTATGGCTTCTAGATGATTTCTGCCCAATAGAACTTTCTGCAATGACGGAAATGTTCGATAATATACACTGTTCAATATAGTAGCCACTTCTCATCTGTGACTGTTGAGTACTTGATACTTGGTTAATGTGACTGAGAAACTAAATTTTTTATTTTATTTTAATTAAAATTAAATTTAAATAGCCATGTGTACTTAGCAGCTACTTTACTGGGTATGCCTCTTACTCCTGCTTGAGTAATGAGTAATTTCTCAACTCAGGTGATCTGTCCGCCTTTGCCTCCAAAGTGCTGAGATTACAGGCGTGAGCCACCGCACCTGGCTAGTAACTTCTTAGGAGATATCATGGTTGGGTGCCATGGCTCACGCCTGTAATTTCAACACTTTGGGAGACCAAGGCAGGTAGATCACCTGAGGTCAGGAGTTTGAGGCCAGCCTGGCCAACATGGTGAAACCCCGTCTCCACTAAAAATACAAAAATTAGCTGGGCCTGGTGGTGCACACCTGTAGTCACAGCTACTCGGGAGGCTGAGGCAGGAGAATCGGTTGAACCCAGGAGGCGGAGGTTGCAGTGAGCGGAGATCGCACCACTGCACTCCAGCCTGAGTGACAAAGCGAGACTCTGTCTCAAAAAAAAAAAAAAAAAAGAGATATCACTAACCAACCTGGGCAACCAGCACGAAACCCCCTCTCTATCTAATGAAGTGCTGTGGAAACGAATAAGGAATATCTGTCTTTGTATACTCCCATTCTCATTGATTCATCTCCAGGATATTTTTTAAGGTAAGTGAAGAAAATTATACATTTACATTTATATTTATTTGAATTTATTTATTTGAATGTATAGTGAATATAAATATAAATTTAAATATATATTATCCAAGTAGAGAAATTATAGTATGTTTGTATTTTTTTAAAAGCGTTTGTGTGTGATTGTGCATGCGTGCATGTGTAATCTACTTTTATTAATTAAAAAATGGAATGATAAGCCATAAAATTATTTAAATGGTTATCTACTAGGGGAGGGAAGGAATAGAATAGAATCAAGGAAATAAAAACTAGGCTTCTTTGAATATACACTGTTTTCTAGATAAGTCTTGGGAGGCATACAAAATTAAAATATAAAAACAATCCCTACAAATAAAAAGTAACATAAAATAAACGAATTTACATGTATATCCAGTCATCAGTAGAATGAAAAGAGCAGCAAAAGAGAACTGTAAACACTTTGCAGTAATCATATTGTGAGTGGTAACTTTAATAGTGTTATTCTGTGTAATGTAGAATAAAGAAAACAAGAAAATTCTGACAATCTGTGGTGCCACCTGTGGTGTCCTTGAGAGCTAGAATTCTTAGTGAAAGAAAAAGAAAATATAGATGTAAGATAGAAGAGTTTGAATAACAAAACCTATAGTTGTGAATTTGAACTAGAAATATTAGTATGAACTCATTGTATATTTTATCTTAAAAAATTATTGATTCCATCCACTGAAAAGGATTAGAATAGCCTTATGATAACTTACAATAATAACTAGCATCCTTAGTGTCCAGACAGTGGACTTGAAATTCCGTTTTTCCCTAAGAGAAAGGACAACTTCACAGTGAAATGGCTGGTTTTAACTCTGAAGCAGAAAATGTACAGATTGGCCAGCTGCAGTGGCTCATATCTGTAATCCCAGCACTTCGGGAGGCCGAGGCTGGCGGATCACGAGGCCAGGAGATCGAGACTATCCTGGCCAACATGGTGAAACTCCGTCTCTACTAAAAATACAAAAACTAACTGAGTGTGGTGGCACGCGCCTGTTGTAATCCCAGCTACTTGGGAGGCTGAGGCAGAAGAATCGCTTAAACCGGGGAGGCAGAGGTTGCAGTGAGCTGAGATTGTGCCATTGCACTCCATCCTGGGAGACAGAGCGAGACTCCATCTAAAAAAAAAAGAAAAGAAAAAGAAAGAAAGGAAAGAAGGAAGGAAGGAGAGAGAGAGAGAGAAAAGAAAGAAGGAAAGAAGGAAAGAACAGAAAGAAAGAAAAAAGAAAGAAAGAAAAAGAAAGAAAGAAAAAGAGAAAGAAAGAAAGAAAGAAAGAAAGAAAGAAAGAAAGAGAAAGAAAAGAAAGAAAGAAAAAAAGAAAGAAATAAAAAAATGTACAGATTAGCTTGGAATATCTTGTCATCTTATCAAATAGGAAGGAAAATATCCAGGATTATTAAGGGCATGTGAAAAAGATCGAGGAGCCAACTGAGAGATACTCCTTCTTGCCAAGGATGGAACAATCTGAGCATCAATAAAGATACGGCTTGAAACCCATCAAATGTTTTTAAATTCTCATTTGTATAGTGGTGTTTAAACTCATGAATTCATAATGCTATTAAAACAAACCAACTGGTCGCTGTTAGAGGATGCTGGTCAACAAACTCATTAGTTGAAAGCTGGTAAATAAAGTGAAATAAACAAGCATTAAACCTGACTTTCCTACACATGCTGTAACACTGGTTGAACCAAAGACTGCATTAGGAGAATGTGTTCTTTTGAAAGTATTCCAGGCTGGGCATGGTGACTTATATCTGTAATCCCAACACTTTGGGAGGCTGAGGTGGGGGGATCGCTTGAGCTCAGAGCTCCAGGCCAGCCTACGCAACATAACAAGGCCCCCGTCTCTACAAAAAATACAAAAATTAGCTGGGCATGATGGCGCACAACTGTAGTCCCAGCTACTTAGGAGGCTGAGGCAGGAGGATTGCTTGAGCCCAGGAGTTCCAGGTTACAGTGAACTATGATTATGCCTCTGCACTCCAGCCTGGGCATGAATGAGACCCTATCTCAAAAAACAAAAACAAAACTATACCATGAAGATACAATTAGAAAAACAAAAACAAAAAATACAGCTAAAGACTCAGCTTCTTCAACAGATAAATTACAAGAAGAAAAGAGAGACAGGAAGATGGCTGGGGAAATCCATAATTAAAAGAGATTTAAGGCCAGCATGGTGTCTCACACCTGTAATCCCAGCACTTTGGGAGGCCGAGGTGGGCAGATCATCTGAGGTCAGGAGTTCAAGACCAGCCTGGCCAACATGGCGAAACCCCCATCTCTAAAAAAATACAAAAATTAGCTGGGCGTGGTGGCAGGCACCTGTAGTCCCAGCTACTTGGGAGGCTGAGGCAGAACAATTGCTGGAACCCAGGAGGTGGAGGTTGCAGTGAGCTGAGATCCCACCACTGTATTCCAGCCTGGTGACGGAGCAAGACTTGCTCTCAAAAAAAAAAGACATCACCTAGTGTGATGGTTAATTTTATGTGTCAATTTGGCTAGACCATGATATCCAGATAGTTGGTCAAACACTAGTCTACATATTGCTGTGAAGGTATTTTTATTCTTTATTTTTTCCCCAAATTTATTGAGGTATAATTGACATATTAAAGTGAAATTAACATTTAAATCAGCAGATTTTGAGTAAAGTAAAAGTATGTTTGGGTGGGCCTCCTCCAATCAGTTGAAGACCTTAAGAGAAAAGACTGAGGTCCTCCAAAGAAGGGGGAATTCTGTTTCCAGATTGCCTTTGCACTTGAGTTGCAACATCAAGTCTTCCCTAGGTTTCCATCCTGCCAGCCTACCTTGCCAGCTCCCATAATTACATGAGTCAATTCTCTCTCTGTACACAAACACACACACATTCCTTATTGATTCTGTTTCTCTGGAGAACCCTGACTAATACACCTGGTCCCTATGTGTGGACCTTACTTGTATCTTCATTCACATAAACAAACTGTTGAAATTTAATACTGACTAAATATGTTTTATATTTAAAAAGTATTGTTAATGTGTAATTGTGATAATGGTATTATTGGATTTGCTTCCAAATAATAAGTGGCTAAAATTAGCCAGGCATGGTGGCGGGTGCCTATAGTCCCAGCTACTTGGAGGCTGAGGCAGGAGGATCGTTTGAGTCCAGGAGTTCGGCTGCAGTGAGCTATGAGCGCCCTACTGCACTCCAGTCTTGGCAACAGAGTGAGACCCTGACTCAAAACTAATAATAATAATAAGTGAAGGTGGGTGTCCCCTCTCCCATGACTGGCCATTAGCTGATCATTGTTGAGGGTGAGTGATTGGTATGTGGAGGTTCATTAGATTATTCTATTTGGATATGTTTGCTATTTTCTGTAATAAAATGTTCTTGAAAGTGTTTTCTGTAGTAATACATTCACCTGGTTCAAAAATAAAAATGATACAAAAAGGTACGCCTTGACAGATGTTACTCCCATCTCTGTGTCTCTCTCCTTTGCCATGGTGACCAATGGTCCTGATGCCAGGGATGCAGGACTTTTAGTGTTAAAACTGGGACAAAAGCCAGGTGTGGTACCTGTAGTCCCAACTACTTGGGAGGCTGAGGTCAGAGGATTGTTGGAGCCTAGGAGTTCAAGGCTGCAATGAGCTATAATTGCTTCACTGCACTCCAGCCTGGAAAATATAGTGAGATCCTGTCTCAAAACAAACAAAACAAAACAAAACAAAACAAACAAACAAACAAACAAACTGGGATGGTCCCAGCCAAAACAGAATGGTTGGTCACCCTACACTTACCTCTTTAAGGAACCATTATTATTAGATTTTTTTTTTTTTGCTATCCTTCCAGGATTTCTTTATAAAAATAAAACAATTATATCTTTATAAAATAAATATTTACTATTATCTTTATAAAAATAAGTATTGTTTTTCACATTTTCTCATAAAAAGGTCATCTTATATACATTGTTCTATACCTTATTTTTTTTTATCTTAACAATATACCCAAAAGATTTTTCCACATCAACACATAGAGAATTTCTTCCTTCTTTTTTTTTTTTTTTTTTTTTTTTTGAGGCTGAGTCTCACTCTGTTGGAGTACAGTGGTGCGATCTCAGCTCACTGCAACCTCCGCCTCCCAGGTTCAAGTGATTCTCCTGCTTCAGCCTCCGGAGTAGCTGGGACTACAGGTGCCCACCACCATGCCTGGCTAATTTTTGTATTTTTAGTAGAGATGGAGTTTCACCATGTTGGCCAGGATGGTCTCGATCTCTTGACCTCGTGATCCACCTGCCTCAGCCTCCCAAAGTGCTGGGATTATAGGCATGAGCCACCACACCCAGCACTTCTTCCTTCTTTTTAACAGTTCCATCATATTCTACTGTGTGGATGTACCAGAGTTTAAGTAGCTGCTGATGAATATATGGTTGTTCCCAGTGTTCTGCCATTATAAATAATGCTGCAATGGATCACCGTAAATATACATTGGTTCCACATGCAGGCATATCTTTAGGACACATTTCCGCAGTTGGGATTCTTGGGTCAAGGGGTAAATGGTAAACAAATTTGTAATTTTGATCAGTTTGCCAAATCCCCTCTATAAAGGCTGCACCATTTTTAATTCCTACCAGTCATGTATAAGAGTATCAGTTTCCCCCGTGGCTTATAAAACAAAGATATCTAATACTTAAAGTTTTCTATTTCTGATTTCTAGCAAACCATTTTAAACTCATTATCAAAGTTTAATATGCACATCCATATAACAAATAAACAGCTTGATGAATTTTGTACAGTTGAATACATCTTGGCCAGGAAATAGACACTACCAGCGCCTCAGAAGCCCTTCCCATCACTACCACTTCTTACAAAGGTATCATCATCCTGATTTGTAACAGCATACATTAGTTTTACGTAGTTTTGTACTTTCTATGAATGGAATCGTACCGCTAGAAAAAGAAAAAAGAAAATCAGTAAATGTGTGAAAGGGTAAACATGGAAGTTGAGGATCAACTGCAAACTGGCTCCCTGAAAACTTTGTATGACTGGGTACTCCTTGAAACATCTTCCATACCTCTGAGGGTTACATGTGTGGCAGACTGAAGACCACCAGCTAAAGTACAGAACATCCACTTAAGATGATCTTCTGAAATTTACTTCTTAAAAAAAATTAAATACTTTTTATTATGAAGTGAAAAGAAATTGTAAATATAAATTGTTATAATTTTTCCATATACATGTGCCATTTATTACGTTCTAGGTGCTATGGACATAAGAAGTTGAGTAAGACACAAACTATGCCCTTGAAGATCTTAAAATTTATTTATAAAGATATATAGTTAAGTAGTTATAGAACAAAATGGTTTGCAATTAGTTACATAAAAGCAACATTATAGTAGTCAAATTTTGTTTAAATAATTTTATGATCAAAGTGATAGTTTTCTCAGATACACATATGTATTTATACATTAATTATCTTTATAAGGGGAGGTTGGCTAATATCACTTAAAAGTCAAAGGTTAGTTCTTTCAAGCATCAGGCATGAAGATCCTAAGGCCATAGATTATCATCTTGAAAAGTTAAAACACTGATAGAAAGAATAAAACTATTGTTTCAGGGTATAGAACACTCAAAGGGAAAAAAATATGGAGAGAAATTCTTGAACATGTTTTAAAACCAGAAAACTTTGAAAAGCAATTTGGCTAAATCTAGTTTAAAGTTTATTTGTGACAAGCAGCAATTCCAACTCTGATACAACTCAAACATAGGCACAGGAGACTTGTACAAGGCTGTTCCACAACAATATTTGTAATAAGAAGCATGGAAATTAGGAAAGCACACATTGTCTACTGGTGGGAGAATGAATAAATAAAATGTGATATGTGGAATATTCATACAGTTGATTACTACACAGCAGTTAAAAATGAATGATATTAACTCACTTAAGAAATATATACATATATTGGCTGGCATAGTGGCTCACATCTATAGTCCCAGCACTTTGGGAGGCCAAGGCAGGAGGAACACTTGAGCAAAGGAGTTTGAGACCAGTCTGGGCAACATGCTGAAACCCTGTCTCTCCAAAAAAAAAATACAAAAAATTATCCAGGCAAGGTGGTGCACTCCTGTAGTCCCAGCCACTTGGGAGGCTGAAATGGGAGGATTGCTTGAGCCTGGAAGGAGGAGGTTGCAGTGAGCAGTGATGGTGCCAATGCACTCCAGCCTGGGAGACAGAGTGAGATCCTGTCAACAAAAAAAAAGGAAGAATAAAGAAAGAAAGAAAGAGAAAGGAAAGGAGAGAGGGAGAGAGGGAGAGAGAAAGAGAGAGAAAGAAAGAAAAGAAAGAAAGAAAGAAAGAAAAAGAGAGAGAGAAAGAAAGGAAGGAAGGAAAGAAGGAAGGAAGGAAGGAAGGAAGGAAGGAAGGAAGAAAGATTGAATGTTTGCTATATGCCAAATGCTATTCTAGGTGCTGGAGATTCAGCAATGAGCAAGACAAAGTCCCTGCCCTCAGGGAACTTACAAATAGCTCTACATATACTAGCATGGATAGAAGACAGAAACATCACAAAATAGACTGTGAATATTAAATATGTAAATTCTTAAATTACCCACTAAACAATCACACACATTATTATGTATATGGGCACATAAATGTATTCTTTAATGACCTCAAAGAATACATGCCGATATTATATAGGGTTGCTTTGAGGGAGGGAATGCAGGCAACAGGACTGAAAAGGTAGGTCAAGGGGAACTTCAACTTTATCTGAAACTTTTTTATTAGAAAAAGGATAAGCCAGTGTATGATAATATTAACAGTCAATTCTGGGTTTTGCAAACAAGCATATTTGTCTTATTAATCTCTGTGCTTTATTTATTACTTTCTCAAAATTAAAGAACCTACAACAAGGGATTTTAGGATTTTTAAGGAACAGAAGGTACAATTTAGCTGGGCACGGTGGCTCACATCTGTAATGCCAGCACTTTGGGAGGCCGAGGCGGGCGGAGGTGGGTGCATCACCTGAAGTCAGGAATTTGAGACCAGCCTGGCCAACATAGCCAAACCCCGTCTCTACTAAAAATACAAAAATTTAGCCGGGAGTGGCGCCTGTAATCCCAGCTACTCAGGAAGCTGAGGCAGGAGAATTGCTTTAACCTGGGAGGTAGAGGTTGCAGTGACCTGAGATCATGCCACTGCACTCCAGCCTGGGTGACAGAGCGAGACTCTGTCTCAAAAAAAAAGAAGTACAATTTACAGACAAAAGTCCTGCAGAAGTTGAGTTCAACCTAGAAATAAAGGGACTGTTTCTTTCCCTAAAACAAAAGAGCAGAGGAAGCAAGAGATGAAGGAAAATAGAAAATAGGATAGGAGTGAAAAGTTGAAGGAGATTGCAGATAACCTTGAACTTCTCAGTAAAGCAGAAAGCAAGATCATCTTCCGAGTACAAGGGGAAGGGGAGATCAAACAGTGAGTTTCAAAAATATGAAAAAAGCTTTTAGATGATCAATGGAGGAAACTAATCAGTGAGTCTCCAAGAGATTAATAAAAGGACTACCAAGCAGCAACAAGAGCCAGGTAAGGTTTGGTAGAATGAATTTGCAATGAACTGAATCAGTGGTTTCACGTTTTTCTCCATCATGACTTGGTAGCCTAGAAAAAAAAGAGAGAGAAAAATTAATTGGTAATGGTGAACATGATTTAGGGATTGATTGGGTAGGCACTTGGTGGAAATATAAGGTGAAGTGTTCTAGAGTGATAGTTAAAGCATCCTTTAAAGTTCTCAACTTTAGAGACCGGATAGAAAAAAAAATGGAGTTGGAAAAAGCTGTGGCTGTCTTGGACTAAGGGTTGGCAAAGACACGACACGTGTGTCAACTATTCTGTCTACAGGCCAGGCCGTAGGTAGAAATCACTAATAGATCTTGGTACCCTTTCTTACCAACTCAGTACTCCATGAACTTAGTTGCAGTAGATTAGAGAGGACACACAATTAAAAACCTACCAGACACACCTGTACCTACAGGGGGCTCCTCCAAGGCAGTAAACATGTCATATTAATCTCTGAATCTCCAAATGTCCCACCTGCCACATACTAAGCTCTCATTTAATAAATGATTGTGGAAAGCAAGAAGGAAATTGTGGGGAGGAAGCGGGGAAGAGAATACAGTCTGTGACGAAAAAGAAAGACTAGGGTCAGAAAGGGTAGGAGCACAAAGCTGATTTTTTTTTTTTTTTTTGAGACGGAGTCTCGCTCTGTCGCCCACTCTGGAGTGCAGTGGCGCGATCTCAGCTCACTGCAAACTCCGCCTCCCGGGTTCACGCCATTCTCCTGCCTCAGCCTCGCGAGTAGCTGGGACTACAGGCGCCCACCACCACGCCCAGCTAATTTTTTTGTATTTTTAGTACAGACGGGGTTTCACCATGTTAGCCAGGATGGTCTCGATCTCCTGACTTCGTGATCCGCCCGCCTCAGCCTCCCAAAGTGCTGGGATTACAGGCGTGAGCCACCGCGCCCGGCTTGATATCTTTGAGATAGAACTATTTTTAAAAGAAGAGTTACAGGTTTGCCCCTTCTAATGAATAAAAAAAAATATTAAACAGATTGTTAAACCATAATTCTAAATTTTCTTCTATAAAATTTTCTCATTCCTTTCTTGGAAAGAGTTTTTTTTAGTAACTTAGCCTATGAAAGGCTAACTTTAACTTCAGGCAGAGTAGTCTAATATAAAAGTTTTAGCATCTAAACATTTAAAAACCAAGCGTTCACTAATGTTTTGTTTACATAATATGGATGTTCTGAGGAATAAATACCTTGTCACACTGTTATGGAACCGTAATATCTTCAATTGACAAAAGTGCGGGATTTTTGTGTTGATGATTTTTCCATTAGAAGCACGAAAAATTTTGGCTAAAGTCTGATATAATATAGAATGCAGGGAAAATATTTCTGGTTTTCTGATCCTTAAAGAGAAAATTTAAGATGCTTAGTTGTTTGAATTTTTCAACCATTGATAACTGTAATGAATTATGAATGCAAATGTTTTTAGTAATGTTGTCTTAACATTTACCTGAAAATACAATTAACTACTTTTCTCTGCATGTCATGACTCAAAAATTAGTTTTACATGGTTGCTCTCTAACTGGTATTTTTAATGGAAATATTGGATATTTTCCTTTGTTCATTGTCTGAACTGCCTCTGACAAACTCGTCATGGGGCAAAACATGCCAAGTCTTCTTATTAGCAACATCAACCGTGGTGAGGCCAGCGAGGCTTTGTTAAACAGATAATAGCTACAGATAGCAGAGTACAAACAAGACTTGAGTATGGAGCTACAGCCTTAGGAAATATGTGTAAAGTACTTAAAATAAAGGTACCTTTCAGCCAGGCACAGTGGCTCATGCCTGTAATCCCAGCACTTTGGGAGGCAGAGGCAGGTGGATCACCTGAGGTCAGGAGTTCGAGACCAGCCTGGCCAACATTGTGAAAGCCCCATCTCTACTAAAAATACAAAATGAGCCAGGCATAGTGGCGTATGCTTGTAATCCCAGCTACTCCGGAGGCTGAGACAAGAGAATCGCTTGAACCCAGGAGGCAGAGGTTGTAGTGAGCCGAGATTGCGCCATTGCACTCCAGCCTGGACAACAAGAGCGAAACTGTGTCTCAAAAATAAATAAATAAATAAAGGTACTTTCCCTTTATGATACATATATAAAGGAATATTATTCAGCCTTAAAAGGGAAGGCAATACTGAAAACATAGATAAACCCTGATGACACTATGCAAGTGAAATAAACCAGGCACAAAAGGCCACATATTGTATGAGTCCTGTTTTACCTGGTACTTCCCTAAGGAGACGGGGAGAATGGGGAGTTATTGTTTAATGGATACAACATTTCAGTTGGGGAAGATGAAAAAGTTCTGAAGATGGATGGTGATGCTGTTTGCACAGCAATGTGACTGTACTAACACCACTGAATTGTATACCTAAAAACAGTTAAAATGGTAAATTTTACGTTCTCTGTATTTTATCTCAATAAAAAAATAAAATATAATAAAGGAACTTCCAACTATATTTTCATAATCAAAGGAAACTGTGACTGATTCTGACTCATGATAATATAAAGTAAGTAGATTTATTTCCCCCATGAAAATGTTGCAACCCTGAAGTAAATACACTTACATTACAATGTTGGCACCAAATTCATTTTATTAAAAAAAAAATTGGATAGGACATGTAACAAAGAAATGGCATTTGATTGTGAGATAAAAAGAAAAAATTATAAAGTGTATCCCGCATCGTCAAAAATATATCACCTCGTGGCCTTCAAAGCTTTACTGGAATTAGATTAGAATTAGATTACAGCTATATTACTTTGGTGTGAGACGCTGTGTGTAGTTTCTTTTCTTAACAGCAACTTAAAATGCTCATTTTGGTTACTAGGAAAAACCAAAATTAGAAACACTGAAGAGGGGAGCTTTAAAATGTGAAGATTGCTAAAATATGCTAGTATAACCAACACATGTAGGGCAAGGTAGAAAAGTAAATTATATTGATGTACTTGTGTTACCAAACTGCTTTCTTGGCCTAAAATTATTCAGCATGTAAAAAGATTCCCAGTAATGTCAGTGACTATGTAGGAAATTGATAACTACTCAACCTCCTACCCCACTCTCCACCTCCACAAAAAATAAAATAAAATCTGAGCCACTGGGCTGCACAGCACTGTCAGCTGCTTTGTTACCCTGAGAAGTGCAGAGGGTCGGTGGAAATTACCCTGTAATGAGCAATCCATCTGGCTGCACCTAAAAATGGAATAGAAATGCCACCCTTGACTTTTCCGTGGTAGTAAATTAAAGCCTAACGTATAGTTCTAATTGCTAACATTTTCTCTCTAATTATGGTTCAGTTTGGCTAGGATTTCCGACAATCCCCTTGTTCCCCTAAAGCAAACACCAGAGAATGTTCTAACCCCACTGGTGGCATTTATTAATAACCCCCTTGACAGATGAAAAAAAAATTATTCTATATAAGACAGGAAAAGATTTTCCAAGTAAAAGCTAATTGATTTTTTTAAAAACCTATTCAGACGCTATACAGGAATTAATTTTATAGAGAGGAAAAGAATACAATAGTGTCAAATCAAAACAGACTCATGCATAGTATCATGCTGCCTGGGCACTGTTTGGGGTGCCAGCTAGAAAAAAACCTGATAAATGTATAAAAAAAAATCTATGCATACTTATTTACTGGGATGAAGAAACAAGAAAAAGAGAGCTCTCTTGTGAAGGATTCTTACTTTGTGCCTCCATGAGAGAGATAGGATATGATAAGTTAGTTTCCATGATTGGCAAATGCAAACACATATGAAAAAAAATTGTTGGGAATGCTTCCACAGTCTTCTGTTTAATCTCTTTCATTCTTACTTTTTAAAAGGCATTATTCTTTTAAACAAATGTACAAATACATGCTAAATACAAATCAGTATTTATCTATAGGTCTAGTTCTCATCAAACAGTATACAGCTTCCTGAATGACAATTAATAAGTTGGAAATACTAAACAAAAGATTTCTGATATACTAAGAAGAGGCGTGAGAGAAAAAAAAATACACTGTAAAAAAAAAGGTTTTGGAAAACTACACTCCAAAATACCTAGTATAATATTGAAATACAACTTTATAAAGCAAAGCAGTGGTGGACTCAAGGTGGAGGGAGCGGACACACTGGGTGACAGTCAGAACCTTCCATACAAGTAATGAGGCACTGTCTTCAGAGAGTGGAAAATCAATATTACAACAACTTTAAAAACAATCTGCTTTTGCCAAGTATGGTGGCTCACACCTGTAATCCCAGCACTTTGGGAGGCCGAGGCTGGCGGATCACATGAGGCCAGGAGTTCAAGGGCAGCCTGGCCAACATGGCGAAACCCCATCTCTACTAAAAATACAAAAATTAGTTGGGTGTGGTGGCTCATGCTTGTAGTCCCAGCTACTTGGGGTGCTGAGGCACGAGAATCACTTAACCCAGGAGGCAGAGGTTGGAGTGAGCCCAGATTGCACCACTGCACTCCAGCCTGGGCAACACAGTGAGACTCTGTCTCAAAAAAAAAAAAAAAAAAAAGGATCTGCTTTTTTGTATCATCCCCAGGTGCTCATCATTCTAAACAATGTAAGGAATAAAATAATACTCTCCACAAAAATAGTTTGTCTAAGTTCTAAACAATATTTGTGGTTACTGTTAAGTTTTAGTAATATAGTTGTACACTTCAATTACATTATTAAGTTTTAATAATGTAGTTGGCAAATTCCCCCCAGGTGTGAGCCTGTGAAATCAAAAGTTTGCACATTTTTATTTCTTAGGCTTTCTAAACGCTGCATTCTACATGAAAGTTCAGAAAACTGTCAGGCACATTGTCCCCAATAAATATGGACTCAGCTACACATGTTCATTTTGAGAGTCAGTTTATAAGAATTGAGAGCCATTGAGTTTGCTTTGGGAACAGTTTGTCTTTCATCTCAGTAATACTATATATTCTTGCATATAAACAATAGATTTTAAATGAACAGTAGGAGCGCAATGATTGTGGTATTTGTCCGTTTTTTGTTAGCTATAACAATACTATAGACTGGGTAATTTATAAAGAAAAGGAATTTATTTATTACAGTTTTATAGGCTGGGAAGTCCAATAACGAAGTGCTGGCATCTGGTGAGGGCCCTTTTTGCTGTATCATAATATAGCGGAAGGCATCACATGGCAAGAGGTAAGAGCTTGCCAGCTCAGCTCTCTCTTTCTCTTCTTATAAAGCCGCCAGTCCCATCATGGGGGCCCTACGCTGACGATCTTATCTGACCCTAATTACCTTCCAAAGGCCCTACCTCCAAATACCACCAACATGTGAATTTGAGGATTAAGTTTCCAACACATGAATTTTGAGAAACACATTCAAACCACAGCATTCAGCCCTTGGCCCCTGAAATTTATGCCTTTCTTGCATGCAGAATACATTTATTCCATTCCAATATCCCCAAAATCTTTAATCATTCCAGCACCACTTCAAAAGTCCAAAGTCCAGAGTCTGATTTTAATCAGATCTGGGTGAGACTCAAGGCACAATTTATCCCATGCAAATTTCCTCCAGCTATAAGCCTGTGGAATCAAAACAAGTTATCTACTTCCAAAATATAATGGTGGGACAGGCATAGGATAGACATTCCCATTCCAAAAGAGAGAAAGAGGAAAGAAAATAAGCAGTAACTGGTCTCAAGTAATTCTGAAACTCAAAAGGGAAAACAACTTTAAACCTTAAAGCTTTGACTCCATATGCCACCTCCTAGAAACACTGCAGGTTTAGACTTTCAAATCTTCGGCAGCACCATCCCTATGGCTTTGCTGGACTCCGCTCAAGCAGCTCTTTTCACATGTTGAAGTCTCATGGAATCCTCCCAGCCTGGCATTGCACACTGGTAGTTGTAGTCTGGGGTTTTAGGGGTGATCCTGCCCCAGCAGCTCCACTAGGCATTGCTGTAGTGGGGGCATTCTGTGGTGTCTCCGCTCCTGTGGCAAGTCTCTGCCTGTTTCCCCAGGCTATTTATGACATCCTTTAAAATCCAAGTGGAGGAAGCCATGCCTCCACAGCTCTTGCATTCTGTGCACCTACAGAATTAGCACCAGGTGGATACCATCAAGATTTACGACTATACCTTCAGGAGTGGCTGGTGCAGTCACACTTGGAACCATTTGAGCCACAGCTGAGGTGGCTGAGAAACACTGCATGGGAATGCAGGTAGCAGAGACTGGAGGTGACGCTGGGCAATGACTTGTCCCCTGAAACCATTTTGTCCTCCCACAGCTCTAGGACTGTGATGGGAGGGGCAGCCTGAAAGATCTCTGAGATACTTTCAGGTTCTTCTCCCATTATCCTAATGAATAGCCTCTGGTTCCATTCTACCCATACTCATCTTCTCAAGCAGTCACTTGGTCACTCTGTAGTATTTCTCTGCTGAAAATACTCTCATTCTCTACTACTTGGCTAGGCTGCAGATTTTCCAAATCTTTCCACTCTGCTTTCCTTTTAATTGTAAGTTCTGTCTTTAAATAATCTCTTTTCTCAGTGGGGCATGGTGGCTCACTCCTGTAATCTCAGCACTTTGGGAGGCCAAGGCAGGTAGATTACTTGAGGTCAGGAGTTTGAGACCAGGCTGATCAACATGGCAAAACCCCGTCTCTACTAAAAATACAAATATTAGCCAGACGTGGTGGTGCACGCCTGTAATCCCAGCTACTCAGGAGGCTGACAGAATTGCTTGAACCCGGGAGGCAGAGGTTGCAGTGAGCCAAGATAGCACCACTGCACTCCAGCCTGGGCAACAGAGCGAGACTCCATCTCAAAAAAAAAAAAAATATATATATATATATATATATGTGTGTGTGTGTGTGTGTGTGTGTGTGTGTGTATGTGTGTATATATATATGTGTGTGTATATATATGTATATATATGTGTGTATATATATGTGTATATATATATGTGTGTATATATATATGTATGTATTCTCTCCTATTTTACTATAAGCAGTTAAAAGTAGCTATGCAGCAACTGGAATGCTTTGCTGTTTAGATAGTTTTTCTGCTAAATATTCTAATTTGTCACTCTTAAATTCTGCCTTCCATAAAGCATAGACATACTTCAGCCAAGTTCTTTGCTACTTTATAATAGTCTTTGCTTCAGTTTCCAATACCTTGTTCTTTAGTTCCATCTGAGACCTTTACTATCTATCAACATTCTGGCCATGACCACTCAAGTAATCTCTAAGAAGTGCCAGACTTTCCCTAGTCTTCTATTCTTCCAAGCCATCAGCAGAATCACCCTTAATGCTCCGTTCATGGCAATACAGGCTTATTTTTAGGCTGCTCCTCCAGATTCTTCCAGCCTCTGGTCATTACCCAATTCCAAAGCTGCTTCCACAATTCAGATATTTGTTATAGTAACAACCCCACTTCTGGTACCAATATTCTGTCTTAGTTCATTTTCTGTTGCTATAACAGCATACCACAGACTGGGTGACTTATAAAAATAAATAAATTTATTTCTTAGAGTTCTGGAGACTGGGAAGTCCAAAGTCAAGTTGCTGGCATCTGTGAGGTCCTGTTTGCTGCATGTACAGAGGATATCATATGTCAAGAGGGCAACAGCAGGCCAGCTCAGCTCTCTTTCTCTTCTTATAAAGTCACCGTACTATCAGGGGGTCCCAACCTCCATAACTTTATCTAACCCTAACTAACTCTCAAAGATCCCACCTTCAAATACCATCAACATGTTACTTTGGGGATTAATTTCTCAACACATGAAATTTGGGGAAAACATTCAAACCATAACAATTATAAAGACAAAGAAATAGAGTTCAAGGTACTTCAGTCCTGTCATCCTGAGTGTTGGAATTTTTATTTATAGTTAATTTTTTTCTACTGCAGAAATATTTAAGAGCCATTAGAATTGATTCTGAAGGAACAAAGACATGGGATTTATTGTAAAATGGGATTTTTATGAATTTCTGCCAAAATTGTTTAAAACTTTTCCTATGGTTATATTTTGCTTCATATAAAAGAAACATTTCAAAACTAAAGTTAATTAAAAATATTCTTAAGATTTTAATTTTTTTTTTAATTTTTTTGAGACAGGGACTTTCTGTGTTGCCCAGGCTGGTCTTAAACTTCTAGGCTCAAGTGATCCTCCTGACTCAGCCTCCCAAAGTGCTAGGATTACAGGCGTGAGCCACTGTACCCGGCCAAAAGTGTTCTTTAATCAACAAAGGGAAAGGATAAGTCTGACTATATTATCTATTGAATATAAATGTGTAAAGATCAATTTTGACAAAGTCACTGACAAATTTGCAGAAATTATAGCTCAAGGTGAAAAGCAGAAATTATAATATTATTTATTACTGCAACAGACTGATATGTAGACACAATATTTTTCCCTTTTCTCAAAAAAATGCATTAATATACTCAGACTATTAATTCATTATTTCCATTTTTTGTACTATAATCTCTATTTATTTAGAATTCTTTATTTTTCCTTTACCTGAACAATTATAAATTTAAACTTCAGTAAAATAAAATTTTCATAGTTTACATTTCTTTTTTAGACATTATTATTATTGGTTTCATTTTATAAATTTTACAGAAGATAATTTTGTTGTATAAGACGAGGGAAGTGTGAAAAAATGATCTGCTCAAGGTTTCAAATACCCCAGGTGTCTACTGGAGCAAAGAAAATAAATTATATTATCTTACATGATTGGAGGATATGGATATTATTCAAATAATCTAGCTAATGGTTTTCTAATAGATTGCCAATTCTTATAAAATAATAATTAAAAACAAATATCAAGTAAAACTAGGTTTGTGTACAACTAAATCTTTGATAATTAAAAAGGTCACTCAATAACTCAAAATCATTGTGACTGATCAATTATAACATCAATTATCATTGTAGTATACATATGTAGAAACACTAATTAGTGAAATCCCAGATAACAAAATGTTACGTAACAGAACATTAAGAAGTTAAAACAAGTGCTTATGGTGAATACTATTTAATTCACACTTCTATTTCTTAAATAATATAAAAGTCATCTGAAGTTTACTGTGTTCAATCTCAAGTAAAATTTTCATAGCCCTAAAATATAATTTCAAGCAGTACTTTTCTGGTAAAAAAAAGAATTATCACATATTTCATTGTTCTCATTGAGATTTATTTGTTTTGATGAACTAAATAATAGTTGTAAGACTTAGTTTCTCCAAATTAGCTGATTAAATTAGTTCTTCGTTACTCAACTCTTTGTTGATTCCTGGCACCGGGAAGACTTCTAATATACGCACAGGTAAGCCTATGAGGAAAAATAATTGCAACATGAAATTACAGGCTGTATGATGAAAAGAAACCAGTGCTCCATCATTCAGATCTCTTTGAATTTACTTTTCAGTTGTTGCTGAAAACCAATTGCTGCTGGTCAAGGCTGGGTTGTGGACCTTGGTTAGGTTTTCACAAGAAGGGCTTCTATTTTCCACCCCAATAGCCTCAGGCACAAATAGGCACCTACAGGTTCATTTGGGCATCAATGGAGTGGCATACAGCTCAATATTCATGCTGAAGCTCCCTTAGCTACACAAATCTGACATCCTGTCAACACATTGACCCAAATTTGTATATGCAAAGGTTTGCCTTAGCAACCTTGGCAGCTAGGAGATCTCAGAAAGGAAGCCTACCCTTTGGGGGAGGTGATGCTTCCTTAAAAATCCAGTTTTTGTCAAATTTCTCACTTAAAGGGATACTCATTGCCTTTCATCTAGAAGTAAAATTGTGAATGAATTACAACTCATGAATTCCCATAAATTGTACCATGTGGTTTTCACTGCAACTTTTGCTGGCTGTGAAGAAGAAAACAGCCCAAATAAAGCCTAAATAATCACTCAGCAATTAGTAGCTGAGTAAGCAAATATGTCAGCCCCAAACTAGGCATTGCAGCTCTAGGAAAAAGCCTGTGGCAGGTACTCTCGAACACAGGTTACTTCGAATAAACATACACACCTAGCTGGCGAGATTACAGGTGTGTGTGTGTAAAAACTGAAACTATCATGGAGAAGCTCATTATGACAAATTCCAAGTGAGTAGTATGGAAAGTAAATGCCACACATGTTCATAAAAGAGAGAAATCTGTGCATGTTGAAGAAGCAGGTGGGCAGATCAGCATGTGCTAAGGTGAGTCTTGGATTAATCTGAACATCAAATTGGCCAGTAACATGCTTATAAACTTTAAAAGCTTCATGAAAAGTAAGACTTTTGAATAGACAATAGGAATACTTCCTTATTATGTCAAAGTATAATACCTTTCTATTTAATGATAATATTTCTATATTAAATTATATTCAGTTTCTGATTCCTAAAGATTTCCAAGTCATTTTTTGCTGCCTTTTGGATCTCCTATTATAAGGCTAATTATTCTTCATATCATGAACAGTTACTCTACCATCTTACCCTGACATACAGTGACAATCTTCCCTTCTCGCCTTCCACAAGTGGAGAATACCTCTTCATCCATTACCCTGAAGAGAAGGTTGACATATTCTTTAATCTACTTACTCCTTATCAAACCCTCCTCACCTTTATCCCACAACTCATACTAGTAAAGTCTGTGCCCTCCTTGATTGACACCCCTTTTCCTGTTGTCACTACCATCAGCCATTCTCCAGCACATTGATTCAGATTTCTCTCCATCCTATCTCCTGCCATTCCTCAGTGCAACCTCTAGATCAGGGGTCCCCAAACCCCCGGCCACGGACCATGGCCTGTTAGGAACTGGGCTGCACAGGAGGTGAGTGGAAGGTGAGTGGCAGGTGAGTGAGCCTTACGGCCTTAGCTCCGCCTCCTGTCAGATCAGTGGCATTAGATTCTCACAGGAGCGTAACCCTATTGTGAACTGCGCATGCCCGGAATCTAGGTAGTGTACTCCTTATAAGAATCTAAAGCCTGATGATCTGAGGTGGAACAGTTTCATCCCAAAACCATTGCCCCCAACCCACCCCCATATATGGAAAAATTGTCTTCTACCAAACCAGTCCCTGGTGCCAAAAAGGTTGGGAACCACTGCTCTGGATTGTGTCTCCTGCCATTCCTGTGCAGCCTCGAGATCTTTTCAGCCTCCGTAACTTTTACTGCTACTCCTCTGTTTTCTTTTTTCTTTTCTTTCCCCCCCTTTTTTTTTCAGAGACAGTGTCTCGCTCTGTTGCCCAGGCTGGAATGCAGTGGTGCGATCTCGGCTCACTGCAGCCTAGATCTCCCTGGTCTCAGGTGATCCTCCCACCTCAGCCTCCCGAGTAGCCAGGACTACAGGAAAACACTGCTACATCTGGCTAATTTTTATATTCTTTTTAGAGATGGGGTCTTGACATGTTGCCCAGGCTGGTGTTGAACTCCTGGGCTCAAGCAATCAGTGCACCTCAGCCTCCCAAAGTTCTGAGATTACAGGTGTGAGCCACTTCACCCAGACTGTTTTTTTTACATTCATGCCGTGAATCTTACTTGTCAGAATCATGTTTACAATATATCTTAATTTGTCAAAAGAAAAAACACTTTGGAGACATCTGCCATCACCTGTTGTAGGACTAAGTATCTAAGAGGAGAGGAGGAGATAAGTTATTGTACCAATCATAAGTAAATGTCTTTCAACATATAAAACAAATGCATATCGTAGAGCCTCCTGAACCAATGATTGTGCAGTCTTTGTGAAAGTTACCAGTGAAAATGTTGTTAATGTCATATCCTTCCAAAGTCAAAGATGCTTGGGGACTGTCCCCCCAAATTTTGAACTCATGGGCCAGGCATGGTGGCTCACACATGTAATCCCAGCACCTTGGGAGGCTGAAGTGGGCAGATCCTTTGAGGCCAGGAGTTCAAGATCAGCCTGGGCAAAACAGTGAGACCCTATTTCTACAAAAAGAAATTTTAAAAATTAGCCTGGTGTGGTGGTGTGGGGTGCCTGTGGTCCCAGAAACTGGGGAGACTGAGGTGGTAGGATGACTTGAGACTGGCAGGTCAAGGTTGCAGTGATCCGTGATCATGTCACTGCACTCCAACCTGGGTGACAGAGTGAGAACCTGTCTCAAAAACAAATTAATTAATTAATTAATTAAAAAATAGAGCTCGTGTAATTTTTTATTAGTAATGACTTAGTAACTACTAAAATACAATTAGTGAATATTAAAACAGAATTCTTTATTAGTAACTACTAAATGCAGTTGTTTTATTAGAGACTTCTGAAATAGAATTTCTTTTCATATGTCTAAAACCATAAATGTGGGTCTCTGGCCATTTTAAACTGTTGCATGGTAAATGCCAGGAGGACTGAGAAGATTTGAGTTTAATTTCCAAGTCTGCCACTTAATGGCACTGTGACTTTTGACAAATAACTTCATCTCTCAGTTTTCCCATCTGTAAAGTAGGGATAATTATAACATTAGCTCAGGTCACTGAATGTTATTAAAAGAGAAAACAGATGTGAAAATAGCTTATACATTTTAGAAGCACATAGCAAATGCTAATTGCTGTTATTTCTTTTCTTTCCTTTTTCTCTTTTTCTTTTCTTTTCTCTCTCTCTTTTTTTTTTTTTTTTTTTTTTGGAGACAGAGTTTCGCTCTTGTCACCCAGGTTAGAGTGCAATGGCACAACCTCAGCTCACTGCAACCTCCACCTCCCGGGTTCAAGCAATTCTCCTGCCTCAGCCTCCGGAGTAGCTGGAATTACAGGCACCCACCACCACGCCCAGCTAATTTTCGTATTTTTAGTAGAGACGTGGTTTTGCCATGTTGGCCAGGCTGGTCTCGAACTCCTGACCTCAGGTGACCTGCCCACTTTGGCTTCCCAAAGTGCTGGGATTACAGGCGTGAGCCACCGTGCCTGGCCAAATTGCTGTTATTTCACAATATTGCACCGACAAATTTAATACTGTGGCTAAGGCTGTGGGCTCAAAGTCAGACTGCTTGGATTTAATTCTTACTTTCCTTCCCCAGTTACTAGATATGTGACCTTGGAGGTCCTTTAATTTCTCTAAGACTCGGTCTCCTTACTAAAAAGGTATAGTACCTATTGAGTAGGATGTACTGAAGCTCAAATGAGGTAAGGAAAACAAAGCACTTATAGCACTATCTGGAAAATTGCAAAATACAGAGTCATACATCATGTAACGACATTTCAGTCCATGACGGACCACAGTATAGTTTCGTAAGATTATGATGGAGCTGAAAAATTCAAGACTCAGTGATGTCTTAGTCGTCATAATGTCATAGTGCAACACACTAACATGTTTGTGGTGATGCTGATGTAAACAAACCTACTGCATTACTAGTTGTGTAAAAGTACAGCATGTGCAATTATGTATGTACATAATATTTGATAATGATAATAAATGACTATGATACCAGATTATGCATTTACTACATAAATACTATACTTTTTATTGTTTATTGTTTATTGTGTACTATACTTTTTATTGTTATTTTAGAGTAATCCTTCTACTTAAAAAAAGAAAATTCAACTATAAGACAGCCTCAGGCAGGTCCTTCAGGAGGGATTCCAGAAGAAGGCATTGTTGTCATAGGAGATGACAGCTCCATGCGTGTTATTGCCCCTGAAGGCTTTCCAGTGGGACAGGATATGGAAGTGGAAGACAGTGATATTGATGATCCTGACCTTATGTTGGCCTAGGCTTAAGTGTGTGTTTGTGTCTTAGTTTTTAACAAAAATGTTAATAGAATAAAAAAAAAAACTTCTAAAAATCTAAAAATAGAAAAACACTTACAGAATAAGGATACAAAGAAATATTTTTGTACGGTGAGTGCTAGGATGTTTGTGTTTTAAGTGTTATTATAAGAGTCAAAAAGTTAAAAACATTTAAGTTTATAACGTAAAAAAGTTACAGTAAGCTGAGGTCAATTTATTATCAAAGAAAGAAATTTTTTAAATAAATTTTAGTGTAGCCTATGTGTACAGTGTTTATAAAATCTAGAGTAGGTACAGTCATGTTCTCAGGCTTCACATTCACTCCCACTCACTCACTGTCTCAGCCAGGGAACCTTCCAGCCCTGCAAGCTCCATTCATGGTAAGTGGCCTATGCAGGTGTGTACCATTTAAAATCTTTTATACTGTATTTTCACTGTGTTTTTTCTATGTTTAGATACATAAATACTTACCATTGTGTTACAGTTGCCTACAGTATTCAGCACAGTATGATACTGTACAGGTTTATAGCCTAGGAGCAATGGGCTATACCACAGAGCCTAGATGTAGGCCTCACTCTCATGTAGCATATGTCTTAGTTGCAGTAAGGAAGGTGTGTAGTAGGCTACACCATCAAGGTTTGTGTATGTATACTTTATGATGTTTGCACAATAACAAAATTGTCTAATGATGCATTTTGCAAAACATATCCCTGGTGCTGAGCAATGCACGACTGTGTGAATAGATGTTCATTTACTCATTAATTTACTCAACAAATATTTATCGAGTGCCTACTCCATGCCTATTCTAGAACTGAGAATACAATACAGAATACAAGACAGAAAAAGCCCTTACTCTGATGTAGCATATATCTTAGTTGTAGTAAGGAAGGTTTTATCATTATTGCAAATAACAAAATAAATGTTAAACATATCTGGAGGTGATAGCACGCTATAATGAAAATAAAACAGGGCAAATGTTATAGAATAACTTAGAATCTCTATTATTAGCCATCAGAAGCTGATTTTTCCCACCACTGCTCTTCCTTTTAAATCTACATTGTGGAGTTGTTTCTTTCTCATGCACGGGCTCCACTTTGACTTAGAGAGATGTAAACACACTTTTAAGACATTTCCCCTCCTAATGTCACATAAGAGCAATAACACTCTCACACAACATTGGAAATCTAAGCATCATATAATGAAGCCATGGCTTGTAGTCACAGAAATGAACAGAGAACTCAGTGTAAACGCTCTTAAACCTATATAGGCTTTGGAAAGCCAATCTTTTATTTATGGTACTCCAACATTTTCCAAATTAACACATGTTTATGAAACAATTACTACATGAAAGTCTCTATAAGAGACATAAAGTGATATAAGAAAATAGTTCCTATTGTCAAGAAATTAATAGTCTAGTTGGAAGAGAAAATATAATAATATGTTTAAAGTTAAATAACCTAAAAGACTTAATTTACATTTCAAAATAACAATAAAAATCACTTATTACCAAATAAACTATTTGAATAGGTCAGTTCAAAAGAAAACTCAAAAGACAGAATAACATTTCTAATTTGGATAGCCAGGGAGGTTTGCATTTGAAAAACTGGGAGAAGACAGTATTTCAAGTGGAGAGTATAGTTTAAACAAATGTCTGTTGACAAGTGAGTGTAAATACATTTCAAGTAGAATGAGTTTAACTATTTGCCTATAGAAAAATTCAGAAGAAAAGGTAGAAATGTGGCTAAAACACAAAAGACTTCAGGATATTTAACAAAAAAAAAAAAAAAGAGAAGATACATGCAGTAAAAATCTGCACCTTGAGAATGTTTATTTTGTCATCTGTAATGGTAAACAAAGAAAGAAAGTGAAAAGAAAAAGTAAGTAAAGGGGAAGGAAAGGGAAGGAAAAATATATTAGGAAACTATTGTACATAATAAGGTGGAATATTGTGTTGCCATGAAATGGTCATTGTGCAGACTTCGTGGAAATCTTGAGAAATGTTTGTGATGTCATGTTAAGTGAGCAAATCAAAACTATGATTTGATTCTATCACTGTGATTCTCCACTACCAATTAAAAATAGATCTGTATGCATGTTAATGAAGAAGAAGTTTACAAAGGTTGTTAACAAAGAATTAAGGGAAACTAACAAGGAACATTATGGCACCACTGGGCTGGCATCAGTGAAGGGACAAAACCACCTGAGACCAGAGGGGCACAGGGAGTGGTTATGGGAAACTGGAAAGAGCTGTGGTGGAGGAAAGTTCATCAACAGAGGCTGTGGCCTTAGGATGTGGCCTCATGCAGCCGCTGCCTACCAACAGACCAGCAGAGAGAGAGCCAGGAGAATAAATACCCTCATCCTTCCCCTGACTCTGATCTCTTGCTGATGCCGCCTATAGATAGACTGTCATCAGGCCAGGCGCGGTGGCTCACGCCTGTAATCCCAGCACTTTGGAAAGCCAAGGCGGGCAGATCACCTGAGGTCAGGAGTTCAAGACCAGCCTGACCAACATGGAGAACCCCGTCTCTACTAAAAATACAAAAAATTAGCTGCGCATGGTGGCACATGCCTGTAATCCCAGCTACTGGGGAGGCTGAGGAGGAGAATCGCTTGAACCTAGGAGGTGGAGATTGCGGTGAGCCAGGATCGCACCATTGCACTCCAGCCTGGACAACAAGAGCGAAACTCCGTCTCAGGAAAAAAAAAAAAAAAAAAAATAGATGTCCTCAAAAAGAAACCCCCAGCAAAGAAAGCCAGCAAGGAAGCCTGAATACCACAGTCAAAGAGGTCTGCTTCAGCCTCTCTCATATGTCACCTATGCCTATTTACTATGTTAACACGATGCTTCAAATGTTTCATTCAGCGCGAACAGCACAGTGAGTGACTGCATCATCAATGTTTCCATAGTATATTATATATAATCATTCATCCCTCAAATACCAAGTTACAGAGCTAAGGACCGTTTGCAATGCTAGTCCCTGGGGAAACAAAGATGAATGACTTCTGCCCTAAAAGCTCACAGTCTAATGCAGGAAAACAAACATGCAGAAAAAAATGTGGTGAATATTATCTTAGAAGCACACGGTGGTAAACACAGGAGTACAATGGTAGGCTAGAGAGCTCAGTTTGGGCTTAGAAGTACAATGGTAGGTTAGGAACAGGAAGGAGGAAGGAGGCAATTCTGCCTAGAAGTTTCAGGGAAAGCGTCAGAGAAATTACTTTGGAGGTGAGTAGTAAGGGATAAATAGAGGTTTTCCAGAATTGGGAAGTGGGAGAAGAGCATCCAGATTGAAAGTGTAGCTTGTGCAAACATAAAGTGTTTGAAAATTAGGGAAAGTGGAGTTTGAATCATTGCAGAGGAAATCGAGGAGGGTTAGGTGGAGACAGACAAGGGATAAGGCTAGAGAGATAGGTCATACAGAGAGTCAGGTGATAAGTAGTCCCTGAGTGACAGACTCACTCCTGGGTCTTTTCTAGGAAGCCTTCCATCACCCTGAAGGCAGGACGAGCCACCACTGTCCTTTGCACACTCTTCATGCATTTCTCACAGCAGTCACTTTATTATGTTGAAATTGTCTGTTCATGTTTTCATCTTTCCCGCTAGATCGTAAGTTCATGAAGGGCAGAAACTTTTATTCACCTTTGTGGTAACACATGGTCTGGCATATGGTAAGCAACAAAGAAATGTTTGTTGAACTAAGGGAGCCTGAAAAGGTCTTTCTGTTATAGAATGTGTAGTGAGGGGGTCTGCAAGCTTTTCTTTTCGGCCCCACCTAAGTACAGGTGCTGGCTTTTCCTTTCTCTGCTTCCCTCTCCCATGCCCCATCATTCCACCAAGTATCCAAAGTTCCGCCTGCCATCTTGAGGGCTATGAGTATTCCAATGTTTTGAAAGGGAGGTTTGTACTCAGCAGATAAATCGAAGAGAATAGCTGTTGTGCTTCCATTTCTTTGGGATTTTGATGTATCGAAAATGGTGAAGCAGAAAATCTAACTGCCTCCATGGGTGGGGGGCGGGGGTGGGAGTTGAGTATTAGGAGAAGATTGAAGTCCTGAGTGATGTAGAACCTGAACCAGGTTTGAGTGGTAGGTAAAAATGTGAGTAGCTAATGAAAAAAGGGAAAGGCATTCTCAGTCCTGAATAAGCACAATCATCCATTTTCTCTGCTCTTTACCCTGCGTTATTCAGTGATGCTAAAAATGTATGCAAACTCGTGCTGATTCCTTATTGTTGCTCCCCATGTAGTATAATGCCTGGAACATTTTAAACACCAGTTTCAACATGGATTGAATTGACTAGTTATAACCCAGCTCAACTCATCTCTCTTCTACCAGCCTACTAAGGAAAAGACCCATTTAAGCTGTTTCCTAAAAAAAGATAAGCTGTCATATAAACAGAGACTGTAAACAATAAGTGTAAAATTTATCTCTTGCTTAGAACTGGATATAACCACATCAACATGCGCTGTTAGAAGTGCTTTACAAAACTGAGCTTTCTGAATTTCCTCCTTCATAAGTTGCATAATACTTCTACTATGCTCAAGACTATGTTTGTATAGGATGTTCATTGCATAAGGACATGCAGCTGAGGGGATACCTGAGAGCTCAAATCCAGTACAAATTCTATGCAATAAGCCGTGCCTGTGAGTTGCATAGATCCAGAGAAGTCAGCTTTTTAAATTTGTACAATAGTTTATGTGGGCTAGCAGTGCCCTCTCTATACTTCTTTGCTTCTCTTCCTATTCCCTATTCTCACTGGAAAAGGTGGACTGAAATCTTGATGACGATACTACCATTACCATCTTCATTACATTTCTGGTACACTGGTGTCCTCAAAAGATGGTACCAAGGCAAAAGTTATGACCTAAGTCTTTATTAGAAGGTGTAATGCCAGAGTTTTAAGAGTGAGGGAGACTGGACATGGTGGCTCACGCCTGTAATCCCAGCACTTTGGGAGGCTGGGGGGGTGCTGATCACGAGGTCAGGAGTTCAAGACCAGCCTGACCAACATGGTGAAACCGCGTCTCTACTAAAAGCACAAAAATTAGCCAGGCATGGTGGCACACGCCTGTAATCCCAGCTACTCAGGAGGCTGAGGCAGGAGAATTGCTTGAACCTGGAAGGCAGAAGTTGCAGTGAGCGGAGATCGCACCACCGCACTCTAGCCTGGGCAACAGAGCGAGACTCCATATCAAAAAAAAAAAAAACAGACTGAGGGAAAAGGGGAATTGAAGCATAGAAGAAAGAAAAGCGGGTAAAACATGGTAAGTTGACCACAACTTCATAAGAAAACACAGTTGGCCATGCACAGTGGCTTGTCCCTGTAATCACAGCACTTTGGGAGGCCAAGGCAGGAGCATTGCTTGAGCCCAGGAGTTGGAGACCTGGACAACATAGCAAGACCTCATCTCACAAAATAAAAAAAATAAAAAAAATAAAGGAAAAGAAAACACAGTCAGTTGTTTAGTCCTAGGGGACATCTTCCAGGCAGGCTACTATGGAGCTCCCAGCTGTTCCCTGTCTCTCATTGTCTGAATCTGGCCCTATGCAGCCAATACACTCCTCAAATGCACTACCCGGCTTCATTGCCATCTGCTGGAGAAGACAAATTCCATACCCCAATATGTGTGATCCATCTGGATCCACAAGTGATGGAGAAGCTACAGCCTACGTGGGTGCAGTAGGGTCAGGTCTGGGTGCTGGAGCTGCCGTGCCTCCTGTTGGACCAGATGTAGGGCAGGCCGAGTGAGAATTGAGTAAGCTTTAGAAGCCTTGGTAGTTTTAAAAGACAATGGTAGTGACAATGGTGGTGACCAAGTTCCATACCAAGCAAGCAGAGGAGGCCCAGGAGGCACTCAAGCCAAGCAAATCTGGGGAGGCCCAGAAATCTGGTCTGAAATACCTACAGTCAGTGAATATTGCTTTAAAAAAAAAAGGATTAAAAATCTCATTCCTTGAGCCCCGGATGTCAAGGCTGAAGTAAGCCATGATGGTGCCACTGTACTCCAGTGGGTGACAAAGCAAGACATTTTGTCTCAAAAACAATTAAAAAATAAAAACAAAAAATCTTATCCTTTCTTGATGCTTGTTAATATGAAAATAAAGCAAAATTCATGCTTTTGATGGACTCATTCCCACAAGAAAGGTTAATCATCGTATGAATTTTCGTATGTTTACATGGACAAGATATCAATGATAAGGAAAATGGGCCCAGATGTGCCATAGCCATATGAATGCATACAAAAGTGACTTATTATGGTCATCCATCCATTGGCACATGCAAATAGCTTTGTTTTAAACAATGACAGTCATTGTGTTGGGATTTACATGTAGTTGAGATTCACTTGATCATTCAGAACCAATTTATTCCTAAAATATTATGACAAATATTATATCACATAATCGATGGGCTCATAAAACAATGTCTGCTGCATGGTTGCTAGCTTTGTATTTAAACCTAGGGTAGAATACATAGCATAGCACAGGATAGGATAGGATAGTTAGAAGAATAATTTGCCAGCCAAGTGTGGTGGCTCATGGCTATAATCCCAGCACTTTGGGAGGCCAAGGTGGAAGCATCCATGAGCCCAGGAGTTCAAAACCAGCCCATCCCTATAAAACTAAAAAATTTAAAAAACTAGCTGAGTGTGGTGGTGCACGCCTGTATTCCCAGCTATTCAGGAGGCTGAGGAAGGAGGATCACTTGAGCCCAGGAGGTTGAGGCTCTAGTGAGCTGTGTTCCAGCCACTGCACTCCAGCCTGGGCAACAGAGTGAGATTCTGTCTCAAAAATTAAATAAATAAATAAATAGCCTGTTTTATAAACATGGCTTTAACAAAATATAAGTTTATTTCTTTTTTATGTAAAAGTCAAGGTGCAAGCAATTCAAGGTTGCTATGACAGTTCCTTGGTCATCTGCAACCCAGGCTGTTCTCACTTTCCACTTTGCTCACAAGGGTGGCTTTTGTCTGCATAGTCCAAGATGGCAATTCAACCAACACATCCACCCCTAAGGAACTGGTCCAAGTAAACAAACGGAGGAGGAAGAAGAAAAGGAGTGTCCTTTTTCTTCAATATCACTTCTTAGAAGTTGCATACACCATTCTCTTCATATTCCATTGTTCAAAACCTAGTCATCTAGCCACATGTAGCTATAAAAAAGACTGGGAAATTTTGTTTTTTTCCTAGATAATCTTGTGTACAGATAAAAATCTGTGACTATTGCCCTACAAGAAAGGGATCTTACATGACAACTGGCCTTTGTGCCATAAGCATGGTTTCTTAGTTGAAGACCACACAGAGCTCCCAAGAGCAAGCTAAAAAAATTACAACTACTACATTTGTATCTCATAAAACTCATGTTGCACACTGATCAAGGATGAAAAACAGTATTTTAAGTGTCTGCTCTATAACCAGCATTGCTTGGAAGTGTTATATACAACATAGATACAGGATACTACCCCTGCTCTTAAGTATACCTTCCCCACTCATTGGGGAGACAAACTTGAATTACTAGGATAAACTCAAGATAGCACATAATTTATTTTACGTGTATGTTACAATAGTAAGACCTTATGAAGTAGGAAACAATGTTTTATATGGACCTATGTTCTTCAACTTCAAGAAATCCTCTATTCCCCTAACTCTTAGAATGCCCTTCCACCAGATCCTTACTGGCTGGGTCTTTCACAACCTTCAGAAAAAGGCTCAAATATCACTTCCTAAGGGTGAAACTATTGTAACTAAAATAGGATTCTTTTCAAGCCCTTGAGGGCAGGGACATTGTCTGTCTTATTCATCACTGCGTCCTAGAGACCAGGGGTCCCCAGCCCCTGGGCCACAGACCAGTACCAGTCCACGGCCTGTTAGGAACAGGCCGCAGAGCAGAAGGTGAGGAGCTGGCAAAGAGCAAACCTTCATCTGTATTTACGGCTGCTCCCCCTCACTTGCATTACTGCCTGAACTCCACCTCCTGTCAGATCAGCGGTGGCATTAGATTCTCATAGGAGCACGAACCCTATTGTGAACTGCGTGTGTGCGAGGGATCTAGGTTGCATGTTCCTTATGAGAATCTAACTCCAGATAATCTGTCAGTGTCTCCCATCACCCCCAGATGGGACCATCTAGTTGCAGGAAACCAAGCTCAGGGCTCCCCCTGATTCTACATTATGGTGAGTTGTATAATTATTTAATTATATATTACAACGTAATAGTAACAGAAATAAAGTACATAATAAATGTAATGTGCTGGAATCATCCCCAAACCATCCCCCCATCTAGTCCATGGAAAAATTATCTTCTGTGAAACTGGCCCCTGATGTCGAAAAGGTTGGGGACCACTGCTGGTGGAGACCTATAATGGTGCCTGGCACATGGCAAGCATTCATAAATATTTGTTGAATGATAAATACATACGTGAATGAAGAATTCCCCTAAAGGAAAAGCCCATTGCTTTTATCAAGGGTGGCTTTTGTCTGCATGGTCCAAGATGCAATGCAGATGAGTATGACCATGAGGATATTGTTTCCAATTCCACATAGCCTTTCTTTTTATTTATTTATTTATTTATTTATTTATTTATTTTTGAGACAGAGTCTCGCTCTGTCGCCCCAGCTGGAGTACAGTGGCGCAATCTCGGTTCACTGCAAGCTCCGCCTCCTGGGTTCACATCATTCTCTGGCCTCAGCATTCCAAGTAGCTGGGACTACAGGTGCCCACCATCACAACCGGCTATTTTTTTTTTTTTTGTATCTTTAGTAGAGATGGGATTTCACTGTGTTAGCCAGGATGTTCTTGATCTCCTGACCTCATGATTTGCCCACCTCGGCCTCCCAAAATGCTGGGATTACAGGCGTGAGCCACCACGCCCAGCCTCACATAGCCTTTCAATTATAATCCTTTTTCTCCATCTCAGTCACATACCTCTTCTGAGTCTCTCAACAACAATTCTGAATCATTTATCCTTGAAGCCCCCAGACTTCATCTTCTACTTTAGAACACACACACACACAAACGCCAGCAGTCAGCAGTCAGAACCTCCATCTTCCATTCTGGGTCATCTGAATATAGCCCTATCTTCAATTATTTCCAAACTCAGACCTAAACAAAACTGTCCTCACATCCTGCAGTCCTTAAGCCACTGCTCTGTCCCTCTCCTTCATAATCAAGCTTCTCAAAGTAGTCCAACATCTCTCCTTCCTCATCATCCATTAACTTTTCTCCCGTGGGGATGATGTTCTGACTCCAGCCTTCATCATGCCAACCAAACAACCATCACCAAGACACCAGTGTTTCCAAATTGCCATATTCTAAGTTGCCAGCTTCTTACTAGACCCCTTTGATGCAGCCCAACTTCAAAATTGGCTTTGCACAGGAGAGACTTCACAAACGAGCAAACAAAGCAAAGCAAAGACAAGTTTATTAGAGAAACAGAGTACAGGAAAATGGCTGCTCTATAGACAGAGTAGTAGCAGTAGCAGTAGCAGTAGTAGCAGCAGCAGAAGCAGTAGTAGCAGCAGCAGAAGCAGCAGCCCTCGTAGATTGCTGGCTAGCTATATAATGGCTATTCCTTGATTATATGTTAAATAAAGAGTGGGCTATTTGTGAACCTTCTGGGAGTTCCTGGAACCGAGGCTACCTCCTTCTTTAAGCCATATAAGGTAACTTCCAGGAGTTGCCATGGCATTTGTAAACTGTCATGGCACCGGTGGGAATTTTTTTTAGCATGTAAATGCATTATAATTAGCATACAACTAGCAACGAGGGCAACCAGAGGTCTCTTTCATTGCCATCTTGGGTTTAGCTGGTTTTGACCAGTTCCTTTGTTGCAAATCGTTTTGATCAGCTCCTGTTTTGAGCAGGATCTCGTGACCAGTGCTTGGAAAACATGTCCTGCTGATCTCCTACCTAACCATGGGTAGTAGTCATTCTCTTGTCCCTTGACTTCCATGACAACTCTCTTTTCATTCTCCTTTTTTTCCTCTTTCTTCCCAGTTTCCTTTGCTGGCTTTTCCTCTGTCTACCCTGTTCATAACGGTATTCCCTAAGATCTTGTTCTCAGCCTTCTTCTCTTATTCTTCATATTGTACGTGTTCTCCATAGACAGTCTCATCTACTTCCATATCATTAGCAGCCACCTGCTCATTTATTTTGATGAATGACCTCACTACTAAACCAGGTGTCCAGACTTTTAGCGGGTGGCTGCTAATAGTCTGACAACTCCCAAAAATCTCTAGTCCACAAGTTTCAGGTATATATATACACATATATATAGTATGTGTGTGTATAACATAAATACATATATACGTGTAAATATACTATGTAAATACTTGTGTGTATATGTATATATGTTTAATTGCCTAGTTGACATCTGCACCTATGACACTTCTAATTCAGGATGTCCTAAATTAAATTTACTATCTGTTATCCCCACCCCACCCCTAACCTGCATTCCTTCTTTATTTTGATTAATAATCTCCCTACCAAACCAGGGGTCCAAACTAGAAAACTTTCAGTCTTCTTAGTGTTCCTCTCTTGCACCAGCTCACTAAGTCCTTTAGCCTCTTCTCCTCCAGTGCTACTCTCCCCACTGCCAGACCATCAGTCCCTAAAAGTAGGATTTATCCTATTCATCTTTGAGCATCCAGAGATAGTAAAGTTATCCAAAAAGGTAGTAAGGAGGATGAGGGGGGAGAGATTACATAAAATAATTTTGATAATCAGTTCTTAAAGATACTCTTTCATTCAAAAATATGTATTTGGCTTTTAACATACATCAAAAGATTTATGATTTACTTAAATTATCACCTCTTTTGTAAATGAATATTCTTTGTCTTACCAACTGGCTATAGCAGGCATGTGTATTAGTCTATAAAATCCAAACTCTTGGCCTTCTAATTTAAAATTGTGACTAGCAAACACTATTGTTACCATTTTACAGTAAGGTTCAGGATACAGCCAACAACCAGAAACCATTCATGAAAATGTTCAGTGAAAATTCTGTCTTTACAATGTGTGCATTGCATTGTTTAATTAGAAAGGAAATCTTGAAATATACCTGTTCCTGCAAAGTAATTCTGTCCACAAAATGGGCAAAGGGAGCGATTTCTCTTTTTGTTCACCAACCTGTAATTTGGTGGGAGGGGTTTGGGCTATTTTAATTAATTATTGCAAATTAAATATTTCAACAACTTGAAGTGAGTCCTTAAAAGAAGGAAAAAGCATACATAGCTCCCCTCTGCTAAAACGGCAGTTGATGATAGAATTCCTACTGTCTAATCTATAAAAGTAAAACCCGACTTTTCAGCTAATTCCATTTTCTTAAACACACACACAAAAACAGTGCCACCCCAGTTAGATCCTTTAACATGCACGTTAATTTCTACTCACAGCTGTGGCAATTAGAAAGTGTACTTAATGGCGTGTCATGTTAATTGTTTTCAGAGTTAACCAATTTCTCTATTTAATTGTCAATTGATTAACCTATTGAAATGTTAAGTGACTCAGTTTCCTTCCAGAGTAAACAGCAGCAGCATATGGTAGCTTCATCAGCCGAAGGCAGCACTCATTTGCTTGGATTCAATGTGCTGGTATTTTTCTACACCTCCCTGAGCTTTTAATTAGATGAGGCGATGTTACATGTATTTGTCTGCTGGAAAGGTTATCAGTGCCATAGCTGACCTGCAGAGGCAAGGTTGAGTCTAGCAGCTTTAATAGAAATGGTTTTCAGCTATGACTGTTGTACTTGATTGCATTGTGATGTTAATTAACTCAAGACTGCTTTCTTCAGAGTGTGTGTGTGTGTGTGTGTGTCTTCCCGTCTTTCCTGTAGCACTAACTATGCAATGAGATGTTTTCTGTCATATATATCCACTTATTAAGTACTCATTGGATCCTAATAAGCATGCAAATAGTCAAGAGTTTCTTTAGGCTAATACCACACTACTCAGATTGTGATGCCATTAAATACATACAATGATCTTTGCCTGTAGCACATATTTCAGAGAAAAAAGCTAGCTCCCTTTGGTAGAATTTTGCTCCTTTATTTTCATGGTGTGTCATGCCGGGGGATCATTACAACTATAAAGTAAAAAAAAACTTTTTTTTTTTCTATTTAAGCACAGATGATGCCACATAGGGTTGAGAGAATCACACAGACTTGGATTTGGAGGCGTTTTCCAATGTTCTCGTTAAAGATCACTGTGTTTTAGTAGTCAAATCCTGGTGGTTTTAGTAGTAGATCCTGGTGGTGAGCTATTAACTCAGCCTTGCACACTGTTTTGTGATTCGGAATGTGTGTCGCTTGCATGTGTGTTTTTACTGTACCGCACTATTGTTTAATTATGAGACAATTGCCTCAACTGAGCCAGCATTATCATCCTTGATAATGTTGGTAGCAGGCAACTGAGACAAAATGATTACAAACCTATGTTGTGTTCAATAGTTCTTTAGAGGATTTCTCTCTTCATAGTTCTGGCTCATTCATGTTTGATTCAGCACATTTGTTCTTTAAAAAAGGCATAGCTTAGAAGAGTTTCAGGGTGGGTTAATAACTCAACTGAAAATGGCTGCTCGCATTGTAAAAGCTTGTTCCTGCAGTTGCTTGGGGCTTTCTTCAGTTTTGCCGCTCTGCAGCTTCGGCCCAGTTGGTAAACAGCTTAAGTCCAGACATCTTTTCATTCTCTGAGCAGCGGATTGAAGTAAAAATGCATATAAGTGGCGACTGACTGGCGCTGGCCTAACAATAGCCTGTAACATTATGCAAGGGTATTTACATAGGAATAAGGCCTTACTAAAGGAGATGGGGCAATTAATGGTGTGGGCCACACATATAAGGAAAGTTTGTCCAATCCTTTCCTCAATAAAGATCTTTTGTAAAGTGCTATGGAAACTCATAGAGGCCTCAAAGAGATTAAGGGTGGGACTCTCCTAGGACTTTCAAATATATATGTGTGTGTGTATGTGTGTGTGTGTGTATGTGTGTGTGTGTAATCTTTAAAAAGCTAAATGGTATTAAATAAATGCTCAGGAAAGAATATGAATTCCTTGTTTTGTTTTGATCATTTTAGATGGTTTCTCCAACCTGTAAAAGAAGGCAGTTCAGGCTGGGCGCAGTGGCTCACGCCTGTAATCCCAGCACTCTGGGAGGCCGAGCCTGGTGGATCACAAGGTCAGGAGTTCAAGACTACCCTCACCAAGATGGTGAAACCCCATCTCTACTAAAAATACAAAAATTAGCCAGGCGTGGTGGCGGGCGCCTGTAATCCCAGCTACTCGGGAGGCTGAGGCAGAGAACTGTTTGAACCCAGGAGGCGGAGGTTGCAGTGAGCCGAGATCGCACCACTGCACTCCAGCCTGGGAGACAGAGCAAGATTCTGTCTCAAAAAAAAAAAAAAGGCAGTTTATATTTTCAGTTCTCCTATCTTCCTTTTCCTTTTCTTGGTGATGTTTATTGAATAGAAAATCGTTCTGAGATAGTCAAGCTCTTGAGTTATCTTCCTTCCCTGTTTGAAATTGAAGCATCATCTTTAAAATATTTGAAAAGTTTTGCTGTCCTTCTTATTTCAAGTCATGTTTAAGAATGGGAGAAAAAACTGTCCGGTGGCCTGGCCTAAGGGGAAGGTCCCGGGATTTTCAGGAGTGTCAAAAGGAGGCCTTGCACAATGAGAATGAACAGCCGCAAAAACAAGCAGGGGCCCAAAAGAAAATGCAGGGTTGTGTCCTAGGAAAATGTGAAAACATTGATGCAAACCTAGCCCTTTTTTGGAATATATATCTTAATAGAATAAATATCTTGTCAGTCCAAGTAAAAATTAAAAAGTCAAATGCTTAAATTATTTTGAACATATACTGTCCCAGTATTATCCCCATTGATTTTTTTTTTTTTTGGTGTGTGTGGGGGTGGGGAGAGTGGGAAGTCCTCCTCATTGCACCCCCACCCCTAGCTCACCAATCGCAGCAGTGAAAGACAAATCTGGGGTAGATCTTTCACATGTTTTCATTCTTATCAAAGGCTCCCCATCTGCTTCTGCCCTTGGCCAGAGAGCATTACTGCTTTTATTTCTTTAGGTCAGAATATTTTTAATAAAGTATCATCAGCATTTAAAAAACAAGAGACAGAAGAATATTACTCTTTGGATAACCCAATCCATTTTTACATGTTTCGTGACCAATTAGAGCATCTACTATGTATTTTAAGCAAAACCCTTCAGCTTCTCTTTTTTCTTTTTAAATGTTTTATCTCACTCAGAGGACATTTTCAAATAAAGCAGAACTTTGGCAGGGAGTGTTCAAGCTCTGTTTGCACTTTCTGGTGAATCTGTTCTTACTTCCAAAGTTGCTTTACATCCCATTTCCTCATTTATAGTTGGTTCATGAAATTCATGTCCATATGGGATGAGGGAAATAAAATCTTAATGTGATAACGCATAAGCTTCGGGTGCCCGTGTGTGTGTGCGTGTGTGTGTGTGCGTGTGTGTGTGTGTGTGTGTGTGTTTGTGTGTGTGTGTGTGGCATACAGAGAAAGTGATTTCAGCTGCAGCCCTGTCAAGCAGGCAGAAATCAATGCCTCATTCAGGACTATTGATCAGTACTAAATTAATTAGACTCCAAGGCTTATGGCAGTTGATAAGACAACTTGTTAATTTAGTCAATGATAGTGTTTTCCCTAAAGCAGCAAATACCCTCTTCTTTAGAAAAGGCATTTCTAATAGTTGCTGCCAGTTCTTTTTCATTGTGTTCATCTTTCTGGTTTTCTTTTTCTGGGGAAAGGGTAGTTAGGGATAGGTGGGTTTGTGTGGGAAGGAGGGTGTTGGGGGAGCTCTATGGGCAAAGGAGTGCTGTAAAAATGTATATGCTGAGGCACCAGTCTGGAATATGCGTTAGCCCACTCCCATTTTGGTTCCCTTGCCTAACACTGTAGTTTTCGGATGAAAAGAATGCAGCAGCCAGATTATAAGCCGAGACCTTGATTTCCTATGGGGCTTTGGCCACGTAAGGCCACTCTAGCCCTACAAGGATGTTCATTTGGAAGGGGGCTACTTCCTAAACCTTCATTTAGAATTGACTGATACAGATTGCTTTTGCTTTTCATTGAAACCTGCAACAGTGATGGTCATAGTCAATAACAAAGACTTCGGCCCCTGTCGGTAATGCAAACTGTGAATGGAATGAAGGTATCCCAGAATGCCCTGAACATGGGGCAGTACTTCCTGCTGGCTTAGAAGGACAAAAGGACAAAGCCCGGGAGTGTAGGGGTCCCACCAACAGCTCTTGGAGGCAACAGCCTGCTATCAGCAGCACTCCAACCCTCTGAGAATGCTAATAAGCTAGTGAAGAGCTCAGCTTTCTTGCCATAATTCTATAGTGTGGTTGAGGACCCCATAGTGCTCACTAAATAAAGACAACTAATTGAGAATTTTTTGCACATTTTGCCCAGGGGACTTGTTGTTCATTCGATTCTTTGGGGAGAATGTACCCCTACTGACAAGAGTAGCTGATTGTTTTGGCAGCGTCATGTTACTCTTCCCTGGGTCTAAGACTGACTTTCGAAGTATGACAAAAATGTTTAATTTTGATTTTTTTAATTACGTTGCTGGGAATTATTTTAGATCTCAAAGAATAGGCGTTCCAGTGTTCATCTTAAAAAAAAAATCTTGGCAGAGTTTTTGAATTAAAGCCCCATTTTTTTCTTTCTTTCTTTTTTTTTTTTCCTTAAATTGTATTTTCTGTGGTGAGGCCTACATTTTTGTGTCTGCAGGTGACACGTTGATTGAAACTAAAATTAATAAATCAGCTGAAAAGCTCACACCTACAGCTCACAGCAGGACCTAGAAAACACATTTATAAAGGGAGCTTTATGCCCTCATATAAAGAAGGAATAAATTACAGAAGCACTTGTTGCCCTGGGACTTGATTTTGCTTTGCAATCTGGTATCTTATTTTTTGGAGGCTTATTGTTAATCAACAGGTTCCTGGTTGCTTTAGCAGGTGACTTTGCTATTAATCTCTTATTTGACCATTATAGCACATTAATGAGGAGGCTTCAAGATGTGGCTCTATCTTCTGACCAAGGAATTAGTTTAAAAGGTACACTTTTTACTCAATGGCTTGCAGTTAGCCACGTTGAGGACCAAATGCAAAGTAGCATTTTCTGTAGCTTGTGTAGTATTAAGGAGTGTTTTACTAACATATGTGTCTTACTGTGCTTTTCTTCTCTCCTACACTTATTTCTTCACCATGGAGGGCAATTATGGAACTTACCAGTCTCTGTTCATTTTTTTTTAACAAAATAGAATTACATATAAATGACAAAATGATATCCTTTCTTATTAATGTGCACTCTTATTTTAATTAAACAATGTCAGTGTTCTTTGGAGGTGTGTTCAGAATTAAAATGTATGATTTGGGAAGGCAAGAGGTTCAACATTTCTCACCAGAACTAGATTAATAAGTGTCATTACTAGTGCAGGAATTTAACCATCACGCTTCCCTTTAGAGGCTGAGGTAATTGGAAATGTTTAAGCTTGACAAAAGAAAGAAGTAAATATACCTATGGGGGTAGTTTAGAAATATAAAGAAGGACTGAAGATTTAAGTCTTAAATTTGTAATTACAAGGATCTCCGAAGCACATAATGGTGCAAAACGGCTCAGACAACCCCATATAGGAGAAGAACTGCTTTGTCTCCAGTCTGCAGATATTTCAAAGAACATTCTCTGGCACAAAATTATGATTATTACTCATTTCTTTTCAAATCTTCAAGACAATTAGGTTCACACCTCAAGTACCTATGCTGACTATCTTCTAAACCTAAGAAATGTCAGGTTTGTGTCTTTCTTACTTTTAACTTCACAAAATTAAGGGTTTCTGCCAACTGGGGTACATTTGATGTCATCGTCTATCTTACCTTCTCAGACTAAGTCCTGAAGTATCTTCATTCTGGAGGTTAAGGTCGACATCATCATCGCTTTCATTAAGAAATTTTCTGGTTAGGTTTCATGAGAGGAGGAGGCAAGTTAGAGGTATTAGCAAAAACGTTTAACGTTAATCGCAAGAATGCATGAGTGTGAACATTAACAGGGCCTTCAGACTTGACATTATTTTTGAAACGTTTGTCCTTAAAAATACATACCGACAAAAAATCATCAGGGTTATCCTGATGATATCCTAGGGCTGTAATATTAAGCCACCCTCATAGATGGGGACAACTGGAAATACTACTATCCTCTTAAAAGGGTTATCCAAGTAGCTAGCGTAAGCATTGGAATTACACTACCAAGCTGACCATCATAAGAAGCAGAGGGACCCTTATCTCCTCCAAAATCAACATTGCTACCTGGAATCTGGATCTTCATTCTAGATTTATTTGTTTGGGCCAATAAGCTAGAAGACTTTGGTGAGGGTTGCCCCCACCCACCTCCAACAACCATACACACACACATACACACAACACACACACACACACACACACACACACACAAATAGTTGACTGAAGCCTTGTTTTTCTTTTAAAAGTGGGGAAGAAAAAATTCTGTTCTGTACTGCACAATAACAAAACTTATGCCCCAGTGACACAAAATCAACTGGTTTAAGTCTCCATGTACCTTTGACAAGCCTGTAATCCCAGCTACTTGGGAAGCTGAGGCATGAGAATCGCTTGAATCTGGGAGGTGGAGGCTTCGGTGAGCCGAGATTGTGCCACTGCCCTTCAGCCTGGGCAACAGAGCGAGACTCCGTCTCAAAACACACACACACACACACACACACACACACACACACATCTTACATTAAAAGAAATTGAGGAAGTGGCTAGTGTATTCTAAGAACAGTCAGGTTAAATTTTTTTTTTTTAATAATCGTACTACAAATTATTAGAAAACAAAGTTTGTACCAGAGTGTTGGAGTCTGTGGCTGCTCTAGCTTGTGTTTACAATGAAAGAAAGTTACTGTTAGAGAACTTTCCCCTCCCCCAGTTCTCCCTCAAGTACTTCCAGCGAGGGAGGTTTTCAGCCCTTTTTGTCTTTTACAACTTAAGCAAGATCAGACACATTTCTGCAATGCATATGCAGATTTTGCCTCTTGTTACTTTCTCTAATGAGCGTTCACTTAATCAATTTGACAGTAGCCTTTATCCCCCAGGCCCCTCCGCCCTCCCTTTTTTTTCCACATCCACTAAGAAAGTTTTTAGGAAAAAAAAAAAGTGTTAACAGATTCGAGGGGGTGTTAGCGATGTGAAATGGTAGCTGGCCTAAGTGGAGTGACTCACAGGGCTTTACTTCTACCACTGGTTCTGTCCAGCTTCTGAAAAGAGGGAGCTGGTCTGCCGAGCTTATGAGGTAGCATGTATTTTCATCACCAGTAGAAAATGATTTTCCTTTTCAATAATTGAAAACGATTGTTTTTTGTTTGTTTGTTTAAGACAGGGTCTCACTCTGTCACTCAGGCTGGAGTGCAGTAGTGTGATCTTGGCTCACTGCAACCTCTGCCTCCTGGGCTTGGGTGATTCTCCCACCTCAGCCTCCTGAGTAGCTAGGACCACAGGTGCGTGCCACCAAGTTCAGCTAATTCTTGTAATTTTTTTTTTTTTTTTTTTTTTTTGCAGAGACTGGATTTTGCCATGTTGCCCAGACTGGTCTCGAACTCCTGAGTAATCTGCCCTCCTCAGCCTCCCAAAGTGCTAGGATTAAGGTGTGAGCCACCATGCCTGGCTGATTAATTGTTACAATTTTTCCAAACACTTGAGTATATGTCTCATAGCTTCATACCTTTATCTTGCCAAGAGCACTTTTAAAAAATTTATGCAAGAGACAATCTTGCTATGAGACACCAGGAACCGACCCACATTGTCATTCTCTCACCAAATTGCCCAACAGGGCATTCTAGATCATCTGAGCATTCTTGACCTTGTTCATTGCCTTTTCTGCCTGGGAGTACCAAGCACAGGGGCAGAGGGCAGGTAGGTTTAAATCTAATATTGTTCAATCTTCCCAGGGAATGGGTGATGATACCCAAATCCTGGGAATTCTCTCTCTCTCTCTCTCTCTCTCTCTCTCTCTCTGTCTGTCTCTTTTGAGATAGGGTCTTGCTCTGTTGCCCAGGCTGGAGTGCAATGGCACAATCATAGCTCACTGCAGCCTTGATCTCCTGGTCTCAAGTGATCCTCCCATCTTAGCCTCCCAAGTAGCTGGGTCAACAGAAATGTACCAGCACTCATGTTTTGTTGCTGTTGTTATTTGTTTGTTTTTTAGTAGAGATGAAGTCTCACTATCTTGCCCAGGCTGGTCTCCAAATCCTGAGCTCAAGCAATCCTCCCACCTTGGCCTCCCTAAGGGCTGGGATTACAGGTATGAGCCACGGTGCCCAGTCTTTTTTTTTTTTTTTTTAAAGAGCTGGGGGTCTCACCATGTTGCCCAGGCTGGTCTCCAACTCCTGGGCTCAACTAATCCTCCTGCCTCAGCCTCCCAAGTAGCTGGGATTACAAGAATGAGCCATCGTGCCCGGCCCCAAATCCTGGGGTTGTTGATCATATTCTCAACCTCAGCCTCAACCTGAATCTGCTACTGGGTGATATAAGACAATATAAGGTGCAGCTGCTGGGATTTAGCAGGTTTTCAAGAAACAAAGCCAAAGAAAAAGTGAGCTGTGCCCTTCTCTTGTCTGCAGCCAAAGTTTTCAGCCCTGGTGGGTAGAAGCAGCATTCATGAAGCTGGCTCAACCCCTCCTCTGGCCCCCTCCAGCAGAATTCATGTCCTTAAGCCTTAACCAGTTGTACAAATCACCCACTTGACTCTCTTTCACTTTATCAGGGCCAGAAAAGTTACCCTAACCGACGAAAAGAAGGAGAAGGTCCCCACTGACCCCTGCTCCAGCCCAGTTCTGTGCTGGATCAGTATAGTTTTGCCTTTCCTGATGACTCACCGTCCCGTCTCCCTGACTTCTATCCAATAGGCCCTACTGCCAGCCAATTGTTCACCTTTTAAGTTCAACTGGAAAGAAATTTGATTTTAAGACAATCAGGGTCTGGTCTGTATTCACAGGTTATCATTTGGGTTAGTTAGGTCTCTTACAGCCCTTTCTTTTCCTGTCTTTTTTTGATTCGAGGTGAGAGTCTATACAATCAGTTGCCTGCCTGCTCTAACTTGAGTGCCTGTTCTACTTAGGCAGATTCTGTTCTAACCATCGAGAACCTCCAGCTGAGAGTCCTCTGAGGTCTGGGAGGGAGTAACACTTCAGAGTTCACGGCCCCACTTCCACGAGGATACCTTGAATTCTAAGGGCTGCACTGACATTTCAAGAAAAGCTGAAGAATCTGAGTGATGTTATCTGAAATCTGCGCTCCCAGTTAGAAAAGCAGAATGGAGGCCTCACCCCAAGACCTATTTAACCAGAATCTGCATTATAACAGGATCACTAGGTGATTCATATGCACATTTCTTTAATCACCTGAGGGTCGGTGCGAAGGCAAGGATATAGAGTACCCTTGTGGATTCTTTAAATTCATTTTCTGTCTTTCATTCACAATCCCTAGTGAGCCAGAGAGGATGTGGGGTTTGGGTTGGAGGGGAAAGTGAGGTACAAAGAACAGTGGGAATCAGCAGGAGAGAAACATCTCCATTATTACTAACCTGGTTTTCTAAACCTTTTAGCATGTACACAATTAAAAGTTTGTACTGTTAGGTCCCTATTCCTCCTGGAAATGATTTGGAATTTGATCTGACTCTCCTCTCCTTTGTTTTGCACCTTGAAATGCCTTCCACTGTATTGCCCTTTTCAGTTTATTGATCTAGTTATTTGACCCTGATTTCTGCTTTTTACTTAAGATTCATTTCTATTTAGGCTTCATTCTAGAAAACGTGATGGTTTTGTTGGGCTAACAGAAGAACCTGCCACAGAGCATGCCCCTTGAAAAGGTTTAGCCATTCTTCCTCCAACATCTAACCATGGTTCCATGCCCTGAGCAGATGGGTGGTGAGTGAGAGCCATGAGCCGGGGTGGGAAAAACATTGTCTTCAAGGACATAGAGATCTAGATTTACAAATCTGGTTCCAACATAAGTAATACCTATGACCTTTGACAAATGATTTGACATTTCTCAAAGTTCTGGATCCTGCTCTGGGAAAAGGAGATGGTAACTAGAAGTGTCGTCGAGTTGACTAAAGAGGTAACATTTCAGTAATGCCTACAATGAAGTCAGGGTTTGGAAAATGAGAAGAACCTTTCCCTTTGGGCTTTCCTGGAAAGGCCTCCGAGGAGCTATTTAAAAAGGAAGCTTGGCTGTTTCACCCACTAGAGCAAAGGCCCTCCAACTTGCTAACGATTTATTTTGAGATAGGTGAGAATCCATGCTTCTTGGGTTGATGAATATAATAGACCCCGTTTACTAAACACCTACAATGTGACTGTCACATTTGGCATGTGCTTTAACCTTCCTGAATCATTCCCCATTCCCCCGTTCTGTGAAATGGAGATTATAATGCCTAATAGGATTGTTGTGGTTGGTTAAAGAGGTTGCTTTACATTCATTATCTCATTTGATCCTCCCAACAACGGGGTGAAATAGGCCTTACTTGCCCCCATTTTATAGCTGAGGAAACTGAGTTTCAGAGAGGTCAAGTAATTCACTCAGGATCGTAGAGCTGATAAATGAGAGCCAGGTTTTAAGCCTGCCTGTGTCTCTCTAATCCAAAATATATGTGCTCTCCATTGTACTTCCTATGCCTTAGAGAGACTGATTAGTGAAAGGGAAACTAGGAAATGCTTGAGTATTTCCAGTCCTAATAATATTCAGTTCAAATTCCAGGAAGGGCAGTGATTTTCAACCTTCTTAACTTTTCTGTTTTAAATCTGCAAAAGAAAACCTGCCACAGACCAGAAAGGAGAAAGTTCCCCCTAAATTGTGTCAATCTTTGCAGATAATAAAGCAACTCTTTCACTTCTGCAGGATTGTCAAGTGGGATGTCCAAACCTGAGAAACAGCTATTTGGTTCTTTACTCTGCCCCTGAATAGAGTCGGAGCTTCAGGCTTCAGGGAGGGACAATTGCCATCAAAAGTCGTCATGCCCGGGAGCAGGTGTTGCTCAGAATTGTGAAGACGTTATGAACCCAGGTGACTTGACTCAAGAGTTACAACCCCACTAATGAGAAGGTGAGTCACTCCAATTCAGAAAGTCGGGTGTGGGGAGAGGGTAGTGATGAGGATTGTTGAGAAACTAAAGTGCATCCCTTGGGGACCAGCTGAGGAAGGGAGAGAGGGAAAATGGGTAGGGAAAAGAAGGAAAAGAAGTTGGACAAAGAGAAACAAGTACATGATGCTGTGAAAAACAGCAGAGACTGTCAACACTCAGGCTGCTACGTTGAACCAGCTTCTTGTATTGTCTTGGGCTTCCGGCATCCTGTTTTATCTGGACAGGTGGAAAATTCATTTCTTATGCTGTCTGTTAAACACTGGATGAGTTGCTGTGCTGTGTGAAAATGTTTGTGTCTAAAAATAATGGGCTTACACACAGAAGTCTTCAAAATCTAAAATGGTATTAGACTTAATAATGAGTGTATTTCAGGTGAAAATATGTCTCCTCTCCTTTAGTAGCTACCTGGGGAAAATGACCCTATGATAGTTAGGCTGGCCCTTCAGAATTTTGACCTTGATTGGCTTCCTGTTTCTCACTATTTCTTGGAAAACTGAGGCGGGAGTGTGCCTGTAAAATAATGTCAAATTAAAGGCAGTCTTCAAAATAGGTAAGGTTCATTATTTATTTTGAATTAGTGCTATCTGAGTGCCAGGTTTCACACATAAAGCCCAAGAGAGGTATATTTTAATGTGATTAACCTATGATATAAAACTGTCACAACTGGTAGTAACGTGAGCTGTATTTTAGTTACTTTCTGATTGTTTTAAAAACTGAAAAAAATCTGCTAAGATATGCAACTTCCTTTTTCCTTATATAGGACTTTCTTCTTTTAACCATTGATTTCTTGCTCAGCAAAAGTGAAAGAAACTCCAGATGTCTGCTTTATTGATAAAAGTACCTGTAATTTGAGTGATCGAAGCCAATATAGCTTCACAATTCAAATAGTTTGGAATTATAAAATGTCTGATATTTTTAGTGAACTATGAGTATCCCCTTATTTTTATAGGTAAAGGGAATTTGAACATCTCATCCTAAGAAAATCCTAAGCATTACAGTCTGTCTGCTCCACATTAATCAGCAAAGAATTGCTGTGTTGAGGTTGCTCAACTCAAGGAACAATTTTTGGAAAAGCTCAATCTTATGCAAGCTGATCTCTGAAAATAAGAACACCTGCAATATTTCTGTTTGAGTTTGTGTGTGTTGTTAGATTTTTTTGTGCCTTCAGATATTTTCTTTCTGTGAGCCTGTGCCCTTGTCCCAAGAAGTCCCCTGGACTGGTAATTCCCTGATCTGTCTACTGATATGAACTGCATCCTTGTTTTATAAGGTGGAGGGCGTTGAGTGATAATGTACTACTATAAAAAAAAAAAAAACAAACCCGGACAGGTTTGTTTTTGTAACTGTCAGCAATGTTTGGCCTATTTTGAGAATGTAGGACAGGGTTAAGGATTAGTACCAGCATTCTCCTTTCTGTGTATCAGAGCTGCTTAGCAGTAATTAATCAGGACATTAGGTTTTGTACTCTTGGTTCAGGTCATTTGCCTATGAGCTGCTCCAGCCTTTTACAAAGGAATACTGCATATGTTTCTGGATACCTTTTTGAGAGAAGATTTAAATTGGCCAGATGAATAATACTTTGTTACAAGTGTTTTGCCCTAGGCAAAAAGGTTTTCTTCATATTATCATAGCCTGAAGCTGCAATCCCCAAGCTTGATGTGACTGGTGTTATACTGTCACATGGCAATGATGTAAGAACAGGCCTCTCTGTGTCAGGCAAATCTGGATTTAGGGGAATTATAGCAGATGTTGCAAAATGGCAACAGTTTAGCAAGTTCCTTTTATCCCACTGTTGGGAGGCAGGACTACTAAGTGTACCAGACAGAAAAGAATGTTTTCTTTGATCCCTTACACTCTAGGGTAGGGACTTCCCCAGTTAGAGAACATCGTTAATGATATAGTTATACAGTCACTGATGGATCAGAATACAGAATTAAGAGCTGGCTTTTTTTTTTTTCTTTTCTTTTCTTTTCCTTTTTTTTTTTTTTTAGCATTTGTTTTGATTGAGCTTAGTATTTATGGTCATTAAATTATAAGCTTCAGAAACTCTCTAAGGCTTTATTCTTAGTAAAGAAAGCTTTATTCAGTAGAAGAAACAGTAACAATAACAACAACTAACCTCCACAAAAAATATTTTAATTTTGGCAACCCAATCGACTCAAACCTATTATGTACACCTAAGTTGCATGGATCCTAAGAAAGAGAAAACGGGAAATATAGCAGTTATTTTAATGTTCACATTCTAGTAAGTTTTAATGAGTATATTCAACCCTGTTTGATAACTAGGTGTGCTGCATTGTCATGGTTCACGCAAGTCTTAGTTTCTTAAAAGAAAAAGCTGTCTTCAAAAGCTTTAGATTCCTCTGATCAAGAATCTCTTCTATTCAATTCTAATAAAATTATTTCATATACATGATTAAGGTGAGTAGGTAGATGATAGTGATGGGGGACAAAAACAAACACAAAAGCCATTCCCTAATAGTAGAAGTGATGCCAGGTTTGATTTATGGGAACTGTGTTTAGCTGTGGGTTATGTGCATTTGCAGGACTACCTCTGAATCTTTAGAACTTTCAGAACTACCCCAAGTATCACTACAGAACGTTGCCTGCTGGATTTAATTGCCTACTTGCAAAAGATGGCACGTGCATGCAGAACAACAAGAAATAATTTTCCACTAGGTAAAGATTTCCAATTATTATTAAAACACACATGCAATGAATTTGGTCTTTTTTATGCAAATGTTTATTGATCATTTCCATTGGAGCATTAGACAGTGAAATACGTGCAAACATTCAGACAATTTCTTTAAGTGGCTTCTGTCTTTACAAAAAGTATTTTTTTTTAATTTAAGTGTTTTTATTTGCAAATTAGGATCACTGCTTAGAGCCCTGAAATAACTAGTGTATTAATTTTTCAGACAGTTTTTATTTAAATAAAAAAGAAAAAATGATGAACATAAGATGTACTTAAAGAGTATGGATGTAAGTAGCTATATTTTGTATATTTTTTGATAAGATCAAAGGTAAAAACAAACCTAAAAGCAGGCTGAGAGACGACTGCCAATAATGCTGCATCATTTTTTATATTACCCATAGTTGTATTTCATTATCTCTGTGGATTTCACCTATTTTACCACTTTTGACCTGGAGAAAAGATTTGCTTATTCAGCACAAAGACGGAGAATGTGGAGGAAGATATTGGGTTTTGTCATTTGAATAATAGAAATTGTACAGAAATGGACTGTAGTTACAGTAATTGCTGTCCCTTTAATAAGATAAGCATATGTTCTCAAAATAAATGCTAGAAATCCATGTAAAACTTACACTTTAATAATTTTGAAATCATATTTTATTTAAATATAAAACTTGGGATATCTGTCTTTACTGAGAGCTTTTAAAATGGAAGCTTCCTTAAAAGTGTTAGCTCTAACTTTGAATTTAAGATAACTTGATAAAATGTACACATTTATTGGACAATACTCATCTAAACCCCTGAATGAATCCTTTCCTATGATTTAAATTAACCTCTTAATGACCCAAAACCAGATCAGTAACACATTTTATATTTGGTTACAAAGACAACCCTAATGATTGGGTTAAGTATTTCACTACATATGTTGGGTTTTCTGCAGACATTAGAAGGAAAACTGAAAGTGGCTTTATAAAACCTGCTGTGTTTAAGAATTGAGAGACTGTTAAAAATATTTCCAATAAAGGGTTTTTTTCTTCTCTTTTTTTCTTGACATATCTATTCCACATATCTAAAAACAAAAACAAAAACAAAAAAAACAGAAGATGCCTATCTTTTTCAGAAATCCCATTACAACTCTTAAACATCCTGGCATCAGACAGTAATTCCCACACATACGTAGCTCAATCTAAGAACAATTTGGAAGAGTTTGCAACATGGTAGTAGCATCTGTTGTTTCATTGTTCAATAATTCACAGTTAGCCAAAGTAGGAAATGCAAACAATCCTTTTTCATATTTGCATACTTGGAATTTGGCTTTTTGATTCATGATTGTTCCGATTAGCTTTGAAAATTCACGTTTCTGTCTAGTTCCATGTTTTGCTTGAGTGAGCTCAAATTATGCTCTTGACTCAAATATTATTACAAGCGTAAATACTTTGGAGATGTAAGTGTCTGCCACTGATTTGGGGGGTATTTGTTTTATTCATTTTCATCTGGCGAGTTTAAAATATGAGCAAACTTTTCATGGAGGGTTTGGGGCATTTGTTTGAACACTCCTGGAGTAATTGGAAATGCAACAATTGTTTAAAAAGTGGCATTGTCCATGAAAAGATTTAGTGAGGGATGAAGAAATTTCTTGAACCTAAAGACCTAATCTGGTGATCCAATTCTCCCCACTGTGTCCATTCCCGTGAAACTCCATTTACTTGCCCCTATCCGTCACTAGCTCCCTGCATCCTACCTAGCCAATCCTCTAGGTTTCCCACATTGTCTCCTCTTTTGTCTTTTCAGTCTAAACAGAAGAACAACAGATAGGGTTCTGAAGGGCAGGGAGCATCAGGAGCTGCAGGAGAATGGCTGAGATGAGGGTCAGAGTCCTGCCCCTACTGCCAACAGTTACTAGGGTTTGTGCTGCCCGGCTGAACAGTGTTCAAAGGCTTTGCTGGGCTTTGTTCCACTGTGTAGGGATTAGGCCTGGCGGTCTGAGAATTTGCCTTCTAATTAAAAAGGATAAAAGATAGAAGTAGCATTAGACTAAAACAGAGCAGTGATACTTCACAGGCTGATTTTTTTTTAAAGTCACAAGACAACACTAAAAGTTGTCAGGATATTTTATTTCTTTAGGATTCCGCTCAAATTAAGAGAAAACTTTGCAAACTCTTCCCAGCTGTTGTGCATGGCACATGGAAGTCTAATTGCATCTAAAATATCTGCTGTTTACAGTGAGACTGTTTTGGTGGGGGATTTGCAGTCAGCATTGGAGAATGAAGGCTGCTTCCAGAGCCACTTTCCTCTTTTTCAAATGCTGGCAAGAAATTAATTCTACCAAAAGTGATTTCTGCTTTTCACTCCACCCCAGTGTGCCTTGCTCTCAAGCTTTCCAATGCCTACTCTACCTATTCTCTTCAAGGATCAATCATTCTTTTCATCTCCTTGCAGCTGTATACACTATCTTAACCAGGTGTGAAATGCAATTAAGAAATAATTCTGACCTCACAGTCTTTTTTTTCTTAATAGCAATCTGATGGAGGGCAATTTTTTAATCTTTCACATCATCACTGTGGACAGTAAATGCAATTCTGTGCCTACATTTTGTTAAGAAAGGAGCCATCTACAGATCCAGGGGAAGACTGGCAGCATCCAAACAGATGATGCATCATCTTAAAACACGATTGCTTGCCATCCACTGTGGCTCTTTTTGTCGTGTATAAAGAGCTATATGCTTTCAGGAGAAGCACAACTCACACTTGTTGAATTAAACAAGAGGCTCGGGTGTTTTGCCAAGTACTCCAGAGACTGGTTCTACTCTCACACAGGAAGAAATTTGAGGTGAGAATTTCTGTTAGAAATGCTGATGAGATTATATACATTAGTTGAGGTGTTTTTTTTTTTAAGAGGGAAAAAAGGGAGGAAAGAGTTTTGTGGAGGACTTCAGAGCTTTCAAAGCCACTGAGCTCAGATTGCATACAAGTATAAAGGAATGCTCTCTTGTTCCCACAAAGCTCATGTTACGTCATGAAGCTAAAGGACTGCATTTCTTATTTTCCACTTTTCTTATTTTTGTTTTCAATTTGCCCAGTGTAAACAAGTAATGTTCCCTTAGTAAATGAATTTTTTTCTTAAGTATGAGATTATAATGGGACTAATCTGTGTATTTCAGGACACACAGAAGCACGTTCCTGTTCACTTTTTAGAAAAATCCATAATGTTTTTAGCTTTATTTTATTCACTTGATCTAGTTACCAGTTGACTATATTGGGCAGACACGGAAACGTGGAAATCTGCGGAAGAGCACAGAGCCATCTCACTATTTAGTGCATAAATTTTGGGGCAAAGTCTGTGACTATCGTTTTCATCAGAAGATGTTCAGTAGTTCTAATTTTTTTAATTTTGGCTTTTTAAAAACTGTAATGCCTGACTGGAATTAGTACATCAGCGGCTGTATTTTTTAAGTGTCTGAATTACGTTAGGCAACTATACTAAATATTTACGAAACAATGCTTGCGAAATAATCCGTATTGATTTCCATCATAAGCTGTGTGTAAAAGAATAAAAAGGTTCTCTCCAGTTCTGAGTTCAGGGACAGCCATGGTAATTTATGTTAAGTTTCAGTCCCTTCTTTTATTTTTGTCTTTTTGAGATGACCATTCCCCCTGCTGATTTTCCAAATGTAGCAAAGCTGGATCTACTAGTTCCACTCTAAAGAAAACAAAGATAATAATCTGATTTAGACATTGAAGAACATCAGTATGAATGGCAACAGTAGTAGAGAACAGTGAGTCAACATTTCTCTCTTTCCAGTTCAGCTTCTCTTTAGCATTTAAAATATGTCAGCCAGTAGTACAAAGCCAAACCATTAAAAGAATGTAATTCACAATATTTTGGCTTCTATTTTTCACCAGCTTCTGAGTAATATATTGTACAAGAAAGGGGCCTTTGTTGTGTTTATAATACATGTATAACCTGGTGGGAAGCCGAATAAAAAATGTATATTATTTGCATAACTTGAACTAAAGAACCTAGTGCATTATTGGGTCTTGAATGTCTTAAATTTAAGTGAGCTGGCTTAAGAGTAATATTACTCTATTACTGTTCTGTAATTCATATAATGAAATCATACAGCTAAAAAAAATTTAAGGTTTTAACAATGATAAGTGGAACCTGATTTTTGAACTCCTTTTTAATGAAAACAGTAATTTATAAACTGGCACATATGTGCCCTTTTTTGTTTGCTGACAATAAAAGTCTGTTGCATTTGTATCCTTTCATCTGCTCTCCCCTCTGTGCATGTAAGAGAAGCCAATTTAGCCTAATGGATGTTACAGGAATGCTAGGCACCAAGGACAAACAGCCTCATGGAAAATCAACGGATCCGCTTCCCAGACAAGACCATTGGAATGCCTGGAGCTCCATGTAATTTTCTGTGTCCTGACAACCTCCCCAACCTGAGTTTCCTTCAAGCCCACCACCTGAGCCATCTGAGCAAGTTGAGCTAGGCTGAAGCTCCAATGCTGTCACACTTTGTATTGTATATAGAACAAGAATAGATGGACTTCCCCTTATGTGGGTGGTACTAGTCATCTTTAATTCTTATGGGTGAGGGAAGTTTTCCTTTAGTAGAAACATAAACACATAGCAATGCCCCTTTCCCCACTCAGGAGATGTGCATTCACTTTTAAAATAGCTGCTGTTATTTAGTATTCATATATGTAGAATAGGCTCTTAAATGCTTCTAATAACAGTATCATAGAAGTTCACATTGCCTGCCTGGCTGAGTATCCTAACTTACAGCTAAAGAGAGATTGTTCTCTAGCTCTATTTGGAAATAAAGGATGTGGTGTATGACCAGATGTTGGAAGCCTCCCTTCTTGTAATATCAAATAAGTATAATTATAATATATGTTAACTATTTACAATCACTAAAATGTTTCTTGGAAAGACTAGGAATGACTAAATTAGTAAACTAATAGAATGAAAAATAAAAATGGTCAAATGTATAGAAGCAAAGAGAAATTGTCTGAAATAAGATATTACACATTGAAATATTTATAGTATCTATTATCAAATAAATGCAAATGTCAAATACAAACTACATTATCTTTTATTAATGACTTTAAGTATATATTTTTAAAATGTTAAACCACTCATATGGAGCCAGTGAAAAGTTTTCTACCTAGTGTAGTTTTTTCTACAGTTGATGGAGTATATCTCCTTCCTGAGAATGTGATGCTACAGGCATAATTGTAATAAATTGTTAACTCTGTAATCTAAAAAACTATACTGAGAATGTAATATCTAACTATTTTTAATCTTCCTTTTTAAAAGCAAAGTCTGAAACATATCAGCTCAGTTGCAATCATCCTTTAAAAAGATTAAAGCCATCAACCTAGTTCTACAAATGGCAACCTAAAGATCCTTCTGCTTTTTGTTTCTGGAAGGAGAGGGATGGGGGAGGGGAGAATTTGGAGAGGAGGTGTTGGCTTGAAAAATAGGCTTGGACGAGTTGCAAGCTCTGAAAACAGATTTCTTTATCTGCAAGCCAGGTTGGAGCGCATCCCCAGCTTGCTATTCTGAGCCACCTCGTCCAGTTGAGAAGACTGCCATCTCTAGGATGGCGTATGAGCGGGATGCTTTTTCACTTCCACGGCTCTGGACTTTTTTCTGTCTTAGGTCTCTCCTAAGCAGGAAAATGCCAGTTTTGCCAATCTGTGTTCTTGGTGATATGGACTACCATCTATCTGTGTGGGGCTGGGATCACAAACGTCCTTTCATTGGCAATATGATCTGGATTGGGACCAAGGTCATAAGGTAAATAGCCAGTGCTTTATCCTATCAGCCAAGTCCTTGATAAGGGGTGCTCTTTGATGTTGAGAATGATAGTTGGCTTTTTCAGAACTAATATCCAAAACAGTAATACATAATGCATTTGTTTCTA